>NC_000003.12:159766180-160069210 GCF_000001405.40 Homo sapiens | reverse complement strand
TGAACCTTTCCTATAAACTCCATACCGTGACACCCTTGACAGGGACATGCTTAAGCAGAACATCCTTTTCTCTGGGTGTCTATCCAGGCATATGCTACAGCACCCAGTAAGTTCCCCTAATGAACACTTTGGACCAATTGCCCTGGAGCTTGGTGCTTCCTTCTTTGGAGTCCCAACAAGTCCCATTTCCACATGGACTGGGGCACTCCCATGTGGGAATTCCTTTGCCAACAATTTTAGGGCAACTCCAGCTGGAGGTTCAGCCTGAGGAAATGAGAGCCAAATCCAATTCTAGTATATTCATCACAGATATGATTAAATAAAGACAAACTATTGCAAACTACCTAGATGTCTCTTCTGGCTGCTATACCAAAACACCTGCCTTACAAACAACAGATTATTTCTCACGGTTCTGGAGGGTAGAAGTCAGTGATCAGGGCCCACTTTCTGGTTGCTGAGTCCAACTCCTCGCTGAGTCCTCACAAGGTGGAACGAGAACAAGCTCATGCTGAGGCCTCCTTTAAGAGAATGTATCTTATTGCGAAGGCTCTGCCCTCAGGACCTTATCCATCCCTAATCGCCTCCCAAGGGCCCCACCTCCTAACACCATCCCTTTAGAAGGGTAGGGCTTCATTATGTAAATGACATTCAGTTCACAGTCCATCAACAGGATGGATTAAATGAGGGTACATCCAAATAGCATACCCACACAGCCACTGAAAAATAATCTAGACCCTGATACAAACAAGCTGTTCCAATTTTGAGACAACCTGGGGACTCCAAACACTGCCTATGTGACAATAATAATGAATTATTGTTAACTGTTTGGGTTATTTTTTAAAAGTTCTCTGAGGCCGGATGTGGTGGCTCATGCCTGTAATCCTAGCACTTTAGAAGGCTGAGTTGGGTGGATCACCTGAGGTCAGGAGTTCGAGACCAGCCTGGCCAACATGGCAAAACCCCATGTCTACTAAAAATACCAAAAATTAGCTGGGCATGGTGGTGGGTACCTGTAATCCCAGCTACTTGGGAGGCAGAGGCAGGAGAATTGCTTGAACCTGGGAGGCGGAGGTTGCTGTGAGCTGAGATCTTGCCATTGCACTCCAGCCTGGGTAACAGAGACTCTGTCTCAAAAAATTAAAAAAAAATAAAAAAAAGTTCTCTTTGAAAGATACAAACTAGAATATGTAATGACTATTTAGTAAAATGATTACCCTGGCCATGCACAGTTATTTAAGACAGCGATGGGATGAAGGGCATCAGCACAATCTCTCTTCTTTTGTGTTCCTCTGAACGGTCCCACAAAAGCTCCTCCACCCCCTCCCCCACCCATCCAGATGGAGTCTTGCTCTGTCCCCCAGGCTGGAGTGCAGTGGCACGATCTCAGCTCACTGCAACCTCCGCCTCCTGAGTTCAAGTGATTCTCCTGCCTCAGCCTCCCAAGTAGCTGGGATTACAGGCATGTGCCGCCATGCCCAGCTAATTTTGTATTTTTAGGAGATGTGGTTTCTCCATGTTTGGTCAGGCTGGTCTCGAACTCCTCACCTCAAGTGATCCTCCTGTCTCAGCCTCCCAAAGTGTTGGGATTATAGGCATGAGCCACCACACCTGGCCTAGCTTGGAAAAATTTGCACATGATCTAGGAGGTTGCATTAAGGGTCTTTAAAGGTCTTTTATGTTCTAAGCCAGGCGTGGTGGCTCGTGCCTGTAATCACAGCACTTTAGGAGGCTGAGGCAGGCAGATCTCCTAAGGTCAGGAGTTCGAGACCAGCCTGGCCAACATGGTGAAACCCTGTCTCTACTAAAAATACAAAAAATGGTGAGGCATGGTGGTGGGGGGGCTGGAATCCCAGCTACTCAGGAAGCTGAGGCAGGAGAATCACTTGAATCCAAGAGACAGAGGTTGTGCAGTGAGCCGAGATCTCTCGCCATTGCACTGCAGCCTGGTCAACAAGAGCAAAACTCTGTCTTAAAAAAAAAAGAAAAAGGTATTTTACGTTCTGTATCCATTCATCCATTCGACAGAAATCAAAATTGGACATTTCAGCTATGGTTTAAACAAGAAACTGGAAGAAGTGGATCGACTCTCCAAGAATGAGTTTTATGTCTATAGACAAAAGATTGCAAACTAAGGCTGGGTGCGGTGGCTCATGCCTATCATTCCAGCACTTTCAGAGGCTGAGGCGGGCAGATCACTTCAGTCCAGGAATTCGAGACCAGCCTGGGCAACATGACAAAACCCCGTCTCTACAAAATATACAAAAAAATGGACCTGTAGTCCCATCTACTTGGGAGGCTGAGGTGGGAGGATTGTTCCAGCCCAGGAAGTTGAGGATGCATTCACCTGAGACTGCGACCCTGCACTCCACGCACTCCAGCCTGAGTGACAGAGCTAGACTCTATCTCAAAAAAAAAGATTGCAAAGTGAATATGCTGTTGTTTAAATTTAAAATGAAGTGTTTAGATATGTATCATATTTTATTATTTTCCACATTAACTCATTTCTTCAATAACTAAACATCTATGATTCCCTAACATATAAAATAAATATATACAGCTTCTAAAAACATGGTGGAAGGCCAGGCACAGTGGCTCACACCTGTAATCCCAGCACTTGGGGAGGCCAAGGTGGAAGGATTACTTGAGCCCAAGAAATTGAGACCAAACTGGGCCACACAGGAGGACCCTGACTCTACAAAACAATTTTAAAATAATTAGCTGAGCATGGTGGCATGCACCTGTAGTCCCAGCTACTTGGGAGGCTGAAGTGAAAGGATCACTTGTGCCCAGGAGTTCGAGGCTGCACTGAGCTATGATTATGCCACTGCACCCTAGCCTGGGTGACAAAGTGAGATCCTGTCTCAAAAAAAAAAAAAAAAAAGAATAAAAAACAAAAAATAAAACATGGTAGAAAAAATGACTGATAGGGTAAAATACTGATAATACATTTAAGTGAAAAGGAAGATTAGAACAAAATGTCCAGTACATTCACATCTTAGTAAAGTATGCCTTTGTTACATATGACTAAATAGAAATCCAACAGGAGTATACTACAAAATCCTAACAGTTCCTCCCAGACATGAACTAAAGATAATTTTATTTTCTTCCTTTTGCTTTCCTAGGATTTCCAAATCTTCTAAAACTAAGATTACTTTTATTTCTTCCTCTTTTTTTTTTTTCTGAAACAGAGTCTCACTCACTGTCACGCAGGCTTAAGTGCAGTGGTGTGATCTTGGCTCACTGAAACCTTTGCCTCCCAGGATCAAGTGATTCTTCTGTCTCAATCTCCAAAGTAGCTGGGATTGCAGGCATGCGCCACCACACCCAACTAATTTTTGTATTTTTAGTAGAGACGAAGTTTCACCATGTTGGCTAGGCTGGTTTGAACTCCTGGCCTCGAACTCCTGGCCTCAAGTGATCTGCCTGCCTCGGCCTCCCAAAGTGCTGGGATTACAGGCATGAGCCACCACATCTGGCCTAAGACCATTTTTATAATCAAAAGAAATATTACTTGTTTTTGTTAGTCTTTCAAATTCTTCTTGTGGAAATGCCACTAAATGGATAATCAAAAAATGATTGTGACACAAAAGGCCTTTGGCGCTACATGAGCCCATGGAGGTCACTCAGTGAGATGAAAACTCAGTTTCTGTGGCGAATAGACTGCAGTGACACAGAATAAACCTGGGCATGACTGAATTTCCTCTGCAGGGTAAACCACAGGGGAGCACACAGCACCCTTGTCACCCGGGAGTGGGAGGACACCGAGGAGGAAGGGAGGCAGGGCAGAGCTGGGGAAAAGCTCTAGAAAGGTCAGAGCCTGGGTTGATCCTGTTCAGATTTCTGACTTCTTTCTGCTCATCCTCTATGAGAGCTGCTCACACTGTCTCCTTTTCTCAGACCCTAGGGCCTAGGTGACAAAATGTTATTTAACGAGAGATCAGGGTGCACAGGACAAGCACCTGTGTTAAAAGGTGCTGTATCCTAGAACCACAGGGGACCCACAGTGGTTTCATTCCATCAAATAAATTCTTTTTGGATGGTGTAAATAATAGGATTTGATGAAAAGGGCCCTAAGTTCCAATGATAGAATTTGATAGGAAAACATAGATACAACAGTTAATTTAGTTTTTGAGATAGGGTCTCCCTCTGTTGCCCAGACTGGAGTGCAATGGCACAATCACGGCTCACTGCAACCTCCACCTCCCAGGTTCAAGTGATCCTCCCACCTCAGCTTCCTGAGTAGCTGGGACTACAGGCGCTGTCACCACACCTGGCTGTGTGTGTGTGTCTCGATGGGGGGGGTCTCTCTATGTTGCCCAGGCTGGTCTCGAACTCCTGGACTCAAATGATCTTCCTGCTTGGGTCTCCCACAATGCTGGAATTGCAGGTATGAGCCATCACGCCCAGCTTTGAATTCTTAAAATTACCTGTACCACATGTGAATAGAATTTGTGAACTATGCAGGAACTTTAAGTCATAATCGGCATCCACCTGAGAACCTCATAGCAGAGTAAGGCTTTTGCAGGAATCTCAGCCAGCCTAGTAAATATTCACTGAACTCTGACTCTTTTCCAGGCCCTGTGCTGTGTACAAAGATGCAGATTCCATAGTAGTTGTCAATATCCCACTAACTATGATCGTTTGAGTAGAAGGTGCCTGGGGGTAAGTGGTCAACTCCAATATCTAACTCAGACAATGTGGACCGCCAGCCCATCTGGCACCAACCCCCTAGGTACTCTTAAGACACTTGCCAATTCTCTGAGCAACACTTGAGAAACCTAGTCCCTGATAAACAACAGCAGAAAGCTACACTGCAAGCCAATCTAAATATCAATTCCAACTGTAAATTTTCTAATTGTTTGACAATGAAAAAATATACAATTTAAATAATACCAGGAACAGGCTGGGCGGTGGCTCATGCCTGCAACCTGCAGCACCTTGGGAGGCCAAGGTGGGCGGATAACTTGAGGTCAGGAGGTCGAGACCAGCCTGACTAACATGGTGAAACCTGGTCTCTACTAAAAAAAATAACAAAAATTAGCTGAGGGTGGTGGCATGCGCCTGTAATCCCGGTTACTCAGGAGGCTGAGGCCCGAGAATCACTTGAACCCAGGAAGTGGAGGTTCCAGTAAGCCAAGATTGTGCTGCTGCACTCCAGCCTGGGCAACAGAGTGAGACCCTGTCTCCAAAACATAAATAAATAAATAAATAATACCAAGAGTGAAGAGCTTTAAAAACAAGATGTATGTAAGGCTGGGCGCAGTGGCTCACGCCTGTAGTTTCAGCAATCTGGGAGGCTGAGGCGGGCGAATCACCTGAGCTCACGAGTTTGAGATGAGCCTGCTCAACATTGTGAAACCCCATCTCTACTAAAAATAGAAAAATTAGCTGGGCGTGGTGGGGGGTGCCTGTAATCCCAGCTATTCAGGAAGCTGAGGCAGGAGAATCGCTTGAGCCCGAGAGTTGGAGGTTGCAGTGAGCCGAGATCGTGCCATTGTGGCCCAGGCTGGAATGCATGAGTGAGACTCCATCTCAAAGAAAAAGAAAAAGAAAGAAAAAAAGGCCAGGAACGGTGGCTCACGCCTGAACTCCCACCACTTTGGGAGGCCGAGGTGGGCGGATCATGAGGTCAGGAGTTTGAGATCAGCCTGACCAACATGGTGAAACCCCATCTCTACTAAAAATACAAAAATTAGCCAGGCGTGGTGGTGGGCACCTGTAATCCCAGCTACTCAGGAGGCTGAGGCAGGAGAATCACTTCAAAATCCAGGAGGCAGAGGTTGTGCACTGAGCCGAAATCTCTTGCCACTGCACTATTGCACTCCAGCCTGGGCGACAAGAGCGAGACTCCATCTCAAAAAAAAAAAAAAAAAAGCCAGGTGCGCCAGGTGTGGTGGCTCACGCCTGTAATCTCAGCACTTTGGGAGAGCAAGGCGGGCGGATCATGAGGTCAGGAGTTCAAGACCTGCCCGACCAACATGGCAAAACCCCATCTCTACTGAAAATACAAAAATTAGCCAGGCATGGTTGTGCGTGCCTGTAATCCCAGCTACTCAGGAGGCTGAGGCAGAAGAATCGCTTGAATCTGGGAGGCAGAGCTTGCAGTGAGCTGAGATCGAGCCACTGCACTCCAGCCTGGGCAACAGAGCAAGACTCAAAACAAAAAACAAAACAGATACATGTGGAAAAATTCACCAAAAGAGCATTGAATTTAAAATGAAATGTTTAGATATGGATTGCTTTTTCTTATTTCCCGTATTACCTCCCGTATTACCTCAATTTGTCAGTAAGTATCAGGCTGGGGGTGATGTCTCATGCCTGTAATTCCAGCACCTTGGGAAGCCCAGGCAGAAGGAGTGCTTAAGCTCAGGAGTTTGAGGTCAGCCTGGGCAACACGGCAAGACTTCATCTCTACAAAACATAAAAATAAAAAAAAAATTAGCCAGGTGTGGTGGCATGCACCTGTAGTCTCAGCTACTTGGGAGGCGAGATAGGACGACACTTGAGCCGGGGAGGTCGAGGCTGCAGCGAGCTGTGATCGTATCACTGCCTGGGCCACAAAGTGAAACTCTGTTTCAGAAAACAACAAACAAAAACCAGTTCTCCACCATGCCAAATAAAACACTGGGAACCAGAAATAAAGAAGTGGAAGTCTCACCTCAGGGGTGGCTATTCCTAGCATCTTGCTAGATTTTTAAAGGTACTCAGTAATACATTACAGCTGAAGAGTGAAGCATGTTTTTTTGTTGTTGTTGTTTTCCAAGACAGAGTCTTGCTCTGTCACCCAGGCTGCAGTGTAATGGCACCATCTCAGCTCACCGCAACCTGCGCCTCCCAGGTTCAAGTGATCCTCCTGCCTCAGCCTCCCGAGTAGCTGGGACTACAGGCTTGCACAACCATGCCCAGCTATTTTTTGTATTTTTAGTAGAGACGGGGTTTCACCATGTTAGCCAGGATGGTCTCGATCTCCTGAGCTCGTGATCCGCCCGCCTCAGCCTCCCAAAGTGCTGGGATTATAGGCGTGCAAGCTGCACCTGGTCCCTACTCCCGGCTACTTTTAACATTTTTTCTGGCCGGGCTCAGTGGCTCACCCCTGTAATCCCAGCACTTTGGGAGGCCGAGGCGGGCAAATCATAACGTCTGGAGCTCGAGACCAGCCTGGCCAATATGGTGAAACCCCATTTCTACTAAAAGAAAAACAAAGAAAAGAAAAAAAAAAAGAATTAGCCAGGCTGGATGGCAGGCGCCTGTAGTCCCACCTACTTGGGAAGTTGAGGCAGGAGGATTGCTTGAACCTAGGAGGCAGAGGTTGCAGCGAGCTGAGATCATGCTGTGTTCAGAATTGGTGCGTTCTTGGTCTCATTGACTTCAAGAATGAAGCTGCGGACCCACGTGGTGAGTGTTACAGTTCTTAAAGGCGGCATGTGGCGAGTTTGTTCCTTCTGATGTTCGGAGTTTCTTCCTTCTGGTGGGTTTGTGGTCTCGCGGACTCAGGAGTGAAGTTTCAGATCTTCGTGGTGAGTGTTACAGCACATAAAGGCAGTGAGGACCCAAAGAAAAAGCAGCAGCAAGATTTAGCGCAAAGAGTGAAAGAACAACGCTCCCACAACAAGCAAGGGGAGGAGTTGCCACTCTTGCTTCTGGCAGCCTGCTTTTATTCTTATCTGGCCCCACCCACATCCTGCTGATTGGTCCATTTTACAGAGAGCCAATTGGTCTGTTTTACAGAGAGCTGATTGGTCCGTTTTGACAGGGTGCTGATTGGTGCGTTTACAATCCCTGAGCTAGACACAAAAGTTCTCCAAGTTCCCACTAGATTAGCTAGATACAGAGTGCTGATTGGTGTATTTACAAACCCAGAGCTAGACACAGAGATTCTCCAAGTCCCCACCAGATTAGCTAGATACAGAGTGCCGATTGGTGCAACCACAAACCTTGAGCTAGACACAGAGTGCTGATTGGTGCATTTACAAACCTTGAGCTAGATACAGAGTGCTGATTGGTGTATTCACAATCCCTCAGCTAGACATAAAGATTCTCCAAGTCCCCACCACATTAGCTAGATACAGAGTGCTGATTGGTGTATCCACAAACCCTGAGCTAGACACAGGGTGCTGATTGGTGTGTTTACAAACCTTGAGCTAGATACAGAGTGCCCATTGGTGTATTCACAATCCCTTAGCTAGACATAAAGGTTCTCCAAGTCCCCGCTAGACTCAGGAGCCCAGCTGGCTTCACCCAGTGGACCCTGCACAGGGGCTACAGGTGGAGCTGCCTGCCAGTCCCTCACCTGCGCCTGCACTTCTCAGCCCTTGGGCGGTCTATGGGACTCCGTGCTGTGGAGCAGGGGGCGGCACTCGTGGCGGGGGCTCAGGCCACGCAGGAGCCCAAGGTAGGGGGCGGGGCGGAGACTCAGGCATGGTGTGCTGCGGGTCTGGAGCCCTGCCCCGCGGGGAGGCAGCTAAGGCCCAGCGAGAAATCGAGCACAGCGCCAGTGGGCCAGCACTGCTGGGGGACCCAGCGCACCCTCCACAGCTGCTGGTCCGGGTGCTAAGCCCCTCACTGCCTGGGGCCGGCAGGGCCGGCCAGCTGCTCCGAATGTGGGACCCGCCAAGCCCACGCCCACCTGGAAC
This sequence comes from Homo sapiens, assembly GCF_000001405.40. Classification (NCBI taxonomy): domain Eukaryota; kingdom Metazoa; phylum Chordata; class Mammalia; order Primates; family Hominidae; genus Homo; species Homo sapiens. The sequence continues at coordinate 160,060,577 of NC_000003.12, read as the reverse complement.
TCTAGCTGGCCCGCAAGTGCCGCCTGCAGCCCCGGTTCCCACCCGTGCCTCTCTCTCCACACCTCCCCGCAGGGTGAGGGAGCCGGCTCCAGCCTCGGCCATCCCAGGAAGGGGCTCCTACAGTGCAGCGGCAGGCTGAAGAGCTCCTCAAGTGTGGCCAGAGTGGGCGCCGAGGCCGAGGAGGTGCCAAGAGTGAGCGAGGGATGCGAGGGCTTTGAGGGCTGCCAGCACGCTGTCACCTCTCAACACCACTGCACTCCAATCTGGGTGACAGAGTGAGACTCCCTCTCAAAAAAAAAATTTTTTTTTTCTTAGAGACAAGATCTCACTATGTTGCCCAGGCTGGTCTTGAACTCCTGGCCTCAAGGCATCCCTCTGCCTTGGCCTCCCACAGTGTTGGGAGTACAGGCATGAGCCACCATGCCCAGCCAAGAGAAGCATTTTTAAAATGAAATGTTACCTATTAGTCACCAAGGAGTTAGAATTATATTCATGTATGGCTGGAAAATATGGTGTGTATTTAAAAAAAAATTAGTGTTTTCTCTAGATATCTTTTATTAAAATATTCAAAGGTTTATGTGTGTTTTAGAAACAGAATAGTGGAAATAAGATTTACAGTTGATGCCAGAGCCCACACATGCCAGCTGACATCCACCTGACTTTCTCTGAAACTGACCCAATAGTCCCATTGGCAGTTTTTTTAAAATTAGAAACTTACCTTTCTGATCTAAAAGCTAGAAACCTATACTTGTTTTATCTGAGCTCCTTCCTCAGCAAAAGACCTCCAGGCCTCTCAAAAACTGTCAAAGACCTGAGGCTTAGCAGCTCATCGGCTCCAGACAATGAGACATCTAGTCCCTCCTTCTTCATGACTGCTTCTTTAATCCACCTGAGTTCTCATTTTCCCACACATGGTTGCATTACTCCCCTGCTACATAAACCCCTAATTTTAGTTGGTTAGGGGTGCAAATTTGAGCGTGATCTTTTACTTCCATGGCTGCAGCACCCAACTAAACCCTTCTTCTCTGGCAATGCTCACCTCTCAGCGATTGGCTTTCTGTGCTGTGAGCAGCAGGACCCAGGCCGAAGCCCTGGTGTCGTGGTAACAGCTGCACATCTGCATACATGTCTCTGCTGCTCTTCTTCAGCCTTCCTGCTGCACTTCACACCTCCCTATTCTGGCATCTCCTAATGCCCTGCTCTTCCTGGCCTGGCCCCTCATGCCTCATAGCGACTTCCCTGAGCAGGTCAGACCATGGCAGTGGTCACCACCTGGTCCTGCCTGGCACACAGGCACCCCGTAAAAGTTAAGTAAATGGATGTGGGAAAGAATGCAGTGAGACTATCGTTATATCAAGTGTTTCTACTTTGTTCACACAGTCAGGAATCTGCTCACAGGCCCATATACTATTATAAACCAAAATACATCTATCAGCCGGGCGTGGTGGCTCATGCCTGTAATCCCAGCACTTTGGGAGGCCAAGGTGGGTGGATTACCTGAGGTCAGGAGTTTGAGACCAATCTGGCCAACATGGTGAAACCCAATCTCTACTAAAAATACAAAAATTTGCTGGGTGTGGTGGTGCGCACCTGTAATCCTAGCTACTTGGGATGCTGAGGTGGGAGAATCGCTTGAACCTGGGAGGTGGAGATTGCAGTGAGTTGAAATTGCGCCATTGCACTCTAGCCTGGGTGGCAAAACCGAAACTCTGTCTCAAAAAACAAAAACAAAAACAGAATACATCTACCACAGGATGCATGAAAAGTTTCAAGTTCTTTTAGAAGGCATCTTAGCAAAAAGAATCCCTGAAGCACACTAGTGAGGTCCAGCATTTTAAGTAGAACCTCCGTACTGCTCAATCCCCTTCCCACTCCCCACCAACCCCACTCACAACCCTACTCACTCCCCACCATGCCAGCTCACTGTCCCATTTGGTGTCCCTTTTGTGTGATATCTTTTCCCACTGTTGGACACTACGGGCTGTGAAGTGCGTTGCTTGGTTTAAAAAAATGTAAGCCAGTGGTTCTACATGGTACACTATTTTTGTTCCATTCCTTTTATGGTGTTTTAAGCATTGTGCGTCTATTACTGGGTATGGAAAGTGCAATTGGGAGCAAGTGTCTATTCGTGTCAGGACCATTTTATAGTCTTCCAAGGTGACCAGCACTGAATGGCATCATATAGCTTATCTCTAAGCTCTGCATCAGGGACTTTCCCTGCAGGAAACCTGCCCTATAATCATCCGCAGTCTCTGTCTTTCCTGCTGGCAGACAGGACAGCTCTTGTTGGCATTTTATGCTTCTGAGGGTGCAGAAGAATATGTGTCTGTGATCACCCCTCTCTGCATGGCGGCTGCTCCCCAATGTCCACTCATTTCATGGGCCCAGTTGGCCACCTCGGGTGTACCATGATATCCACTTGGGGTTCCAATCACTTTCCAGTCTGGGAAAAAGGTTTTTCTGATGGGCATTAACATATCCTATTTAATGCATCCCTTAAATTCCCATATGATTTCCATAAGGCCATGTTCCATACGGACGCCCCTTTAACAATCCAGTTTTCCATTGTTCCTCTTCCTGACCACATGGCCAGCTATTGGCCAATGCCCATGAGTTGGAATGCACCTAGACTTCAGGGCTGTAAGTGTTGAAGTCTTCCATCACTGCAAGGAAAATAGCATGCAGTTCAGCTCACTGAGCTTTACTTGTTTTCAACCTCTTCAATTCGTTTTACCATCAGTTGGTTACATTGGCGAGCTTTCCAAACAGGATGCTGACCATCTACTTTAGAAGTGTTAATGTAAACCAAGGAGATTTTTGTTGGTCAGTGGAGAGGTGTTCATGAGGCATCATCAGCCACATGTCAATAGGATCTGGTAGCTCCTCAGATGGTTCCAAAGTTGGTCCTAGAGGTAATGAGCCTACCTGCTTGTGAATATGATGCAAACCTCTTTGCATTCCTCCAGTATCATGTTCCTGTATAAACCATTTCCATTTTATTACAGAGTCAGCTCTTCTGGGCAGTAACTTCCTCATTAGTGTTTCTCTGACATCACCCAAGACATCGTGGGTATTTCAGATCTTAAGAATATTTTATTCTTCAGTCATAGACTGCTTCAGTCATAGGAGCAGTTTCAATTAATGCCCCCCAAAATAGCAACCCAATAATTGTCTCTGAAATGAGACATACCGTATTGTCCCATCTGGAAATTTTCTGGTCCAAAATTCAAGTGCTCACCATTAGGCAGCACTCATGGGCTTTTACCATAGAATCTAGTCTGTGGAAATGCAATTTCAGATACAGGTGTCCCTGGGTATCTGTGGGGAATTAGTTCCAGGACCCCTCCCTAAGAGGATGCTAAAATCACAAGGGACTGAAGTATCTTTTTAAAATGACATAGCATTTGCATATAACCCATGTACATCCTTCCCTATACTTTAAAAAATCACTGGATTACTTAACAATAACTAACACAGAGAAAATGCTATGGAAATAGTTGTTCTATTATTTTAAAATTTGTATTTTTTTATTGTTGTTTTTAAAACATTTTCCAAATATTTCATGTGTGTATATATATGTGTGTGTGTGTGTGTGTGTGTGTGTGTGTATATATATATATATTTATGTATTAAGACAGGGTCTTGCTCTGTTGCTCAGGCTGGAGTGCAGTGGCATGATCATGACTCACTGTAGCCTCCATCTCTCAGGTTCAAGTAATCCTCCCACCTCAGCCTCCTAAGTAGCTGGGGCTACAGATGCACACCACCACACCATGCTTATTTTTGAATCTTGTTTCTTTTTGAATCTTGTTTCTTTTTGAAACAGGGTCTCATTATGTTTCCCAGGCTGGTCTTGAACTCCTGGGCTTAAGTAATCCACCCGACTTGGCCTCCTAAAGTGCTGGGATTACAGGTGTGAGCTATCACATGCAGCAGCAAATATTTAGACCTGAGGTTCCTTCAGTTTCCAGATATGAAGCCTGCAGATAAGAGTGCTGAATGAGGCCAGGTGAGGTGGCTCACGCCTGTAATCCCAGCACTTTGGGACGCCCAGGCAGGTGGATCACCTGAGGTCAGGAGTTCAAGACCAGCCTGGCCAAGATGGTGAAACCCCATCTCCACTAAAAATACAAAAATTAGCCGGGCATGATGGTGGGCGCCCGCAATCCCAGCTACTTGGGAGGCTGAGGCAGCAGAATCACTGGAACCCAGGAGACAGAGGTTGCAGTGAGCCAAGACCGCACCATTGCACTCCAGCCTGGACAACAAAAGCGAAACTGTCTCAAAAAAAAAAAAAAAAAAAAAGAGTGCTGACTAAACTTAAACTTCCAAAGTCATATCAGAGTGGACCATAAGGGCCTAATATATATCTAGACATCACTTCTTGAAATTCAGTCATAGAGTGCTATTATGATGGCTCCCATTCAACTATAGGCTTCCTTCAGACAGTCTTAATGGATAGGAGCTCGCACTCTTTCCAGATGCAGAACATGTCTTCCAAATCCAAACAACCCACCCGACACTGTGCTTCTCACTGAGTTCCAGTGGTAGGTAACAAAAGCAGTCTATTTTAGCTGCCTGTGGGATGTGATAGCTCCTGCCCAGGTTATTCCTGAGAATTTCATTGTTGATATGGACTCTGGGATCTTTGCTGGATTGGTCAACTAGCCTGTGTTAGTCATGACTGTCACTACTGCACTAAAGTCAATCCTGGCTTGTTTTTCAGTTTGTGATGTGATTGTAGCATTAGCGATGTAGCGTATTGACACAGCAGTAAACTGGTGAATTCAAATAACCATATGGCAATACAATGTAGTAGGCTGGAATCCTTCCCACATAAAGGCAAATCGTGTTTGACTCTTTTCTAAGATTGTGATACAGAAAAAACTTTTGCAAGACATTGTATTTTTTGCACTATTGAAACCATATCAGGAACTGCTAGTGCTGTAGGCAGGACTACTTTATTTTTATTTATTTATTTTTTATTTTTTTGAGACAGAATCTCAATCTGTCGCCCAGGCTATAGTGCAATGGTGTGATCTCAGCTCACCGCAAGCTCTGCCTGTCAGGTTCAAGTGAAGCTCCTGCCCCCAGCCTCCATAGAGTAGCTGGGACTACTGACATGCACCACCATGCCCAGCTTATTTTTTTTTGTTTGTTTTTGAAATGGAGTTTTGCTCTGTTGCCCAGGCTGGAGTGCAGTTGGTGCAATCTCGGCTCACTGCAATTTCTGCCTCCCGGGTTCAAACGATTCTACTGCCTCAGCCTCCTGAGTAGCTGGGACTACAGGCACAATCCACCATGCCCAGCTAATTTTGTATTTTTAGTAGCGGCAGGGTTTCACCATGTTGGCCAGGCTGGTCTTGAACTCCTGACCTCAGGTGATCCACCCGCCTTGGCCTCCCAAAGTGCTGGAATTGCAACTGTGAGCCACTGCACCCGGCCAGGACTACTTTATTCAAGTCTGGAAAATCTACTGTAGTCTTGATGAGCCACTTCCCTTTTCATGGGCCACACAGGACATTTGTACAGAAAATTTATTAGTACCAGCATTCCAACTTCTAACATGTCAGCAATTAAAGTGGTATTCTCTTTTTGTCTACTAGGATTCATCCGACACTGTGTCAAATTAACAAGCTATGTGGGCTCAGGCAATTCTATAGGTTCCCATTTAGTATGCCCAGTTAATGATTGCAGAAGGGCAAACTTACATACCTTTGATTTTATAATACTAGGAATGGGAAGTGCTCCCAGTCAGATGTGATTCCACCTAATAATACACTTAGGTAGAGGAGACACAAGCACTTCACATGAAGTCCGTCCTAACGTTCCAATTTTCATCCAAACTTTCACCTTCATCTCATCAGTCTTTATATCCCCAGATGCTCCCTAGAAAACTATCACCCAATTAGGACTTCACCGATAGGTTTTGATAACATAATGCATTGGGATCCTGTGGGAAGGACTCTCAGAAGTTTTTCTCTACCCCATGTCCACTATCCTCACACATATGCACAAGCCCCGGGTCTGCTGTTGAGGATCAGGCCGAGGGACCCTGACCCCTGCATCAGTCTTTGTTCTGATTAATGTGTCTGATCACTAGCCCCATGATTTGAGGTCAGATTTCTCTCTCTCTTTTTTTTTTTAGACGGAGTCTCACTCTATCGCCCAGGCTGGAGTGCAGTGGTGTGATCTCGGCTCACTGCAACCTCTGCCGACCGGTTTCAAGCAATTCTCCTGCCTCAGCCTCCTGACTAGCTGGGATTACAGGTGCCTGCCACTGCACCCAGCTAATTTTTGTATTTTTAGTAGAGACAGGGTTTCACCATCTTGGCCAGGCTGGTCTTGAACTCCTGACCTCGTGATCCAGCCACCCCAGCCTCCCAGAGTGCTGGGATTACAGGCGTGAGCCACCGCACCCAGCTGGATTTCTCATTTTCATCTTTGTGTTCAGTCTTTTCAAATTCCTGCAAACTCAGGTAAATAGGGTAGATCTGTTTAGAGCCCTTCAATGTTGGAACACCAGCAGGGGCACCTGTGAGTCCACTGAACCTTCCATAGTGCTGCAATAAGATATTTCTTTTGAATCATCAATATTCAGCTTTTTCATCCCAGTTTTTTTTTTTTTTGGGGGGATAGAGTCCTGCTCTGTCACCAGGCTGGAGTGCAATGGTGAGATCTCGGCTCACTGCAACCTCCACCTCCTGGGTTCAAGTGATTCTCCTGCTTCAGCCTCCTGAATAGCTAGGACTACAGGCACGCGCCACCACACCCAGCTAATTTTTGCATTTTTAGTAGAGACAGGGTTTCACCATGTTGGCCAGGCTGGTCTTGAACTCCTGACCTCAAGTGATCCACCCGCCTCAGCCTCCCAAAGTGCTGGGATTACAGGCGTGAGCCACCGTGCCTGGCCCATCCCAGTTGTTAATATTTGAAAATTTCCACCCTGCTGGGATAAGTCCCTTGACTATTTCCTTTGACTTTGCCCATTCCTTTTGTGACTGGGCATCATTTTCTTGGCATCTGTAAGACCCATGAGGGGAAGCTGAGATAACAAATCTGGTATGATGTCTTGAACTGCGCTTGATTTTGCAGCAGTAAGTTTCCATGGGATTCGTGTGCAAAAGGAGCTCGCGTAATCACACTGAGGCAGGAGATCAGCAGGACTTGTTTTCTGAACACTGGTCACAACCCAGCTGATTGAAACAGGATCTGGTCAAAAAGGATGCAGTAAAGAAACTGGCCAACACCACCTAAAACCAAGATGGCAACAAAAGCAACCTCTAGTTGCCTTCACTGCTCATTACACGCTAACTGTAATGCATTTGCATGCTAAAAGACACTCCCACCAGCAAGTGACAGTTTACAAATATCATGGCGATGCCCTGGGAAGTTACTGTACGTGATCTAAAAGGGGAGGAACTTCAGTCTCAGGAACTCCCAACCTCTTTTGTAGAAAATTCGTGAATAACCTGCCCCTTATTTAGCTTATGATGAAGGAGTAGCTATAAACACAGCTCCCCAGCAATACCCGACTACTTCTCTGCCTATGGGGAAGCCTGTGCTGTCTGCGGAACAGCCATTTTCTTGTACTCTCTTGTTCTAATAAACTTGCTTTGCTTTCACTTTACTCTGTCAGTTTGCTCAGGAATTCTTTTCTGTGTGAAGCCAAGAACTTTTCTGGGCTGAGCTCCAATTTGGGCATTCATCTGCATCACTATCTAGGTGCTGTGACCTGGTTAAGGGACATATGAGGGGGATGAACAACCTGATCATTATAAAGCCAGTACAGCCGGGATTGGATATGTGGCAAATCAGCTGCCTCATTTTGGGAGGCCACTTAGCATGTAAAGGAGGGAAATGTTGATTTACCTTCTCAGGGTAAACAAACTACAGCGGCATTTCTCCATTCCAGCAGGCTGGCTGACCCCTCAGAGACAACCTGTCATGTGTTGGGATCATACACAGGCATCTTTTATCGTTCCATAATAAGCTGTGGGTCCTGCAGCAATCCAGACATGCTCTTCTAGTCCGCAGCATTCAAAGTCTAGAAGGCTGCTCCTCAGCCAGTCTCACAATCCATTTTGGTAAAACTTCCTCAGGAAGCTGCAGATGTCGATCAATAAATGAGACATTCCTTCACATTTTATCCTCTGCTTTAGTAGTTTCTTGGGTTTGCACAGGCTTGCCATCTTGACTTTGCAACAGTGTTATCTGTTGTTCAGGCACCATTTTTCTATTAGAGAGTGGTCCTGAGACTAATAACCATAGCTCTGACCAGCTGAAGTCCAAGCATGGCACAGCACCAGAATCTGCCCCAGCACTCTCCTTTACTTTCATTTTAGCTATTACAGATAAAAATCACTGAAGGAGGCCAGGCGCGGTGGCTCACGCATTTAATCCCAGCACGTTAGGAGGCCAACCAAGGTGGGTGGATCATTTGAGGTCAGGAGTTTGAGACCAGCCTGGACAACATGGGGAAATCTCGTCTCTACTAAAAATACAAAAAAAATTAGCCCAGTGTGGTGGTGCATGCCTGTAGTCCCAGCTACTCAGGAGGCTGAGGCAGGAGAACGCTTGAACCTGGGAGGTGGAGGTTGCAGTGAGCCAGGATTGCACCACTGCACTCTAGCCTGGGTGACACAGCGAGACTTTGTCTCAAAAAAAAAAAAAATCGCTGAAGGATTTACACTTTACTTTCTTTCTCATTGTTTTCCATTTATTTATGTATCTGAAGAGTCAACACCTTGGGAGTTGGGGTCGTCATTTCTCAATCCCATTGATAACTACATCTTCAGTAACAGACATCAGGGCAGCTGCTGTCTTGTCCCTGTTTTGAGAGACAAGGCAACTAAAATGTGGAGAGGTTATGTAGCTTGCTCGAGGTCACACAGCAAGAAAATGACAAGAGGTGGTATTTGAAACCAGGTTTATCTGACTTCAAGACCTTCTCTTTAAGCTTTAGCAACACTCTTTCCTATGAACAGATTCTAAACCTTAAAAACTAGAAGCTGCTCATGCCTGTAATCCCAGCACTTTGGGAGGCTGAGGTGGGAGGATCTATTGAGCCCACGAGCTTGACACCAGCTTGGGCAACATCATGAGACCCCCAGTTCTTAAAAGATACCTAGCTGGGTGTGGTGGCACGCTCCTCCAGTCTGAACTACTCAGGAGGCTAAGGTGGGAGGATTGCTTGAGCCCGGGTGTTTGAGGCTGCAGTGAGCCATGATCATGCCACTGCACCTCAGCCTAGGTGGGAGGAGACCTTCACCCCTCAAAAACCACAAAGAAACAAACAAAAACCCTAGAAGCTTCTCCCATCCTACTGGGCATTCCTTACATTATTCCATGGGGATTTCCACTTTTGAAGCATAGCCCTCAAAGACAGATCAAGCAGTCCACTTGATCTCTCTCAGTTTTTCATGTGTTTGGGGGCCAGAAACATCCTTTGGTCTCTCTTTTGGGCTTCCTGTCTGTTTGTACCCAGGACCTCTGCTGGGCACAACATGGCAATTCAAGTGGATCAATGATTCTCAACCTTGGCTGAACCTTGGAATCACCCAAGGACCTTTAAAAAATACAAATCCTGCTCTGGGCGGGCGTGGTGGCTCACGCCTGTAATCTCAGCACTTTGGGAGGCCGAGGCGGGTGGATCACGAGGTCAGGAGTTCAAGGCCAGCCTGACCAATATGGTGAAACCCTGTCTCTACTGAAAATATAAAAATTAGCTGGGCGTGGTGGCATGCGCCTGTAATCCCAGCTACTTGGGAGGCTGAGGCAGGAGAATTGCTTGAATCCCGGGGGCGAAGGTTGCAGTAAGCCGAGATCGTGCCACTGCACTCCAGCCTGGGCGACAGAGCGAGACTCTGTGTCAAAAAAAAAAAAAAAAAAAAAAAGAATGCTGGTGGGGCGTGGTGGCTTATACCTGTAATCCCAGCATTTTGGCAGGCTGAGGCAGGAGGATCACTTGAACCCAGGAGGTCAAGGCTGCAGTGAGCTGTGTTTGCATTCCAGCCTGGACAACAGAGGGAGACCCTGTATATATATATATGTAAAAGCAAATGCCCAGGTTTCACCCTAAACACTCTGATTTACTTGGTTATATGTAGTGGGTTAAGTGGTCATTCCCATAAAGGTATGTTCATATCCTATAAGCTGTGAATTTAACTTGTTTGGAAAAAGGATATTTGCAGATATAATTAAAGACCTCAGATGAGATTATTACGGTTTAGTCAGTGAGCACTAAATCCAACTACACGTGTCCTTGTAAGGGATACCCAGAGAAGAGTCCCATGAAGAAGAGGAAGAGGTCATGTGAAGATGGAGGCAGAATTGCAACTATGTAGTCACAAGGCAAGGAACATCAGAACAATCAGAAGCTGGAAGAGACAAGGCAGAATTCTTCCTTACAGCCTGTGAGGAACTCGGCCTTGCTGACACCTTGATTTTAGACTTCTAGGCTCCAGAATTGCGACAGAAGAAGTGAGTGTGGTTTCTGCCAAGTTTTTTTTGTTGTTGTTGTTGTTTTTGTGTGTGTGATTTGGTCATTTGTTGTGACAGACACAGGAAATTAATACAGTTGGTGGGCGGGGGCGGGGCCTGGGCCTTTGTACATTTTTTTATTTTTTATTTTTTTGAGACAGGGTCATCCATGTTGTCACGTGGATGAGTACTTTCTATCTATTTGTCTGAAGAAGCAGGGTATGGTAGAGAAGCCTCAGGCTTCAGAGACTATCAGACTTGGATTGCATCCAGCCACCTGGAAACTCTCAGAATGTCAGTTCAGTTACTCCAGACTCCCATAGAAGAGGAACAGAATCCCTTTACCTGTAATACAGATGCCTCCTCATTACTCTCTGGCATCTCCTCCCCCAGGGCTAGATTGAAAGGCAAGTAGACCTCAGAAACAGCATCTCACTGTCCAGGGACACAGATACAGGACAAAACATCAGAACCTCACTGCGGCCCTCTGCTCCTCTCCTACTCAACACTTCATCAGCCCTGATGACAAAGCAGCCACAGGAACTGTTCTTTGTCCTTCCTCAGCCCAGTGTTTCTGGAGGTGCTAATGAGCCCTGGGATAAACTCCCCTGACATAGACAGCTGGAAGGAGATGGGAAGGCAGGAGAGGAAAGCGGCAGGATAATTTATAAATTAAACAGAGAAGCAGAAGCAACACCGCAGTTATAGCCCAAACAGCCTTAGAGACACAAACTACTTAAGATATAGATACCTATATGCAGGTTCACAAAGCTTTTTATTTTCTTACCATCAAGTTTATTTACCCTGGCTGTTCTCATAGTGTATCAAATATTTACTCTGCTAAAAATGATAAAAATAGAATTAAGAAAACATTATGATAGCCAGGCACACTGGTGTGTGCTTGTAATCCCAGCTACTCAGGAGGCTGAGACAGGAGGGTCATTTGAGGCCAGGAGATCCAGTCTAGCTTGGGCAACATAGCGATACCCTGTATTAAAAAAAGATAAAATTAAAAATTAAAAAGAAGACATTTTGATATTGCAAAAGCATTTAGACCCTAAGCTGAGGAAAACTGCCAGAGGGAGATGCTTCTGACATGCCCTATTCCAGTGGTCCCCAATCCTGGATGCATATTAGAAGCACCTAGGAAGCTGTTAAAAAGGTACAAATGTGGGCCGGGAACTGTGGCTCACACCTGTAATCCCAGCACTTTGGGAGGCCGAGGCAGGCAGATTGCCTGAGGTAAGGAGTTCAAGACCAGCCTGGGAAACATGGTGAAACCCCATCTCTACTAAAAATAGAAAAAATTAGCCAGGCGGCGTGGCGTGCACCTGTAATCCCAGCTACTCAGGAGGCGGAGGCAGGAGAATCACTTGAACCCAGGAGGCAGAGGTTGCAGTGAGCTGAGATAGTGCCACTGCACTTCAGCCTGGGTGACAGAGTGAGACTCTGTCTTTACAAAAAAAAAAAAAAAGGGTACAAATGTGGCCAGGCATGATGGCTCAGTCTGTAATTCAACACTATGGGAGGCCGAGGCAGGAGAATCACTTAAACCTGGGAGTTTGAGACCAGTCTGGACAACACAGTGAGAACCCCATCTCTGAAAAAAACTTTTGTAATTAGCTGGGTGTGGTGGTGTGTGCCTGTAGTTTCAGCTCCTCCAGCTTTAGAGTCTGAGGTGGGAAGATCACTTGAACCCCGAAGGTCAAGGCCGTAGTGAGCTGTGATCATGCTACTGCACTCCAGCTTTGGTGACAGTAAGACCCTGTCTCTAAAAAATAAAAAAAGTACAAAGGCCCAGGCCCACCCCCTGCCCCCACCAACTGTATTAGTTTCCTGTGTCTGTCACAACAAATGACCAAATTACAAAAAAAGAAAAAACAACTTGTTGGCTGAAACCACACTCACTTCTTCTGTCACAATTCTGGAGCCTAGAAGTCTAAAATCAAGGTGTCGGCAGGGCTGAGTTCGTCACAGGCTGTAAAGAAGAATTCTGCCTTGTCTCTTCCAGCTTCTGATTGTTCCACTGTTTCTTGCCTTGTGACTGCATAGTTGCAATTTCTGCCTCCATCTTCATGTGATCTCTTCCTCTTCTTCGTGGGACTCTTCTCTGGCGGCTCTGCTGTGAAGTCAGCTGCCCACTGTTAGCAGTGCAGGTGTCTGTTCTTGCCTGGTGCCTGGTAACCCAGGCACTGGGCTCGTCCCCTCTCTGGAGTGATGTGGGTGTTGTACCTGATGGCAACATCACCAAATCTGGCTCTCTAGCCTCTGGAGAGTCTGTGAGTTATCCAATGGATTTTTTTTTAATTGTTTAAAAACAAGAGCAAGACTCTGTCCCCCCCCCCCCCCAAAAAAAGGTAAAGAAATGTAGACTCAGATTCAGTAGGTCTGGTTGGGCATGAGGCTCTGCATTTCTTTTTTTTTTCTTTTTCTTTTTTTGTGTGTGTGTGACATTGTCTTGCTCTTACACCCAGGCTGATGTGCAGTGGCGCAATCTCAGCTCACTGCAACCTCCACCTCCCAGGTTCAAGCAATTCTCCTGCCTCAGCCTCCTGAGTAGCTGGGACTACAGGCATGCAGCACCATGCCCAGCTAATTCTGTATTTTTAGTAGAGATGGGGTTTCACTATGTTGGCCAGGCTGATCTCAAACTCCTGACTTCAAGTGATCTGCCCGCCTTGGCATCCCAAATGGCCTTTAGGGAGAAAACCAAGATTTGCTTAAATACACCATAAAGATTTCTATTAGCTAATATCAGCATCCAAAAAGAACTTCTTAGTGTTGATTTCTTGGCTGCACCTGCCTTTTCAGGCATGATAACAGAAGACAGGAGTCTATGATACAGAGAAAGCAGATGTAGAGAGAAAACTGAGTAGACTTTGTCATATCAAATTTCAACAATGGGGCTGGGTGCGGTGGCTCACACCTGTAATCCCAGCAGTTTGGGAGGCTGAGACGGGTGAATCACTTGAGGTCAAAAGTTTGAGACCAGCTTGACCAACATGGTGAAACCCTATCTTTACTAAAAATACAAAATTAGCCTGGCGTGGTGGTGCATGCCTGTAATCACAGCTACTTGGGAGGCTGAGGCAGGAGAATCACTTGAACCCGGGAGGTGGAGGTTGCAGTAAGCTGAGATCGTGTCATTGCACTCCAGCCTGGGCAATAAGATCGAAACTCCATCTCAAAAAAAAAAAAAAGAAAAGAAAATTCAAGCATGGGCTTCGCTGACAGGGATCCCCAAGAACTACCCCTACTTGGCCAGGCATGGTGGCTCACGCCTGTAATCCCAGCACTTTGGGAGGCCAAGGCGGGCAGATCACCTGAGGTTAGGAGTTTGAGACCAGCCTCGCCAACATGGTGAAATCCCATTTCTACTTAAAATACAAAAATTAGCCAGGTGTGGTGGCAGGCACCTGTAATCCCAGCTACTCGGGAGGCTGAGGCAGGAGAATTGCTTGAACCCAGAAGGTGGAGGTTGCAGTGAGCTGAGATGGTGCCATTGCACTCCAGCCTGGGGGACAAGAGCAAGATTTCATCTGAAAACAACAACAACAACAACAACAACAACAACAACAAAAAGAACTACCCCTACTTGGATCTCAGCTAAAGGAAACACACCACCTATATAATTTTATACCTTTATGGGTTTAACCAAACATGTTGGGAAAAATAGTAAACAAATATATTTTTAAGCCACATTTCTACCAAAAATACAAAAATTAGCTGGACATGGTGGCTTACACCTGTAGTCCCAGCTACTTGGGAAGCTGAGGCAGGAGAATCACTTGAATTATTTTTATTTATCTATTTTTTTGCACACAGTCTCACTCCATTGCCCAGGCTTGAGTGCAGTGGTGTGACCTTGGCTCACTGCAACCTCTGCCTCCTGAGTTCAAATGATTCTTCTGCCTCAGCCACCCATGTAGCTGGGATTACAGGCAAGAGCTACCACGCCCAGCTAATTTTTGTATTTTTTGTAGAGATGGGGTTTCACCATGTTGGCCAGGCTAGTCTTGAACTCCTGACCTCAAGTGATCCACCCACCTCGGCCTCCCAAAGTGTTGGGATTACAGGCGTGAGCCACCAAGCCTGGCCATTTTTTTTGTATTTTTCATAGAGACAGGGTTTCCTCATGTTGGCCAGGCTGGTCTCTAACTCCTGACCTCAAGTGATCCAACCACCTTGGCCTCCCAAAGTGCTGGGATTACAGGCGTGAGCCACAACACACAGCCAAAATTTTAACCATTTTGAATGGAAACATTTTATTTCAGAAAACAATGGACATAATTTAACATAAATATCAGCTTTGAATGCTGAGGTAACACAGGTTGGTGTCTAATTTGCACTTGTTTCTGTATGTTTCTGGTTCTCAACTGAGCTGGCAGGTTCCTGCTGTTGTCATTCAGGCTTTCAATAGCTCAGGGCCTCACACTCTTTACCTCTGCCCTCTGCTGGGGTCAGGAAGACAAAATAACCCAGCTATATTAGGTTTCTCCAGAGAAAGAGAACCCACTGGATGGATAGATAGATAGATAGATAGGCAGGCAGGCAGATAGATAGATAGGTGGGTAGATAGATAGATAGATAGATAGATAGATAGATAGATAGATAGGCAGGCTGGCAGGCAGGCAGATAGATAGATAGATAGATAGATAGATAGATAGATAGATAGATAGATAGATACACAGTCATACATCGCTTAACAAACATACATTTTGAGAATGCATCTTTAGGCGATTTTATTATTGTGGAAACATCACAGTGTTCTTATACAAACCTAGATGGTATAGCCTACTATACACCTAGGCTATATGATAGAGCCTATTGCTTCAAGGCTACAAAGCTGTATGACATGTTACTGTGCTGAATACTGTAGGAAACTGTAATACAATGGTAAGTATTTGTGTATTTAAACACATCCAAACCTGGAGAAGATAGAGTAAAAAAATGGCTTAAAACATAAAAAATGGTACACCTGTAGAGAGCACTTACCATGAATGAAACTTGCAGGACTGGAGGTTGCTCTGGGAGAGTCAGCGAGTGAGTGGTGAGTGAATGTGAAGGCCTAGGACATTACTGTACACTACTGTAGACTTTATAAACACTGTGTACATAGGCTACGCTAAATTAATTAATTTTTGTTTTTTGAAACAGTGTCTTGCTCTGTCGCCCACGCTGGAGTGCAGTGGCACAATCTCCACTCACTGCAGTCTCCACCTCCTGGGTTCAAGCAATTCTTCTGCCTCAGCCTCCTGAGTAGCTGGGATTACAGGCATGCGCCACCAAACTTGGCTAATTTTTGTATTTTTAGTAGAGACAGGGCTTTGCCACGTTGGGCAGGCTGGTCTCGAACTCCTGACCTCAGGTGATCCACCCGCCTTGGCCTCCCAAAGTGCTGGGATTACAGGCATGAGCCACTGCACCCAGCCTATTAAAAATTTTTTAAATCTGCAATAATTAACCTTACTTTACTGTAACTGTACTTTATAAATGTTCAAATTTTTTTACCTTTTGACTTTTCTAATAACACTTAGTTTAAAACACACGTTAAGTAGTTGTATAAAAATATTTTCTTTTTTATATCTTTATTCTATAAGCTTTTTTATTTTTTAAATTTTTTACATTTAAACTTTTTTTTTTTTGTTAAAAATGAAGACACAAACACACACATTAGCCTAGGTCTACACAGGGTCAAGATCATCAATATTGCTGTCTTCCTCCTCCACATCTTGACACACTGGAAGGTCTCCAGGGACAATGACACGCATGGAGCTGTCATTTCCTACAATAACAATGCCTTCTTCTGAATACCTCCTGAAGGGCCTGCCTGAGGCTAGTTACAGTTAACTTCTTTTTTTATAATTTGAAGAAGTACACTCTAAAATAAGAAAAAGTATAGCACAGTGTATTAGTTCATTCTGAAATTGCTATAAAGAAATACCTAAGACTGGATAATTTGTAAAGAAAAGAGGTTTAATTGGCTCACAGTTTTGCAGGCTATACAGGAAGCATGGCGGCATCCACTTCTGGGGAGACCTTAGGGAACTAGCAATCATGGTGGAAGGTGAAAGGGGAGAAGCCACGTCACGTGGTTAGAGTAGCAAGAATGGGCTGGGGAGGTGCTACACACTTTTTTTTTTTTTTTTTTTGAGACGGAGTCTCACCCTGTTGCCCAGGCTGGAGTGCAATGGTGCGATCTCAGCTCACTACAACCTCTGTCTCCTGGGTTCAAACGATTCTCCTACCTCAGCCTCCTGAGTAGCTGGGATTACAGGCACTCACGACCACGCCCAGCTAATTTTTGTATTTTTAGTAGAGATGGGTTTTCACCATGTTGGCCAGGCTGGGGTGCTACACTCTTTTAAATGACCAGATCTCATGAGGATTCTATCATGAGACCAGCACCAAAGAGATGGTGCTAAGCCATTCATGAAGGAACCACCCCCATGATCCAATCACCTCCCCCCAGGCCCCTTTTCCAGCAGTGGGGATTACAATTTGACATGAGATTTAGTGGGGACACAGATCCAAACCATATCACACAGAAAATACATAAGGCAGTAACATAGTCATTTATTATCAAGTATTATGCACTGTGCATAATTGTATGTGACTTTTATATGACTGGCCATGCAATAGGTTTGTTTACACCAGCATCACCACAGACACATGAGTAATGCATTGTGCTACAATGTTATGACACCTACAACATCACTAGATGATAGGAGATTTTCAGCTCCTTTATAATCTTGTGGGACCACCATTGTATATGCAGTCCATTGTTGACAAAAATGTCATTATATAGTGCATGAGTCTACGTCTATCAGAGATTTATTATGGAGGTTGGCTCCCTCAATTATGGTGGCTGAGAAGACCTAAAATATACTGTCCACAAGAGAACCAGGGAAGCTGGTTGTGTGGCTCAGTCTGAGTATGAAGGCCTGAGAACCTGGAGTTCTGATGTCCAAGGGCAGAAGAGGAAGGGTGTTGTCCCCGCTGCAATAGAGAGAGCAAATTCTCTCTTCCTCTGCCTTTGTGTTCTATCCAGGCCCTCAGCCCTTTGGATGGTGCCTGCCCACATTGGTGAGGTCAGATCTTCCTTATTCAGTTCACTGATTCAAATGCCAATCTCTTCCGGAAATACCTTCACAGACATACCCAGAAATAATGTGCCACCAGTTATCTGGGTATCCCTTAACCCAGTCAGGTTTACATCTACAATGACCCACCACACCAGTCAAATACAAATCAGCAAGACTCAGCTGGAGTGAAGTAGTGCAGATGGGCTGGGCACTGCTTGGTGGGTCCACTGCTTACCTTTCCCACCTCACATTTTACATTTCTACAGGGGGCAGATGCCTGAGCATAGCTCTGTGATCAACAGGCTTTGTGGGTTTTTATTATTTCCACACTAAGATTCTTGAGATTGGAATGTTATCCCCTTTCCTTTTGAAATCAGCTCACTTGTCCTAGAGAACTGATGTTTATGGTTTCTTCTGAATAAACATAGAAATTGATCCTCCCACTCTTAAAACTTTAGAAAGTTACATTTGTCTTATCTGAGTTCCTTTCTCGGGTTTCCAACTGTCAGCCCTCCCAGATAGTAATGAGGCAGGAGAACAGGGTCTGGAAACAGGGGATGTAAGGCCGATTCAGGCTGACTTCCTAGAACTGAATCAAAAGGAAAACCCCACCTCTCCATGTCCAAGTAACAAAAAGATCAGAGGCTACTCCCTTTACACTCCGCCCCTCCCCACTCCCATTCCACTGCATTGCAGATGAAAAATTGAAAGTACCTCTGATTGGTTGCCTCCCTCTACCAATTAGACTGGTTGTGGGCCAAGTCTTCATTTACATAGGGTGTAACCAAGTAACCAGTGGGAAACCTCTAGAGGGTATTTAACCCCAGAAAATTCTGTAACTGGTCCTCTTGAGACACTTGCTCAAATCTGCTCCCACTCTGTGGAGTGTACTTTCATTTCAATAAATCTGTGTTTTTGTTGCTTCATTCTTTTGTCGCTTTGTATGTGTGATCCGTTCAATTCTTCGTTCAAAATGCCAAGAACCTGGATGACTCACAGTCAAGACCCTCCAGTGCGGTAACAGTATCAAGGAACTGACACTTACCAGATCATCACATCTGGACAATAAGAAGCCAGACCCCTCACCTGTCATGATTGCCTAACTGATCACCTGCTTCTTCTTGACCAACTCCTCTTCCTTACCCCTCCCTAATTCCTATTTTCCTATATGTAGTTACATTTCTTCCCTGTTATATAAACCCCTGATTTCAGTTGGCCAGATCACAGCTGCAGCATGTGATTAAGCCTTCTTCCCTGGCAATAATCATTGTCTCAGTGATTGGCTTCCTGTGCGGTGAGCAATTGTACCTAGATCAAACTCCTGGCATTTTGGTAGCACTTTTTTTTTTAGGTAAGGAAGTTGAGAAATGTTACAGGACTTCCTCAAGTTCCTACAACCAGAAAAGGGCAGTGCTGGGTTGGAACTCCACTTAGCAGCTAAAGTTCATGTAAGTAAGCAACATGCTAGCTTGTCTTCCAACAAAACTATGTGAAAATGAACCCTAGCTCTTCACTTAAAGCCCAGCAGCCCTGTGTGAGCTATGTAATCTAAAAGAACCTCAGTTAGCTCATGTGGGAAGGGGGTGTAATATTTTTCTTGCACTGTTATTGGGATGTGTAAATAACATAATTTGTCAATGCTCTCCAGCCAGAAACCACTAGGAACACACCTATAGTTAAGAAAGTTGGGTTTAATTCTCATTGCAAAGAGGGAAAATGCAAACAATGGGAAACCCTGGGGGTGTCTCAGTGAGATGATGTTAGAAAATGTTATTAAAGGATTTGGGCTTTGGTTTGCTGCTTTGGGAGAAGTTGAAGAAAGCATAGTTTTTCTCTGGGTTGGATAGGGTCAGGAAACTGGGGTAATTCTATGAATGTGTATCCTCATAAATCTTACCCATAGGGAAAGCAGACTACACCAAGTCTGAAGCTGTAATTGGGCTGAGTGTAGTGGCCCATACCTGTAATCTCAGTGCTTTGGCAGGCTGAGGCGGGAGAATTGCTTGAGCCCAGGAGTTTGAGACCAGCCTGGGCAATGTAGCGAGACTCTGTCTCCACAAAAAATTTTTTAAAAATTAGCTAGGTGTTGTAGCATGTGCTGTGATCCCAGCTACTCAGAAGGCTGGGGTAGGAGGATTGCTTGAGCCCAGGAAGCTGAGGTTGCAGTAAGTCATTGTGCCACTGCACTCCAGCCTGGGTGACCGAACGAGACTCTGTCAGAAAATAAAAGCTGTAACTGGCAATGAAGCAGCAGCCAGTTCTATTAGCCAAGACAACTGCTATATTTGTGTGTTTTCTTTTGTGGCTTGAACAATGTTTATGCTTTGTCTGTTTTCAGATATGATGTTGAAGTGGTCTTATTCTGGTCTAGATCCATCCTGGTCACAGAGGAGTCTTGTCTAATGGTGTTGTGGGAAATCGTTTATGTTCATGTTCAACAGGAGGACATGGCCCAGGGTAGTGCCAGGCCAGATCTATTTCAGAATATAAGGTATCCATCCCAGTGCTGGACTCACCGGTGTTGGAACCACAGGGGTTATGACTCTAATGGTGCTTACCCAAATGCCATCCCAGACCTCTGAGCCACAGTGACACAGGCAGGTGCATTCTGGAGAGGCTAAAAGACAGATGTCCCATCAGGGAGTAATGACTCATTTTCCTCCTGAGCTTCAAACATTACACGAAGCCATTTCCATGAAGTCAGTGGTATTTCAGCCCAGGGAGAATTTTGGACACAGCAACGAGGGGCCTGCAAGTTAGATGACCTATCCTGTGATCTGCCTTTGCCTCCTTCATGCAGCAAATATGCAGTGTGTCTCAGAGCTGGGCTAGATACTGTGACACCCACCACCTCATGAAAAAGGCAGAGAAGCAAACAATCTAGCTGAAAAAATGTAAAAGCATGTAGTGTTCAGTGAGGGCAGTGGTGCCCACACTTTCCTATGCAATGGAATCACCTGTGAATCTTTCAAAACACTAATGGTTGGGGTCCCATCCCACTGAGTTAAGTGATCTGGGCTTCCACTCGGGCTTCCAGCTTTTAAAAACTCCCTAGGTGATCAATGTGCAGCCAAGTTTGGGTACTATTGGTTTAATCCATCATTTTTACAAGCTTGGCGGGGGTTGGGGGGGTGGGGGTGGAGGTGGGGAGTGGGCAGTGGAGGGTGTCACAGATGTTGAATTGGATAAAAGCTTTTGTCTCTCATTCCAGGCACTTGCATTTAGATGTAAAACCTGGCATAGTATTTCAGGGGATTTACAGATCCCAAGAAGTGAATCAGGGAACGCCTGTGGGCCTTGTGGTCCCCAAGTGAGAAAAGTCCAGCTGCAGGAGTGTCCACCTCCAATTGGGGTGACAGGAGCTCTCTGTCCTGTCCAGAATGGTGCTGGCCCTTTGTCTCAGTCTTTTTGTCTGTAATAACAAAATACCCAAGACTGGGTAATTTGTAAAAAACAAAACAACAAGAACAACAAAACCAGGAATTTATTTCTCACAGCCTCTGAAGTCTGGGAAGTCCAAGCTCAAGGTGAAGCCTCCTCAGGTGGCAAAGAGCAGAAGCACAAAAGAGACCAAACTCCCTCCCTCAAGCTCTTTTACAAGAACACTGAGACATTCACAAGTGCTGAGTCCTCAAACCTACTAACCTCCTGAAGGCTACACCTCAAATACGGATTGAATTTTCGCATGAGTTTTGAGGGACACCCATTCAAAGCATAGCACCCTTCGGCTTCAGAGAAGCTCCAGCCCTGTTGTCACCAAGCAGGTTCCCCCTAGGCAGAGCGCCAAGAAGCAGCCCAGGCGATCCCAAGGCGCACAAGTGCTCTCACCAGGCTGCGCGCTGGCGGGTCGGTGCACAGGGACGGGGTCGCCGCCCACGCGCGCTTGGTTCAGGGAGCCCAGGCTGTCCCTACCCGCGGCTACAAAAGCTCGCCGAGTCTTCCTGTCCACCCAATCGCCCCACATGTCAGCGGTTGGTCGCCTCGCGGTGCAGTGCTGGGCACGCGAGCCCCTCCCGCAGTCATTCTCAGCACAAGCACCAGCCTGGAGCCCCGCAGCGACAGAGCTGAGAGCCCCCAAGCCGCAGAGGTCGTGCGGAGCAGGTAAGCGCAGCCTCCTGGCTGGGGAGCCACGGAGGAGAAAGGGCGGCCGGGTCCCACGGCCCCGCCAACAGGACAGGCTATGCCCTTTCAGTACCCCCTCTTCCCTGGCTCTGTTTCTAATCTAGGAATAAACAAGAAAGTCCTTAGTCTTTGAAAAGAAAATGATTCCAAAATACAAAAAAAAAAAAAAAAAAAAAAAAGTTAAAAAGTTAAACATCACGTTTGTTTGGCTTAAAATAATTATACATGGCTTGTAATGAGGGAAATCCAAAATTCACAAGCCTCTTGATGTAAAATAATTTAAATATCTTTGGTTTGGGATTATGTGGTTACTACAAAACATACCACAGCTGATGGGAAAGTGGTTTACTTCCCATTAGGTTGCAAATGTCTTAGAAACACACTCCTGGACCACAGCTTCAAGAGACGCAAGCAGTCACCTCATCTGCTGGTTTCCAAGCTGCCCTGCCAGAAGCAGGTCAGGGGTCCCACAGGGGTCCTCAGTAACTCCTCAAAATCCTCTCCCATCAATGGCCCCACCAGATCATCCCTACTTTTGAATGCTTGTCCAATGCAGGTTCCAGGTAAGATTTCCTTTCACAAGTGACTTCCATGGCTAAGGAAAAATTCAGCACTCTAGAACTAGTCCAAGCCCCTCTCTGCGGCAGTATTTATAAGCAGCGGAACCATCTTGTAGATTTCTAAGCTTGCTGGAAAATAAAACACTGCTATAAATGCATAGAGCCTTCTCCCTTGTGAAAAGGAAACTCCTGCCAGAGATGAAAGCAACAGCAAGGATAGCACTGTGCAGAGTAAGGGTGGCTAACGCCAGGCTTCCTCCTGGGGATTTACATCAGGATTGTAACATATTAGATGTAAATCCACCTGTGGGCTCCAGGGTGGATCTGGAGGTCCAGGCACCAGGGAGCTGGGGTCAAAACCAACTGTTGTTAAAAGTCAAGGGAATTATAACTAAGGAATAGGACGCTTTAAAATACGACTTGTGGCTGGGCGCGGTGGTTCACACCTGTAATCCCAACATTTTGGGAGGCCAAGGCAGGCAGATCACCTGAGGTCAGGAGCTCGAGACCAGCCTGGCCAACATGGCGAAACCCCATCTCTACTAAAAATACAAAAATTAGCCAGGCGTGGTGGCAGGCGCCTGTAATCCTAGCTACTAGGAAGGTTGAGGCAGGAGAATCTCTTGAACCCGGCAGGCAGAGGTTGCAGTGAGCCGAGATCACACCACTGTACTTCAGACAGAGCAAGACTGTCTCAAAAAAAAAAAAAAAAAGGCTTGTAAGTAAATAATGATACAAAGAAGATACATGAGCAGTGTCAAAAGGCAGGTTTATTTTTCTTCCCTTTATCCATAACTTAGGGATTCTTCAAATAGCTTAAGCAAAATATATCCAAGTTGTTAATCACCACATGCATGATGCTAGGTGGTTAATTTAATTGGTGAAATGGTTTTGTTGCTCCGTAGAGTAGCAGTATCTATATGGACCAACAAAATCATTTCACCAAGTAACAAAAGCCAGTGTGGCCCATTATTCTCTGTGGCAAGTCTCCTTTAAGAAGTGACATGCACTTGTGCTCCTAGCTGCTTGGGAGGCTTGAGGACTCCTTGAGCCCAGGAGTTCCAGGGTACAGTGAGCATAACTTGCCACTGTGCTGCAACCTGGAGGACAAAACCCTGTCTCTACTAAAAGAAAAAAGAAGAATAAGGAGAAGAAGAAGAAGATAAGGAAGTTTTTCCTTCGTTCTTTGAAATCTCTTTCTGAGTAGCATTCCTCCCCCACCACAAAAGTAAATGATTCCATGGTGAAAGACAAGAAAATAACTTCTCCAGTAGGATGAGGTGGTCTCATACCAACCAAAGCAACCAAAGCTTGCATACCAACATTGTCAGGTGGGTGAGAATTGCATTCATTCCTAACCTCTTGAGGCTTCAGCATCCCAAGACTAGATAGTGGAAAATCTCAGTAGCTCTCCAGGCAAAGCTGGCCGGGTGGCGGCTGGGGGGCATTGGGGGCGGGGTTGGGATTCAGAACGCTCACCCACCATGTCTGAAAAGCATCCAGAGAGATCATAATGCTTTGACTTCTGATATAACCTTTTGGGGTGTTTATGTACTTTTGATGCTTCAAGGAATAAAAAGTCTAAATAGAATTCTAAATGCAAAACCTCTCTCTGTACTACTGAGGATTCTCAGATGGAAGAATACATTTGTTAACCATGGTAACAACATATATAATCAAAGTTTTGCATTATTTTGAGCTTGGTTATAACAATGTGCTACATCCATCCACACACACACAGAAAGAGAAGTTGTTGAAAACCAAGACAAGGAACCCTGTGGTTTTCTGGATCAACACCAGGAACGATCCCCTCCAGCCCTCCCTGGGCTCTGCTTTCTCCCTTCCCCTCTTTGCTGGTTGAGCATCTGTGGCGCCAACCAGTGGTCCCCGTGATCCATGCTTCAGGGCCCCGGAAGGCCCAGAAGGCTTATGTTACCAGTCCGGTCTCGGTCTCAAGTACCAGAGTGACATGACCTCTCCCTTACTGAGCCTGACCACCTGCCTGGATCTTGACGTGCATGGCCTCCTTTCTTTCACTACAGCTCAGATCATGGGGGGTTTGTACCCATTTCACAGATGGGAACAGAGAGCCTTCAAATTAGGTTGAGACTTTGCTTACACTCCCAAAGCTAGCCAGCACTGGGGCTAGGCTTCCAACCCTTCCTCTGACTCAGCTGCACACACCATCCTTACTAAGAGGACAGCAGCCCCTTGCTTGCTTTTGCATTTGCATTAACTCTCTGAACCCAAGCTTATAAATAACCAAGCAACACATTCTGTACTATGCATTTGTTATTCCCAAAGATACAGCTTGATTCAAAATAAAATGACTAAGTTTATTTCCTGCTCACCTTCCAGCACATCTTGGACTTCAAGAAAGATGACATCATTCAAGCACTTACATAAATTCTATGTTGTGGCAAGGCTCTGATCCTTTTCTTGTCACTTCTTCAGCATCCTAAATTTGCACATGATAACATCTGTTGTCCTCCATCAGATATAATCAGTATTGCTAATCTACAGTGCCACATTGGCAGTAGTGATTTTTTTTTTTTTTTGAGACGGAGTCTTGCTCTGTCGCCCAGCCTGGAGTGCAGTGGCAAGATCTTGGCTCACTGCAAGCTCTGCCTCCTGGGTTCACGCCATTCTCCTGCCTCAGCCTCCCAAGTAGCTGGGACTACAGGCACCCGCCACCACGCCCAGCTAATTTTTTGTATTTTTAGTAGAGACAGGGTTTCACCGTGTTAGCAAGGATGGTCTTGATCTCCTGACCTCATGATCTGCCCGCCTCGGCCTCCCAAAGTGCTGGGATTACAGGCGTGAGCCACTACGCCCAGCCTGGAAGTAGTGATTTTTATCCACTTTTTCTCCAGGTTCCCAGAAAGAATATTCAACTTAGTATCTATTTGGCTGGGAGGGCAGGATGTTAGTCTTTGCTTCATCTAAAAGTAAATGAGGAATTCAGTAGCTCCTCTGACCACTTCAATCACTTATAGACAAGTATAATGAAAATATATTCTTCATACTTAAAAAAGATCACCTGAGGTCAGGAGTTTGAGACCAACCTGATCAACATGGCGAAACTCCATCTCTACTGAAAATAGGAAAATTAGCTAGGCCTGATGGTGCATGCCTGTAATCCCTGCTACTTGGGAGGCTGAGGCAGGAGAATCACTTGAACCTGGGAGGCGGAGTTTGCAGTGAGCCAAGATCGCGCCACTGCACTCCAGCCTGGCTAACAGAGCGAGACTCTATCTCAAAAAATAAATAAGTAGGCTGGGGGTGATGGCTCATGCCTGTAATCCCAGCACTTTGGGAGGCTGAGATGGGCAGATCACCTGAGGTCAGGAGATCAAGATCAGCCTGGCCACATGATGAAACCCCATCTCTACTAAAATATATAAAAACTAGCTGGGTGTGGTGGCAGGTGCCTGTAATCCTAGCTACTCAGGAGGCTGAGGCACAAGAATCGCTTAAACCTGGGAGGTGAAGGTTGCAGTGAGCCGATTATGTCAGTGCACTCTAGCCTAGATGACAAGAGTGAGACTCTGTCTCAAAAAAAAAAATAATAATAATAAATTAAAAAAGTACACCATGATTGGTTACATTAACCACATTTATTTATTTAATATTTTTTTAGACAGAGTCTCGCTCTGTCACCCAGGCTGGAGTGCAGTGGCATGATCATGGCTCACTGTAACTTCCACCTCCCAGGTTCAAGTGATTCTCTTGCCTCAGCCTCTCAAGTAGCTGGGATTACAGGCGTGCACCACCACACCCAGCTAATTTTTGCATTTTTAGTAGAGATGGCGTTTGACCATGTTGGGCAGGCTGGTCTTGAACTCCTGACGTCAGGTGATCCACTTGCCTTGGCCTCCCAAAGTGCTGGGATTACTGGCATGAGCCACAGCGCCCGGCCTAACCACTTTAAAAATATATTTAAGTGCCCCCAGTATCACTGCTTTCTAAACTATTTCAAAAACTGAAGGGTACTATTTCTATAATAATAAATTGTTAGAGTATAATATTCACAGTGGTAATTCAGGTAATGAGAGTATTTTACAAGGCAGAACTAATTAGGTTGGAATAAAACAAAATCAGACACCAACAATAATTCATATGTCTCAAATAGTGCCCTTGCCTACCTGTCTTTATCTAAATATTAGCTCTACACATTGACACCACGTTAGTAGCCACTAAAAAGAAGAGCAAGCACTCTGAATTTTAGTCTCTGTTATGCCATTTCCTGGCATTTGGAGGAAAAGCACATTCTACAGAAAAATCACGGGATGGCACTATCTGTTTTGTATCTGATTTTAACATGTGTTATCTCTTAGGTACAGGGTCATACACTTGGAAGGTGTGATATTGTGAAATATGTATTTGGTCTTCCTCATCTTTTCCTGACATACGGTTCCTTCAATCCTTGGAATCTTCTGTGCTAATGAGGTGACTGGAGGCTGAGGGCCTCTAGATAGCCTCAGGGTGGGAACTTTTTGTGGGAAAAATCAAGTTCTGATTACAGGGTTAAGATATTCAGCCCCAGGCCCCAACCTCCAAGGAGGGAAGGGGGGCTGAAAATTGAGTTGATCGTTAATGGCTAATGATATAATCAATCATGCCTACAAATGGAAGCTTCCATAAAAATTCAAAAGGAGGCCAGGCGTGGTGGCTCACGCCTGTAATCCCAGCACTTTGGGAGGCCTGAGTGGGCGGATCACGAGATCAAGAGATGGAGACCATCCTGGCCAACATGGTAAAACCCTGTCTCTACTAAAAATATAAAAATTAGCTGAGCATGGTGGTGTGGTAAAACCCCGTCTCTACTAAAAATATAAAAATTAGCTAGGCCTGTAGTCCCAGCTACTTGGGAGGCTGAGGCAGGAGAATCACTTGAACCCGGGAGGTGGAGGTTGCAGTGAGTCGAGATCGCGCCACTGCACTCCAGCCTGGTGACAGAGCAAGACTCTGTAAAAAAAAAAAAAAAAAAGTTCAAAAGGACTGGGTTTGGAGACCTCCTGGGTTGGTGAACACATCCACATGCTGGGAGGGTGGTGTACCCCAACTTCATGAGGACAGAAGCTCCTAGGATCAGAACCCTTGCTGACTTCACCCCATGGATCTCTTCATCTGTATCCTTTATCATATTCTTTTTTTTAGGCTAGTTAGGTGAGCCCTTATTATATTCTTTGTTAATAAATTGGTAAATGTGTTTCCCTGAGTTCTTGTGAACTGCTCTAACAAATTAATTGAACCTGGGGAGGGGCATGTGGCAACCTTAATTTGTAGCTGGTGGGTCAGAAGTTCTAGAGGCTCAGATCTGCAACTGGTATCTGAAGTTGGGGACAGTTTTGTGAGACTAACCCCTGAACCTATGAGATCTAACACTGTCTTTAGGTAGGGAGTGTCAAAATTGAGTTGAATTAGAGGACACCCAGCTAGTGTCCACTGGAGAACCTGCTGGAAAACGGATTGTTTGGTGTCTGGGGAAAACCTTGCCCACATTTGGTCACAGAAGTATTCTGTGTTGATTGAGAGCAGAAAAAAAATAAAAAAAAAAGCTTTGGTTTGGGTTTTTCCTATCTCCTATATTGCACAAAAGGCCATATATGTCTGCCAGTAAAAGCCATTGACCCCATATAAATACTAGCCCTATCATTGAGCTAGTTTTTTCCTTAGCTGGTCGTGCTACAGGGTAGCACAGCTCCCTGGTTGCAGTTTTATTTAAGGATCCTTGAAGCATTTCAAATACTTGAGGGGACACTAGAGGGGGGCAAGAGATGAGATAAACTCTTCCTGCCCTTTCATCTGCACCAGCTATTTATTAAAGTGCATTTAACATGTGTGCTTGGATTCTTCCCCACTTGACAGGTTTCCTCTCTGACCACTTTTTGGACTGAAGAATGGGCTCCAAGGGATGGCTCCTGCCATCTAGTGGCTTCCTGATGTATGGCAGATTGTTCCTGGCTTTCAAATTTCCACACCTTGAAAGATGCCCAGGGAGCCTATGAAAAGCCCAAGACCTGGCTGGGCGCGGCGGCTCAGGCCTGTAATCCCAGCACTTTGGAAGACCGAGACGGGTGGATCACCTGAAGTCAGGAGTTCAAGACGAGCCTGGCCAACATGGCAAAACCCCGTCTCTACTAAAAAATACAAAAAAAAAAAAAAAAAATTGGGCGTGGTGGCAGGTGCCTGTAATCCCAGCTACTCGGGAGTCTGAGGCAGGAGAATCGCTTGAAGCTGGGAGGCAGAGGTTGCAGTGAGCTGAGATTGCACCATCGCATTCCAGCCTGGCGACAGAGCAAGACTCCATCTCAAAAAAAAAAAAAAAAAAAAAAAAAAAAAGAGAGAGAGAAAAGAAAAGCCCAAGACCTCGGGGCCATCCCCAAACCTACTGTTATCAGATTTTGAATCTATCTTTTTTTCTCTTAAGAGACAGGCTCTCACTCTGTTGCCCAGGCTGGAGTGCAGTGGCATGGTCATGGCTCACTGCAGCCTTGAGCTCCTGGGCTGAAGTTCCCGAGTGGCTGGGACCACAAGTGTGTGCCACTATGCCCGGCTAATCAATACTTATTTATTTTTGTATAGACAGAGGTCTCCCTGTGTTGCCCAGGCTGGTCTTGAACCCCTGGGCTCAAGCGATCCTCCTGCCTCAGCTTTCCAAAATGCTGGGATTGCAAGCATGAGCCACTGCACATGGCTGAGTTTGGGATTTTAACTTGCTTTCCAACACATCCTCTCAGCCAAATGTTTCCCAAACTTAAGTCATTTGCCTTCCATTGTCATGATTTTTCCCATACTCATATGCCAGGTGAAATGTGATTTCCTCAATATTTCTTTAAATTCATAACTAATATAAATGGAACATTGGTATCATTTGCCATATGAAAAGGAAGTCAAAAAGAAACATTTAAAAATTTATTTCCAGGAATTCCACCTAAAACAATCTTCTATATCATTCTATATTTTGGAAAACAGTACTTTGGGAGTTCCTTCTGGACACTTTGCTGTGATTCAACACCACATTCCCGGTTTGAAATTTAGTTCCTTTTCTAACAGGTGTCTATGTTTCATGCAGAACTTCCATAGTTCCTTTTGCTGAAGATGCCTTAATAGTGATGCATGGTCTCAATTAGCCATTGGTGTAGGCCTGAAAAAAGAGTGGAGACCAGAAACATCTTACAGTGCTGATAATTATTAAAGAAGATTCTAAGGCCGGGCGCAGTGTCTTACGCCTGTAATCCCAGCACTTTGGGAGGCTGAGGTGGGTGGATCATGAGGTCAAGAGATCGAGACCATCCTGGCCAACATGGTGAAGCCCCGTCTCTACTAAAAATACAACAATTAGCTGGGTATGGTGGCGGGTGCCTGTAGTCCCAGCTACTCAGGAGAATGAGGCAGGAGAATCACTTGAACCCCAAAGGGGGAGGTTGCAGCGAGCTAAAATCACGCCACTGCACTCCAGCCTGGCGACAGAGCGAGACTCCATCTCAAAAATAAGTAAATAAATAAAAATAACACAATGTCCCAACTAGGACTCTTTATGGATCAGAAATTTTAGCTTGACTAAACAGGCCTGTTGTGGTTTTTTGGTTTTTGTTTGTTTGTTTTGTTTTTGAGACGGAGTTTCACTCTTGTTGCCCAGGCTGGAGTGCAGTGGCACCATCTTGGCTCACTGCAACCTCCACCCGCCAGGTTCAAGCTATTTCCCTGCCTTAGCCTCCCAAATAGCTGGGATTACAGGCATGTGCCACCATGCCCGGCTAATTTTGTATTTTTATTAGAGACGGGGTTTCTCCATGTTGGTCAGACTGGTCTCGAACTCCCGACCTCAGGTGATCTGCCTGCCTCAGCCTCCCAAAGTGCTGGGATTACAGGCGTGAGCCACCACATGCGGCCCAACAGGCCTGTTTTAAAGTTGCTAATTGAAGGGTAAAATATAGAGAGCAAAAATCAGTCACATCCATAGGAAAGGCTGAATTCCAAAACAACTGAAAATCAAAAACCATTTCCTTTTGAAAGATAAACACATGATGGGAAATAATGATCCGTAATGATCGTAATTCTGTGTCTTGGAAAACAGACATCAATGGATGACTGGTGCAGAGCACTTCTTCTGCATCATTACCAGTACTTACCAGATCATCTGTCCACATATAACCTGATGGATACCATAGAAACAAGTTAAGAAATGATTCAAAAGTTATTCAGATAAGTAGATGTATGGAATACCTAACAGATCCCTAATATCATTACATTTATGCAGCAAAATAAAAATTCTGGAGGACAGAGGCCGGGCATGGTGGCTCATGCCTGTAATCCCAGAACTTTAGGAGGCTGAGGCAGGTGGATCACTTGAGGCCAGGAGTTCAAGCCCAGCCTGGCCAACATGGTGAAACCGCATCTCTACTACAAATACAAAAATTAGCTGGGCTTGGGGACGCGGGCCAGTAATCCCAGCTACTTGAGAAGCTGAGGCATAAGAATCGCTTGAACCCGGGAGGCAGAGGTTGCAGTGAACTAAGATTGCGCCACTGTACTCCAGCCTGGGTGACAGAGTTAGACTCTGTCTCAAAAGAAAAAAAGAAAAGGGCTGGGTGCGGTCACTGATTACAGGTGTAATCCTAGCACTTTGGGAGGCCGAGGTGGGCAGATTGCCTGAACTCAGGATTTCAAGACCAGCCTGGGCAACATGGTGAAACTCTGTCTCTACTAAAATACAAAAAATTAGCCGGGAGTGGTTTTGCATGCCTGTAGTCCCAGCTACTCAGGAGGTTGAGGCAGGAGAATTGCTTGAACCCGGGAGACGGAGGTTACAGTGAGTCAAGATAGCACCACTGCACTGGGTGACAGAGCGAGACTCCATCTCCAAAAAACAAACAAGCAAACAAACAAATTCTGGAGGACAGAAGAAAGAGAAGAGTGGGTTAAAACTCCTTTGATGTCCAGCTACTTAGCCCCTTGTGATGCTTTTCAGAATGATATGATAACCAATACTGGGTTGTGTGTGTTACTTATTGGGAAAGATGTGAAATATAATCCAAAATGTAAAGGATGAAGAAATCAAATCAATCAAGCTTCTGCACTGCTAAAACAGACCAAAGCAAACCAATTCCACTCCTGGCTGAGCACACCGACTATTTGAAGTGTTCCCACACTAGCTGTGCACCCCACTGACCTCCAGGGATTTGTGCTGTGGGTGCCTGTGGAACCAGTGCCAGCACCTCTGCTCCAGAAGCTGGGGCTTTTGTTTTGCTTAGTCAAATCTTTAAATGCTATAGTGATGGGACAATTATGTTTTTTACTCCTCCGTCCCCAGCTCCACCCACCCCACCCCAAAACCAGTTTATTTATTTAAAAATTTTTTTAGACATGAGGGTCTCCCTATGTTGCCCAGGCTGGTCTTGAACCCCTGGGCTCAAGTGATCCTCCTGCCTCAGCCTCCCAAAGCTCTGAGATTACAGGTGTAAGTGACCATGCCCAGCCAAAATCAGAGTTTTTATTCAAGATACAACTTACATTATCTCAGTTTTCTGTCCGTATAATTTCCTCAGAATCCATTTCAACCAAAAGTAATTTAAATTCCCACTGGTTTCTCTGGATACACTTCAATATAACTATTTTATGTATTATTTTTTGAGACAGGGTCTTACTCTGTTGCTCAGGCTGGAGTGCAGTGGTGCAATCATAGCTCACTGCAGCCTTAAACTCCTGGGCCCAAGAGATCCTGCCTCAGCCTTCCAAGTAGCTGGCTACAGGTACACACCACCACACCAGGCTAATGTTTATTTTTTGTAGAGATGGAGGTCTTGCTAGGGGGCCCAGGCTGTTCTTGAATCTTGGTCTGAAGCCATCCTGCTGCCTCTGTCTCCCAAAGTGCTAAAGTGCTAGGATTACAGGTGTGAGCCACTGTACCTGGCAAACTTTATAATTTTAAAAGTGAATCCTTAATATCAGTTTCCTTTAAGAAAACTTTTTAAATTAAAAAGTTGTATTAGTTGATAATATACAATATCAAGATACAAAATGATGACAGTTAGAAGGGTTAGATTGCTTGAGTGGCAACTGAAACTTTGACCTTGGGAATCCGCATCTGGAATCACACACCTTCTTTTCTTTTGCTACCAGCCCCGCCTTCCAGACCCTGTTTTACTACTTCATTGAGGCTTCTAGACCCTCACCTCCATTTTTCCGAAGTCTTATTTTTCTGCCCTCTCATAGTTTCACAGTGTTTCATGTTTCAAACTGGGACATGAGTTTACCGTTGACAACCGTTTCCTAAGAGCTTTCTAACCTCCTCACCATCTTTGCTTAAATCATTCTCCAATCTGGAAATGACTCAGCATTTACAGAACTAAGCTAGTGGTTTAACTGCCTCTCCTCACTGAATAACATATTTCCCTAACAAACCCTCTTATCACTATGAGTTTGTTGTTGTTGTTGTTAGAGATGGGGTTTTGCCATGTTGCGCAGGCTGGTCTCAAACTTCTGGGCTCAAATGATCTGCTCACCTTGGCCTCCCAAAGCACTGAGATTACAGGTATGGGCCACTGCACCTGGCCTTATCACTATGTGATGGACAAAGAACCTCTGAGAAGCTACTCCACTTGCTCCAGTCTTCATCTAGGAAAGGGTGAAACTGAAATCTGAGCCCAACCTTCTGGCTCTAAAGTGTGTGCTCTGACTCACACTACACAGATCGGGCTTTCCCTGCTGGCTTTATTCTCATGGCTTTACCAACTTGCATTATCCTCCTAGTTTACTTACCTGGTCTTCATCGTACTTTACACACCTGACCTTTACATCTGGCCTTCAGATTTAGCTTTCCACTTCTGGTTGTACCCACTGTTCCTTACCCAACTAGTGGCCTTAACCTTCTGGTTTTACCAATCTGGCCATAGCTTCCTGACCTTGTCCCCCGGTCTTACCCCCTAGTCTTACCTACCTGTTCTTACTTACCTGGCCTTAACCTCCTTGCCTTACCAGCCTGTTTCTATTAACCTTCTGGTGTTACTCACCTGGTCTTAACCTCATGGTCTTACCCATTGTGCTTACCCACCTGGTATTATCCACCTGGTTTTGATCTCCTGGCCTTAGCAATTAGGCCTTACTCACCTGGCACTAGCTTTTGGCCATACCACTTTGCCTTACTTACCTAGAGTTTCTACTTGGCCTTATCAGCCCCCTAGTCCTACTCACCCAGTCTTATTCTCCTGGCCTTGCCCACTTTGCTTTAACCACCCTGCCTTAACTGGGTGCTCTGTCCTTCTAGCCTCACACACCAGGCCTCAGTCACCTGGTCTTACTACCTGCTCTTAACCTTGTGGCCTTTCCCTCCAGCCTTTCCCCCTGCCCTTATCCAGCAGGCCACATCCACCTTTGGTCAGTGACTGGCTTACAGGTCCCCAGCACTGTTATCTTTGCACCAGAGCCCACTCTCACCTAATCTCCGTGTGCTGGTGCTACGTCAAGTGTGGTGGTGGTTAGGAGTCACCTTCCGTGTGAGGTCAAGCGTTCTGGCTCCCGTTGTCCTTGAAGTTGCATCTCAGGCTTCTGGGCATGGCAGAGCCTGCGTTCCTGTGACTCGGCTGAGGCCGGTGTGATGGAGACTTCCCGGCAGCCTCCCGGACCTGGTCTCTCCAAGGTCAGATCTTGAAACTTCTGGGCACCCATGCGAGTGCCTGTCCTGGTGTGCCGACTTGCTCTTGGTCTGCGAAGCCTGTGGACACATGGTCAACATGAAACCACCTTAACCCGCTTCCCGTCAGGTCTCGTGGGAGGGATGGGGCAGTGCCTGGAGCACAGAGAGGCTCAGGAAAGGGCAGTTCAACTGGTTTCGCTGTGGTGGATCCCTCATGGGGGTCTTTCTAGCCCAAACTGGGTGTGATCCTGGGATAGTCAAGAGCTCATGGGAAGCTCTTGTTTTTCTCGTATTTTATAGGCATGTGGAGTTTTCAGGAAGTCCAAAAAAGTGCCCAGTGGTCTTGGCAGGCTTTGAGTCTTGGCCACCTGACTTGTTGCCAGTTCCCTTCACCCCTGGTGACCCCTAACGTTTATCTGGGGTCTCATCATGGGGTCAGAATTTGTTACTTCCGTTTCTTTTATGAAAGAGTGCATTTGGGTGTATTTGAATTGTTTATTTTATACTCTATGAAGTCAATAAACCCATTCCTATCACCCATCCCACTGCCTGAGCTAAGGGGCCTTCCACAGTTGACCTGGAGAGTTCAAGTGCACTGCACTCGAGTGCGCTTCTGGGTTGAAGCTGCCACCTGGTACTCCCAGAGCCTGTGCCTCTGAGGCTTCCTCTTAGGTTGTGGATCCGTGGAAGAGCCCTGCCCCTGGGAACTGACATTTCCCTTAGAATAGGGACAGAATGGAAGGTCTTGCATTTCTGGAGAAGCCAGATAAGGCTGACAATTCCTGTAAGATTCCTTCTTAGGATGCTTGACTATGTGTTCATATTCTGTATTATAAACATATGCTACTTTTCATTTAACATTCTATTTTTTTGAAAATGTTCCTCTGTTATGAAAACTTTCTTGATTTTTAATGGATTCTCCAAGTCATAACCATTTTCTAGGAGAGTGTGGCATTTTGGTAACTGGAAGTAACCACAGTTTCAGCATTGCTCCAAAGACTTAGGCGTTCTTCTGGTTGTTGGTGGAGTTTGCATGTCAGTCATGTATCTGCTTCTGATATTTTATAGAAACATTTGACAAGGATGATTTTGCTAACATTTGCCTTGCAGTTCTTCTAGATATTGTACTTATTATTATTATTATTTTCTGCAGGTTGGTCTAATTGAAGGCAATGGAGAAGTAAGTCTTTATGGATCAAAATCTTAGCTCTAGAAAAGGTGAGGGGGCCTGTTTTGGAAATACGTCTATTCATAAATATATTGTTTGATGTAATTATGAATTTGATGATATTGAAGCCTCTCAGTACTCTCAATTACCCTTATGGGTAATCTTAGGGCTTATAACATTTAGGAGACACCTGCAGATGCACAACAATAGCTTTGTTTATTGTGATTTCTAAGTTATTTATATGATTTGCAAAAGTTCAGAAAATGTAGAGTAATGTAAGAAGAAAGAAGAAAATAAAGATCACATGTATTCCTTCTGCCCAAAGATAATGAACACCTCACAATGCTGTAGACTCTTCTAGGAGGCTCCTGTGTGGCCAGCCACAGTAATGCTGTTTATTTATTATTTTATTATTATTATTATTATTATTTGAGATGGAGTTTTGCTCTTCTTGACCAGGCTGGAGTCCAATGTTGCGATCTCCGCTTTCTGCAACCTCTGCCTCCCAGATTCAAGCAATTCTCCTGCCTCAGCCTCCCGAGTAGCTGGGATTACAGGCATGCACCACAACGCCCGGCTAACTTTTTTGTTGTTGTTGTTTTGTTTTTTTTGAGACAGAGTCTTGCTCTGTCCCCCAGGCTGGAGTGCAGTGGCGGGATCTTGGCTCACTGCAGGCTCTGCTTCCCGGATTCATGCCATTCTCCTGCCTCAGCCTCCCGAGTAGCTGGGACTACAGGCGCCCACCACCACACCCGCTAATTTTTTGTATTTTAGTAAATACGGGGTTTCACCATGTTAGCCAGGATGGTCTCAATCTCCTGACCTCGTGATCCGCTGCCTCGGCCTCCCAATGTGCTGGGATTACAGGTGTGAGCCGCCGCGCCCCGCCAACTTTTTATATTTTTAGTAGAGACAGGGTTTCACCATGTTGGTCAGGCTGGTCTTGAACTCCTGACCTCAGGTGATTTACCTGCCTTGGCCTCCCAAAGTTCTGGGATTACAGGCATGAGCCACCGTGCCCGGCCAGTAATGCTGTTTAAAATGAAAGAAGGCTCTACAATGGGGCCATGACGCACACCGCATATGAAGTGGGCATCTTCCGTGTCAGTAAGTTTTATGTATGTATTCTAATAGTTCTTGAGGAATCTGTATTTTTCTGTTCCTAGAGGAATCTAGGGAGGAAGTAAGGTGGAGAGGTTAAAGTCACAGCTCTTCAATGATCTTATAACTCACAGAGTTTCTGTTTAAGTCCTCAAAGTGACACTGTGATGAGCATCTGTAAATGTGTGTGTTTGTGCTCTCCTGGCCACTTCCTCAGATGACCTTCTAGGCAGAATTGCCAGATCAAAAGGGTACACACCTTGGAAGCATTGATGTGGGATGCCTGTCTCTTTTTTTTTTTTGAGACAGAGTTTTACTCTTGTTGCCCAGGCTGGAGTGCAATGGCTTGATCTTGGCTCACCGCAACCTCCGCTTCTGGGGCTCAAGCGATTCTCCTGCCTCAGCCTCCTGAGTAGCTGGGATTACAGGCATGCACCACCATGCCCAGCTAATTTTGTATTTTTAGTAGAGATGGGGTTTCTCCATTTTGGTCAGGCTGGTCTCGAACTCCCAACCTCAGGTGATCCACCCACCTCGGCCTCGCAAAGTGCTGAGATGACAGGTGTGAGCCACTGGCCAGTCTCATTTTTAAGACTGCATTGGTGTGGAGCTGTGAGTTTGTTCAAGACAGTTGAAGTGCAGTTTATTATAATATTGCTAAAGGCAAACTTGTGGAAAAGTCCACTTTGTCCTGAGAAGAACTGACTTGCAGGAGGTCAAGTGAGGTCCTTGACAGTGCTCTGAGCCATCCTGTCCACTTCCTATGAGTCAGGCAGACTATGAGCCCAAAGGTCTTGAAGTATTACGGTGTTAGGTTTTGTTTAAACATTAGTTATTTCTGATTTTTCTAATTGTTTGCATACACAATCTCTTTTTACTCTTAACAGTGAGACTCTAGTAAGTGGTCTCTTGATGCTTACTATAACTTTGGGGATGTTTGAAAGTGGTGACCGAGTCACCCACCTGGTCTTCTGCCATGTCACTTGGCCCTGCTGGTCCATTTGTTTTTGGCCAGTGCCCGTTTGGGAGCCAAACCTTGTCACCTACCTCCAGCCCACCTTGCCCCTGGGGAGTCAGGTGCAGATGCTTCTCCGGGCCCTTCCCACTGTCCTGTTCTGATCTTTTACCTGGTGCAGGGCAGAGGGGCTTAGAGGACTTGACCTCATTATCTGAGCAAGCTCGTGTTCTCCCTGAAGCCTCCTGGTGCCTGGCAGGGTTCAGGTGCTGCAGGCCAGTCAAGCCGACACATAATATTAACCATCACAGGGCCACTTGTGCCTCTCTTTTTCTTCCTCCTGCTGCCGCAGATAATCCATTTTCAGATTTCCCCTGTATGTATCAGGGTTCTCTAGAGAAACATATGCATTTGTATGTAAGATATAGAAAAGATTCATTTCAAGGAATTGGCCTGTGTGATTGTGGGGACTGGCAAGTCTGAAATGTGCAGGACAGGCAGGAAATGTGCAAGAATTGATGCTAAAGTCGCGGCAGAATTCCTTCCCTCTAAAACCTCAATTTTTGCTCTTAAAGCCTTCAACTGGTTAGCTGAGCCCCACCCCCATTATTGAGATATATGCGAAGTGTTTGTGCTTATGTAGACACACACAAGTATATGCATATTAGTCATATGTGTATATGAGAATATATAGACAGTGCCTACCACATAGTGGGCACTCACAAAAATCTGCTATTAGCCATGTGCGGTGGTGCCCACCTGCAGTTCCAGCTACTTCTGAGGCTAAGTCAGGAGGATCTCTTGAGCCCAGGAGTTCTTTGAGTTCAGCCTGGGCAACATAGTGAGATCTTGTCTCAAAAAAGAAAAAAAATATGCCGCTATTAGCTGCTATTATTATTGTTCTTTTCATTAGTTCAAATCTTTTTCCTTCCTCCATGTAACAACTGCCGATCCTTGGTTCTGGTTGTCTATAGTTATATGGAGGGAGGGAAAGATTTGAGAATAGTGTTCATATCTTTCCCTATATTTCCTCATTTAATCCTGAGCCTGAGTGGAGGGTGAGGCTGTGTCAGGGAAATAAGGAGACGTGGGAGTGAGGCCATGTGCTTGTGCTGGGCAGGACTGTGCATGGGGCGCACCTGTGAGGTCGAGTAGGAGAGACGTCGGGTGCTTCTGGGGGTGGAGATTAGATTTGCAGATTGGGGAGTAGGTTAGATGCCCTCCCTGG
The DNA here is from genome assembly GCF_000001405.40 of Homo sapiens. Lineage (NCBI taxonomy): Eukaryota > Metazoa > Chordata > Mammalia > Primates > Hominidae > Homo > Homo sapiens. The sequence continues at coordinate 160,022,235 of NC_000003.12, read as the reverse complement.
GCTCTCAACGTGGAAAGGAGGCTGGGAGTGGGCAGTGGGGCCTGGGGCGTTAGCAGCTGGAGGTGGGATGACAGAGAAGAACGAGAAGGCCAATGGAGAAATGGCATTCCCACTCCAGCTTTCTGCAAGGTTGTATCATTGAAGTCGTGCATGTCAGCCTTCTAGATGTGTGGGTAGAGGGGTAAGACTGGAGGAGCAGGGCCGAGTCAAGGCTGGGTAGGACTTGGGTGACACCAAATGAAATTAGTATTAAAGCCAGACTTGTGATTTGAGCTCAAATTCAAACAATTAAATTCTCTTTTATCCATTTTCAAAGACGAACAGGCTCCTTTGATGTGAAACAGACTGGTTGTGGACTCAGGGAGAATTTAGAAAAGAAATTAATTGAGTTTGGATCTGTTTTACAAAATGTATGATTTTTAAAATAAATCATTTCTACTCTTTATTCAGTGTGTGCATTTCCTGACCTTTGTTTTCATTTAAGACAGGACAACAGTTCTGAGAGCAGTTCTGGATGTAAGTCTGTTAAGTAAGATATTAATCTCCTTAATTACGGAAATTACATAGAAACCTTTATTTTTATTTTAAAGTAATACACACATCATTTATTAATTGTTGTTTCCAGATATATTAATTACAAGCATGGTTTTAGACAGCATTGGAAAAGTATTTATATGGTAAATAAAATAACTTCTAGTTGTCAAGGAAAGTGAAAAACAGGATAAGTTCAAGCAAGACAAGACTCATGTCTGTGTTTCAGAACCTTCAGATCAGCCTAGAACCTTCTGAGACAAGGATTCTGAAAACTTTTAGTCTTTATTTGCCATTTTATCTTCAATGCTGTTTTTAAAAGCTGGTTCTCTTGCAATCCCTGGTCCCCCAACACTGCCCTGATAGGCCAATTGTCTAGGCAGCAGTTGTGGCAACAGCTGGAACTGCCTGCACTTTCTGGGCACTAGTGCTGGCATAAGGACCTTGCCAATCATGCTGAGCAGGAGTGCCTAGCTTCCCTTCACGCGACCCTCCCAAAGGTGGCTCAGATCTGGAAGGTCCAAAGCCCATCTCGTGGCACATTAGGTATGAACCCCAAGTGTTTATACCTACTTTTGAAGTAGGTTGTTGTCTACTTTTGAAGCAGGTTGTTGTCTACTTTTGAAGCCTTGCATTTTTACATGGTCCACACCCATATCCATAGCAAAATAATAGTTAATATCAGATAGCTAACACTTACCGAGTGCTTGCTGCCTGCCAGGCACAATCCCCACCTGTGATTTAATTTCCATAACTTTGTGGAGGTGATAATATTGTAACTCCCATTTAACAGATAAGGAAAGTGAGGCACAGAGAGACTCAATTACACACATAAAGGCACATGCTCAGGCAACACGTGGCCAGTGCAGATAACAGGAAAATTCACTGCTCTTCCCTCTCATAATACATTTTAATATTATGGAAATGTGGTCCTTGAAAAAGTGGTCATTGAGCACTTACCAGGTGCTACGGATACAATTCCTCTGCAGCTTGCATTCTAGTGGGGAGAGACAGGAAACAAATGCTAAAATGTGCAGGGTGCCAGGAGTGGCCCATTCCCTGAAAGAAAAGGAAAGGGGAGAGTGGTTGTGTCAGGAGATTCTCTCTGATAGGGCAGCATCTGAGCAGAGACCAGAGGATATGAGGGGAGTGAGCAACAGGGCTATTTGTGGGGGAAGACAGTAAGTGCAAAGGCCCTGAGGCAGGAGCGTGCCTTTGAAAAGAAATGGCAAGGAATGGCTGGAGGACAGCAAGTGCAGGGAGGCTGGGAGGAGACGGAGGAAAGGGCAATGAGATCCTAGAGGGCCCTGGCCACACTGAAAGAAGCTCCTGTGAAACGGAGTCTCTCAGAATAGGTCCCTTTTAAAGTCACCTGAAACCAGGTGTCAGTGCCTGCCTGCCTGCCTTCCCTCCTTCTTTCCTTTCTTTCTTTCTTTCTTTCCTTCTTCTTTCTTTCTCTCTCTCTCTCCTTCCTTCCTTCCATCCTTCCTTCCTTTCTCTCTTTCTTCTCTTTCTCACTTTCTTCTCTTTCTTTCTTTCTTCTTTGTTTCTTTGTTTGTTTCTTTCTTTCTCTCTCTCTCGCTTGCTTGCTTGCTTTCCTTCCTTCCTTCCTTCCTTCCTTCCTTCCTTCCTTCCTTCCTTCTTTCCTTCTTTCTTTCTTTCTTTCTTTCTTTCTTTCTTTCTTTCTTTCTTTCTTTCTTTCTTTCTTTCTTTCTTTCTTTCTTTCTTTCTTTCTTTCTTTCTTTCTTTCTTTCTTTCTTTCTTTCTTTCTTTCTTTCTTTTCTTTCTTTCGAAGTCTTGCCCTGTTGCCCAGACTGGAGGGCAGTGGCACGATCTTGGTTTACTGCAACCTCTGCCTCCTGGGTTCAGGTGATTCTCCTGCCTCAGTCTCTTGAGTAGCTGGGACTACAAGTGCCCGGCACCACACCCGGCTAATTTTTGCATTTTTAGTACAGACAGGGTTTCACCACATTGGCCAGGCTGGTCTTGAACTCCTGACCTCGTGATCCACCTGCCTCAGCCTCCCAAAGTGTTGGGATTACAAGTGTGAGCCACCACGCCTGGCCCTAGTGCCTTTCTTACTTCCAAACACATGTTTCTGAACTGCATAAGGAGCCTGGAAGGCTGATGGCAGCCAAGGCTAAGTGCCATTGTGAGCACTGTGAGACTCTAGCAGAGTTCTGGGGTCCTGGTCGCCCCAGGTGACTCTCGAATGGGAGCAGCTGCCCTCCAGTTGCAATGCTGGTCTCTGAGATGAGTGACTGTAATGAAGAGATTGATGATAACCCCATGTCCTCAGACCTTCATTGTTTCTGCGGAAGGGAACTGGGAAAGTCTTCCACCAAGGAATCTTTTGTGAGGCAGTGAGCTTGCCTTCCTGTTTTCTGTAATTCCTCCCATTCTCCCATGTGCTTGCGGCGAGAGGAGGACGTGAGGATTGTGTTAAAGGGTGATGAGAGAGCAGGAGTGGTTGCAGTTCTGGAAAAAGATCTAATAAAACACTTACCTGCCTGAAGGCAGTGTGCTGAAATGAAGAGGCACATTCAACAGCATTGTCATACATTGGACCTGTGAGGGGTGTCATTGAATTGACCACTTAGGATGTTTAAATGTTTATTTAAAGTTGCCCTTGGCTATAAAGCCTGAAGTGGGTGTTGGAGTAGTCAACGACTAACCCAGGATGGATTTGTGCCAATACACAAGTGACAACATCTTTCACAGCTGAAGAGTCGGAGGATAAAGCCATGCCCACAGATCGTTGTCACACAGGTATAACCTTACATTTTCCAAAATAGTCTTTTAAGTGCCAGCATTGTTGAGTGGCATGCACTTTTTGAATTATGTAATCTGGGCATATTGTATACCTTTATTTTAAAAATTTTGTTTAAAAATGCCAATCACGTTTATTTTACTTTATACATATAAGTAACATTTTTTCTATCATATATAATTTAATAAAATCCAATCTCACTGTGAACACTGTACTGCTGAAAATTCATTTTTACTATAAAATAGAATTCTGTAAATTGCTTTAAGAAAGCATTTATTGGCTGGGTGTGGTGGCTCACACTTGTAATCCCAGCACTTTGGGAGGCCAAGGTGGGTGGATCATGAGGTCAGGAGATGGAGACCATCCTGGCTAACACGGTGAAACCCCGTCTCTACTAAAAATACAAAAAATTAGCTGGGCGTGGTGGCAGGCACTTGTAGTCCCAGCTACTCAGGAGGCTGAGGCAGGAGAATGGCATGAACCAGGGAGGCAGAACTTGCAGTGAGCCAAGATCGCGCCACTGCACTCCAGCCTGGGTGACAGAGCGATATTCCATCTCAAAAAAAAAAAAAAAAATTATTTATATAGTACTTATATATTATCTATGTACTTTTTCCCAGACACACACAGTGAACAAGTGATCACTGGGCTCCTTTCCCAGGCACAGTTTTTGTAAGTAATTGTGAATGCAGGATACCTAATATCTTTGATCATTTAAGTTTTTACATAAAACTAACTCTAGTAGGAGAAAAACAAAGGTGCGTAAGTCACGTTCACATATCTTATGTAGTCACTTTGATTGTTTCCTTGGATAATGATGCTCTGACAGAGTGCTATTGAGTTCTCTTAGTTCCTTCCTTCCTTCCTTCCTTCCTTCCTTCCTTCCTTCCTTCCTTCCTTCCTTTCTCTTTCTCTCTCTCTCTCTCTCTCTCTCTCTCACCCAGGCTGGAGTGCAGTGGCATGATCTTGGCTCACTGCAACCTCCGCCTCCTGGGTTCAAGAGATCCTCCTGCCTTAGCCTCCTAAGTAACTGGGATTACAGGTGTGCACCACCACGCCTGGCTAATTTTTGTATTTTTAGTAGAGACGGGGTTTTGCCATGTTGGCTGGGCTGGTCTCAAACTCCTGGCCTCAAGTGACCCGCCCGCCTCAGCCTCCAAAAGTTCTGGAATTATAGGCGTGAGCCACCGCTCCTGGCCTCTTAGTGCTTTTGAATGAAATAAAAACCCGTAATTATTTTAAGAAGTCTTCTTCTATGTAAAAATTAGAACTAGGCTGGGCGTGGTGACTCACGCCTGTAATCCCAGCACTTTGGGAGGCCGAGGTGGGTGGATCATCTGAGGTCAGGAGTTTGAGACCAGACTGGTCAACATGGCGAAACCCCATCTCTACTAAAAATACAAAAATTAGGCGGGCATGGTGGTGGCGTGTGCCTGTAGTCCCAGCTACTCGGGAGGCTGAGTCAGGAGAATTGTTTGTACCTGGAAGGTGGAGGTTGCAGTGAGCCAAGATCGCCATTGCACTCCAGCCTGGGCAACAAGAGTGAAACTTCGTCTCAAAAAAAAAAAAAAAAGAAAGAAAGAAAGAAAGAAAAAATTAGAACTAAACAGGTGTTCTTGTCTGTCCAACATAGACTGGTAGACTCAGAGGGAGTATTCCAATGTTCGGAAACTGAAAACTTTATTTGAGGTCAACAGAAAAGAAGTTGAGATCAAGTATCATGTTTTGTCCTGGAGCCAAATATGTAGACTTTGCTGTTGAGCCTGGCTTGACACTGGACCTTTGATTGATGTTAACTGTGACTCACCCTCTCTTGCCTCCTTTCAGTTTCCAAATTCTCTCTGCTTGGGTCAAAAGTCATTGCTTGCCAGAAGTTTAATAGTGTGTGCATTGTGTGTATGTGTGTGCATGCCAATATGTATGCAACCCATACAATGCCTGGAACACCAATTTAGCTTCATATTTTAACAGACCATGATTCCAACATCATGTCAAAGTCTTATATGTTAAAAGTTCTGCATCCACATTAGAAGGTACTATGGATCACTGTGTATCCCATGCCAAATGGTACATGAGCTCTCTTTCTCCTCTGGGTCCTGATATTTTAAACAAAGAAACAGTGTGCCATTATGGGCCCTTGATTCTGTGCAAAGTCATTGATCGTTACCCATCCTTGAGGTTTTTTTCTTGAGGCAGAGTCTTGCTCTGTTGCCCAGGCTGGAGTGCAATGGCGCGATCTCAGCTCACTGCAACCTCTGCCTCCCGTGTTCAAGCGATTCTCCTCCCTCAGCCTCCCAAGTAGCTGGGATTACAGGCACCTGCCACCATGCCTGGCTAATTTTTGTATTTTTAGTAGTGACAGGGTTTCACCATGTTGGCCAGGCTGGTCTCGAACTCCTGACTTTGTGATCTACCTGCCTTGGCTTCCCAAAGTGCTGGGATTACAGGCGTGAGCCACCATACCTGGCCCCATCCTTGACTTTTAACATGTACAGAGCAACCAATAACGAGTCCTTCCTCAAAGTAAAGTGAAATGAATAATAAATGTCTAAGACTTTGTGGTTAAACCTAACTCCACACTGAGGTGGGTCCTGTCCCTGTTGATCTAAATTTTCCTCCACTAGGGGTCTAATTTGGAGCTTCCCTACAGAGGATTGTGTGCTGCATCCTCAGATCCATGGCGCAAGGTTTTTTCCACGTGTGAAAAGAAGATAACAGATGGGAAAGAGCTATCCAGAATTGGTGTGGGCGCTGGTACCAGGCCTGGCCATGGAGAGGACTCCCCCATATTTAACCTAGGGCATCTATTTTCTGCAGCCTTGCTGCTTAAAATGGGGTCTGGGAACCAAGGTACCATGAGGATCAGCATCAACTGAGAGCAGCTTGTTAAGACGCGAAGTCTCAGCCCCACTCCAGACCTGCAGCACTGTAATCTGCAGTAGGCAGGATTCCAAGGCAACTCTTGTTCACATCAGAATTTGAGAAGCAACTGTTCTAGAATACACTAGGGAGCCATATGAGATCTCAGGATCAAGTGTAGAGTGACTTGAGGTTTCTCCTTGGTTGAGAGCTCCTCAAATAAGATAGGCCTCCCAGGTTAACTAATTTCAGAGCAATTTTTCAGATTTAGAAAATTGGAGTCAGGCGCAGTGGCTCACGCCTGTAATCCCAGCACTTTGGGAGGCCGAGGCGGGCAGATCACCTGAGGTCAGGAGTTCAAGACCAGCCTGGCCAAAATGGTGAAGCGTTTTCTCTACCAAAAATACAAAAATTAGTCAGGAGTGGTGGTGTGCGCCTGTAGTCCCAGCTGAGGCATAAGAATTGTTTGAACCAGGGAGGAGGAGGCTGCAGTGAGCTGAGATCTTGCCACTGTATTCCAGCCTGGGTGACAGAGTGAGACTCTGTCTCAAAAAAAAAAAAAAAAAAAAAAAAAAAAGAAAAAGAAAAAGAAAAAACAAAAATTGGGTTCATTTTGGGTTTTGTTGCACAAATATACATATTTAAGCACCTGTTAGGTGCAAGGCATTATGGCCTGAGGGGAGGTGGTTTGGATATTCATAATGGAACGAGATTCCTAGAATATAGAACAAAGCTGCAATGTTTAAACCATTTTTCTAAACTTTTGTGTAATTCAGCATTGAATCTCCTTTCTCATCTTTACCTATTGTAAGTCCAGTTAAAATGAGGGTAGACGTGGATGGTGAACTGAAAGTAGCAAAGTAGACAGATGCAATGGTGACTACAAATCCCACTTTCTGATTTGAAATGTGGGATTGACAGCAGTTGAAAAATAAGGATTAGGTCTATAATAAACTGTCTTTATTAATGAACTATAGTTTAAGTAATTAACACAAATTCAGAATAAGTAGTACCATTTAATGGGTTTATGTTTTTAACAAGTACATTAAGTTAATTAGAAAGGCCTCATGCACACTTCCTGGGAAGCTAGAATAGCTGATCATATTCTGCTAATGCGGAGGGAGGTTCCCCCAAGAACAACAGGGACAATGGCATGGGAAAGGCTGGACGTCCTTCCTGGCTGATGTTTTACACCTTTCTTCTTGGGTTGATTGTTTTTTTCCTATGTAGAAGATTTCCTTGGACTTGGCCTTCAGAAAACCTAAATTTAAAGTTCAGCTTTATCAGGGGAGCCTGGGAGAATGGTTACATTAACCTCTTTGTGGCCTTTGAAACATACATAGAAAATATCAAGGGATAGTTGTAAAAATGAGGATAAAAACATCTAAAGTGCTAAGTAGAAAGTAACTGAGTAGAATGGAAGCCTGTAGAGCAAAAAATTAGATTGTGGTTTGAGTGAGTGGTTTATGCCTGTAATCCGAGAAATTTGGGAGGCCAAGATGGGAGGATTGCTTGAGTCCAGAAGTTCAAGACCAGCCTGGGCAATTAGCAAGACCCTGTCTCTATAAAAAATTAAAAATTAGCTGGATGTGGTGGTGTGCACCTGTAGTCCCAACGATTTGGTAAGCTGAAGAGAGAGGATAGCTTGAGCCCAGGAAGCTGAGGCTGCAGTGAGCCACATCACTCCAGCCAAGGTGACAGATGGAGATGCTGCCTCAAAAAAATAAAGTTAGATTGTATTTGCATGAAGGGCATGTAGTTAGCCTACAGGTATGATGCTAGTGCTTATTTAATTTTCTGAAATCTTTTAGAAGAAGGCTGCTTGTGCCACGTGGGGTACCTGTGTTCTTTTGGCTGTGGAGTTTGCGCAGGAAGAGGTTTGGAGATCCAGGAGCCTGAAGTCAGATGACAGGTGCCTTGACCTCTGTGGCATGTCTCTTTGGACTCTGTGAAAGTTATTTAATTGCTGTGGTTTTCTAGAAGAATATGAAGATAATTGTAAGGTGCCACATGCACTGCTTGGACTCTTACAGTTCTGACAGTTATTCCTGACAAATTTCAAAACCAAAGTCTGTTTCTACTTGTAGGATATTTCTAAGATATCCCCTGAGAAATTAATGACAATGGAGAAGCCTCTTGTTTGCCAGAATTTATTGTAGAATGGAAATAAATACAGAGTGATGAGTGAACCAGAAACTGTAATTACCCTAGAAATACATATTCTTTTTCTTTTCTTTTCTTTTCTTTTCTTTTTTTTTTTTTTGAGACAGAGTGTTGCTCTGTGGCCTAGGCTGGAGTGCAGTGGCACGATCTTGGCTTACTGCAACCTCTGCCTCCTGGGTTCAAGTGATTCTCCTGCCTCAGCATCCCAAGTAGCTGGGATTACAGGTGTGTACCACCATGCCTGGCTTATTTTTGTATGTTTAGTAGAGATGGGGTTTCACTGTGTTGGCCAGGCTGGTCTCGACCTCCTGACCTCAAGTGATCTGCGAGCTTTAGCCTCCCAAAATGTTGGGATTACAGACGTAAGCCACCACGCCTGGCCCAGAAACACATATTCTATAAACCAACTTGAATTAGCAGCAGAGATGTATATCCCTTAGATATGGTATTTTCTTTCTTTCTTTCTCTTTCTTTCTTTCTCTTTTCTTTCTTTCTTTCTTTCTTTCTTTCTTTCTTTCTTTCTTTCTTTCTTTCTTTCTCTTTCTCTTTCTTTCTTTCTCTCTCTCTTTCTTTCTCTTTTCTCTCTCTCTCCTTTTTTTTTTTTTGACAGCATTTTGCTGTAATGCCCAGGCTGGAGTGCAATGGCATGATCTTCACTCACTGCAACCTCTGCCTCCTGGGTTCAAGCAATTCTCCTGTCTCAGCCTCCCGAGTAGTTGGGACTACAAGTGCGTGCCACCACGCCCGGCTAATTTTTGTATTTTTAGTAGAGACGGGGTTTCACCATATTGGCCAGGCTGTTCTCGAACTCCTGACCTCAAGTGATCCACCTGCCTCAGCCTCCCAAAGTGCTGGGATTACAAGAGTGAGCCACCGTGCCGGGCCAGATATGGTATTTTCAATGTTTCAAAATAGTGCATTGTGTTCTCACATTTTATAATCCTATTTCTGAAAAAACAATAGTTTGTTAACCTTGTAGCTTATTCCAAAGAAGCAGCTTTGGAGGATTTGCAGAAGTGGAGTCATGGGAGGGCATTTTCTGAGCTCTATGGGCCCTGGTGATTGTCAGACACTCAGAGGATCCTTTAAAAGTTTCTAGGACTAGGAATGGAAAGAGAGAGGAGCCAGGTTAAGGCAATCAGGTGGCGATGGCAATGCCCAGTGCAGTTAAGTGCTTTGTTCCTGTATTTCCTCCAGACTTGCTGTCAAACCTGGACAGGAGCCGAGGAGGTGGGAGGCAAGGGCCAGTGCATGTAGTGGGGTTCAAATTCCAGTTCTACCCCTTCCTAGAGGAGGACTTGGGCAAATGGAGTAGCTCCTCTGAGGTTCTCTGTCCATAATATAGTGATAAGAGGGCTTTCTGGGGGGAAGGTGGTATTCAGTGAGGGGAGACAACTAAACTATTAGCTTATTTCTGTAAATGTTCTCCAGTTCCAGGTTGGAGAATGATTCAAGTTAGCAAAAATGATGAGGAGGTTGGAAAGCTCCAATGAAACCATGGTCAGTGGGTGATAAGTGTGTGTTGCAGTTTGATAACATGAAAGACTGAAACTGAGAGAGAGTTGAAAAATAAGTCTTTAGAAAAATAGAGTTTAGGGACTGGAAGCCTCAATGAGGTAGAAAACCAGGGTGGAGTAAGGAGGAACTGAAAGCAAAAGAAAAGCACGTGTGTGACTTGAGAGTGAGATTTCCAAAGTCAGTTTCAGTTACCACCCAAGCAATCACTAACCCTTCTAAATTGTCATTATTTCGTATATTGATATGGTATTTTATTAATTAATACACTTTTTTTTTCAAGATAGAGTTTTTCTCTGTCACCTAGATTGAAGTGCAATACTGTGATCATGGCTTACTACAGCCTCAGCTTCCCAAACGATCCTTCTAATCTCAGCCTCCTGAGTAGCTGGGACCACAGGAATGTGCCATCTTGCTTGTCTAACTAAAAAAAAATTTTTTATTTTAGACATGGAGTCTCACTATTTTGCCCAGGCTGGTGTCAAACTCCTGGGCCCAAGGAATTTACTTGTTTTGGCCTCCTAAATCCCCTTGGATTATAGGTATGAGCCACTGTGCCCAGTCTAAGTAGAATTTTAAAAATCTCCTTTTCTAAAGAAAATTGAATTTGTTGATAGTAAAGTTTTAAAATTGGGAAGTTATATTGAAATGTGTCTGGTGCAACCAGTGGAGTTTAAATTATTTTTGACCAAAATGGATTCTGAAGAAATGGTATGGATAGAAAACAAAGAATGTAAGTTTTATCTTGAATAAAAACTAGTTTTCAGGGTGGGGTGAGTGGAACTGAGGGTAGAAAAGGGTGAGAAAGCAAATATAATAATTGTCTCATCTCTATAACATTTAAAGATTTGATTAAGTGAAACAAAGCCCCAGCTGCTGGAGCAGAGGTTCCACTTGGGTTCCACAGACACCCACAGCCCAAATCCCTGGAGGTCAGTGGGGCTCACAGTGAGTGTGGGGATGCTTCTAATAGTGGGTGTGCTCAGCTGGGAGTGGGTTTGGTTTGGTTTGGTTTGGTTCAAAGGCAGCAGAAGTCTGCATCTTAGCTGTCTTAATGTGAATGTGGGGTCTTGTGACAGGGTCTCTTCTGTATCCTGGGGGTGGATCTGCACTCTGCCTGATGGCCTAGCTACTTTGCCAGACCCTGCCTGCTTGGTCTTCACCAGGTTGCTCCTGCTGTGTATGATTACAGCCTTGGCATGGGACTGCATTTCCCTTGTTTAATGTTGGTGCTGGGAAGCCCTCTTGCAACCACTCCTTTAATATCCTCCTTTCTCCTGGGAGAAGCTGGAGAGAGCTACAGGTCATGAGGTCCTCCTCTGGGAGAAGGGAGATGGAGAGAAACACCAGATACACCTCCATCTCCTGCAGCTGTTTTGAGTTTGATTTCTTATTCTATTTGAAGGAAATTTTTTAGAATAACAGATACATGTATAATAAACACATTTTCGAACGTAAAGAGGGAAAGTAGGAATGGGATGGAAGTGAGACCACTGAAATTCACTGGCTCCATGTGGGAGCTCAGGGCCATAGTGTCATCATCTACAAATGGCACTGAAGTTTCTCCTGCCATTGATACAAGTTTGCAGCAGATGTTATTTCTGCATCATTTGCATTTTCAGTTATGATACTTCACCTCTTTCTCAGTATCACACACAATTCAGTGTTGACTATGATATTCTGAAAAGCACACAGGCCGGGCATGGTGGCTCATGTCTGTAATCCCAATGCTTTTGGAAGGAGAAGCAGGTGGATCCTCGGTGCCAGGAGTTTGACACCAGCCTGGGCAACAAAGGGAGACCTCAGTTCTTTTTTTTTTGAGGTGGAGTCTTGCTCTGTCACCCAGGCTGGAGTGCAATGGTGCAATCTCATCTCACTGCAACCTCCGCCTCCCGGGTTCAAGCCATTCTCCTGCCTCAGCCTCCTAAGTAGCTGGGATTACAGGCACGCACCACCACCCCCTGCTAATTTTTTTAATTTTTTTGTATTTTTAGTAGAGACGGGGTTTCACCATGTTGGTTAGGCTGGTCTGGAACTCCTGACCTCGTGATGCGCCTGCCTCGGCCTCCCAAAGTGCTGGGATTATAGGCGTGAGCCACTGCGCCTGGCCGAGACCCCATTTCTATAAAAATTTTTAAAAATTAGCCAGGCATGGTGGTGCGTTCCTGTGGTCTCAGCTACTTGGGAGGCTGAGATGGGAGGATAGCTTGAGCCTGGGAGGTTAAGGCTGCTGTGAGCCATGATGGCTGCAGTGAGTCATGATGGTGCCAGTGCACTCCAGCCTGAATGACAGAGTGAGACTCTGTCTCAAAAAAAAAAAAAAAAGCAAGCAAGCAAGCAAGCACACAGATGAGTTTAGTAGATGGACATTAAAGGAGTTTTAACCAACTCTTTTATTTCTTCTCTCTCTTAAAAAACTATATGTTGCTGACAAGAAATTATATTTCTTCTGTCATGTAGAATTTTTATTTTGCTCCATAAATGTAATGACATTGGGATATCATGGATCTGTTTTCTGTACACCTACTTATCACTTAAATAACTTTTGAATCATTTTTCAACTTGTTTCTATTATATCCATCAAGTTATATGTGGACAGATGATTTGGTAACAACCAATGCTGGCACAGAATGAGTGCTGTGCACAGGTCATCCATTGAAGTCTGTCTCCTGTCATGTCTTTGTCTCTCAAAAGGAAACTGTTTTGGAACTCAGTCATGTTTAGAATTCTCAGTCTCAGTTTAAGCATAAGCCTCTCCTATGGATGTGGCTGAATTTTACTCTAGATACTATCCCATTCAATTAGCCAGTTTAAAACAGGCCAGTTTATTCAAAGCTAAAATTACAGCTGCATAAAGAGGTAGTTTGGACTCTCTATGTCAGGAATTGGGTTGTTTTTTGTGGTATTCATTGCTATGTTCAAATAAATGAACCTGAAAGGTGTGACTTTTTCATCACTGCAGATGCCTCAGTAATAGGGATATTTAACTGGTAGCACCCAGAATAACAGATGTTCTTCTACACTGAGTTTCTTGGCTGTTTAAAAAGCTACTTTATAATACCTCTGGTTTACTTGTTTAGAATCTATTTTAATAATATTTTGCATTGTAAGATGCTTCTGGTCTCTGCTCTTTTTTTCAGGCCTAAGGCAATAGCTAATTGAGACTATGCATCACTATTAAGGCATCTTCACTAAAGGGCGCTGTGGAAACGCTGCCTGAGATGCAGACACCTGTCAGAAGGGGGCTAAATTTCAAACAAGGAACGTGGTGTTGCATCACAATAAAGTAAGTGTCCAGAGGGAACTTCTGCAGTACTGTGTTTTCCAACGTGCTGAGTGATATTGTAGGAGACTATTATTTTGCTGGAATTTCTATGAATACATCTATGAATACATTTAAAATAAAAAGTGTTTTTTGTTTTTTTTTTTGAGATGGAGTTTCACTCTTATTGCCCAGGCTGGAGTGCAATGGCGCTCCCTTGGCTCACACAACCTCTGCCTCCTCGGTTCATGCTATTCTCCTACCTCAGCCTCCCGAGTAGCTGGGATTACAGGCATGAGCCACCACGCCCAGAAAATTTTTTGTACTTTTAGTAGAGACGGGGTTTCTCCATGTTGGTCAGGCTGGTCTCGAACTCCTGACTTCAGGTGATCTGCCCACCTTGGCCTCCCAAAGTGCTGGGATTACAGGTGTGAGCTACTGTGCCCAGCCAAAATGTGTTTTTTTAATATTTAATTTTGTGGCCAGGAGTCTCACGCCTGTTATCCCAGCACTTTGGGAGGCCGAGGCGAGTGGATCACGAGGTCAAGAGATCGAGACCATCCTGGCCAACATGGTGAAAACCTGTCTCTACTAATAATAGAAAAATTAGCTGGGCATGGTGGCATGTGCCTGTAGTCTCAGCTACTTGGGAGGCTGAGGCAGGAGAATCGCTTGAACCTGAGAGGCGGAGGTGGCAGTGAGCTGAGATTGCGCCACTGCACTCCAGCCTGAAGACAGAGCAAGACTACGCCTCCAAAAAAATAAAAAAAAGAAAGAAAAAATTGTTTTGGTACATAGTAGGTGTATATATTTATGGGATATGTGAGATATTATGATACAGAAATGCAATGTGAAATAAGCACTTCATGGAGAATGGGGTATCCATCCCCTCAAGCGTTTATCCATTGAGTTACAAACAATCAAATTACACTCTTTAAGTTATTTTAACATATACCATTAAGTTATTACTGACTATAGTTACCCTGTTGTGCTATCAAATAGTTGGTCTTATTCATTCTTTCTAATTATTTTCTTGGTAGTCAAAATAAAATGTTTATTTTTATGACTTCTTTTTTTTTTTTTTTTTTTTTTTGAGATGGAGTCTCGCTCTGTTGCCCAGGCTGGAATGCAGTGGCGTGATCTCGGCTCACTGCAACCTCTGCCTCCCGGGTTCACACCATTCTCCTGCCTCAGCCTCCCGAGTAGCTGGGGCTACAGGCGCCACCGCTACCACGCCCGGCTAATTTTTTGTATTTTTAGTAGATACGGGGTTTCACCGTGTTAGCCAGGATGGTCTCGATCTCCTGACTTCATGATTCACATGCCTCGGCCTCCCAAAGTGCTGGGATTACAGGTGAGAGTCACTGCACCCGGCCTCCATATACCAGTGATAGCAGTGTTTTATTTACAGTAATTATAGGTTTTTTTTTTTTTTGAGACAGAGTTTCACTCTTGTTGCCCAGGCTGGAGTGCAATGGTGTGATCTCAGCTCACTGCAACCTCCGCCTCCTGGGTTTAAGCGATTCTCCTGCCTCAGCCTCCCAAGTAGCTGGGATTACAGAGGTGCCTGCCACCATGCCTGGCTAATTTTTTGTATTTTTAGTAGGGACGGGGTTTCGCGATGTTGGCCAGCCTGGTCTCGAACTCCTGACCTCAAGTATTCTGCCCGCCTCTGCCTCCCAAAGTGCTGGGATTACAGGCGTGAACCACCACGCGCGGCCTCAAACTCATATTTGAAATTTAGAGAGATTGCCAAGACCCTAGAGTTTTGCATGTTCTCACAAATTGATTTCGTTAGTTCAAATTTCATACCACTTTTTCTAACTGATGATTCTTACACCTTGACAGGTGACTGAGTTCAATATGATTAGAGCTGAACCATTTCAAAAAGCAGCACAAGTGGCGACTGCCAGTAACCGATAATAACCGAGTTTAATCCCCCTCTTCTGCTCCTTCCCTCTGATGGAATTCTCATTTTCCCTGGCCTCCCCCATTGACATTCATCCAATGCCCATGCTGCTGGATCAGTCTTCCTGGAGCCATATCTAACTTAGAAAGATGAAGGACTTCCAACCTTTTGGGAGATGACAATGTGTTATCAAAATCAACAAACTAATAGATTGACTTCCTTTGCATATTTTTGCAATGTTCTGTGAGATATCAAGTCACTTCCCTGGTAGTTTCTTATTCAGTATTTCACTGTACTGCTTTAAAAAAAAAAAAAAGTCAGGCCTCAACCCTAACAGAGTCACTTGGAGATCTTGTTAAAAAGTTGAGTTTAGAGTCTGATACAGGTTTTGAGATGGCCCTGAGAACTTAGGTTTTTTCATAGGCTCTCTGGGCAACTTTTATGGGGCAGAGGTTTAGAAAGCTAGGAGTAAGCTGCCAGGTATCAGGAAACCACTAGATGGCAGGGCCATCCCTTGGAGCCCGTTCTTCAATCAAGAAAGTGGTCAGAGAGGAAAGTGGAGTGGGGAAGAGTCCAAGTACACATGTTAAATGCACGTTAATAAGTGGATGGTGAAGATGAGCTTAGGTGTTGGGTCCTAGCGGGAGAGTGGGAAGGATTCCTGTCACTTCTCACCTCTTTCTAGCTTTATCTCCAGTATTTGAAATGCCTGGAGGATCCTTAACTGAAACTCTCCACTAGTCAACTGTGCTGTACTATAGCACAACCACTTTAAAAAGGTGAAAGTAGGAAAACTAGCTCAATGAGAGGGCTAATATTTTTATGGGGCCAATGATTTGAATTGGTAGACATATATGCCCTCCTACATGATATAGGAGATAGAGTGCAAAAATCAAACCAAAGTGTTTTTTCCTACCCTCACTCACCACACACTACTCCTCACATGCCAAGCAAGCAAGCAAGCAAGCAATTTTTCTGCAGATTCTGCAGTGCACACCAGCTGGGTGTCCTCTAATTCAACTCAACTCTTACACTAGCTATCTAGAGATACTGTCAGATCCCACAGGTTAAGGGCTCAGTCCCACAAGACTGTCCCCCACTTCAGAGGCCAGTTATAAGACTGAATTGCCAGAACTTCTGATCCACTGGCTACAAATTGGGGCTCCCAAGACCCTGCCCAGGGGTTCAATTAATTTGTTACAGTGGCTCACAGAGCTCAGGGCAATACTTTACTTACATTTACTGGTTTATTAGTTAGAGATATAATAAAGGATGCAGATGAACAGCCAGATGGAAAGATACTCAGGGAGCTATCTGGAATGGTCCCAGCACTGGAGCTCCTGTCCCTGTGGAGTTAGGGTGCACACACTCCCAGCATGTGGATGTATTTGCAAACCTGGAACCTCTCTGAACCCTGTCCTTTTGGTTTTATAGAAGCTTTAATTTGTAGGCATGATTGATTACATCACTGGCCGTTAGTGATCAACTCCATTTTCAGCCCTCCTCCCTATCTGCTGGTTATGGGGTGGAGCTGAAAATCCTAACTTTCCAATCCAGCCTTGGTTTTTACTGTGACCCACTCCTAACCTGAAGCTATCCAGGGGCCCTCAGCTACCAGTCACCTCATTAACATATAAAGGATTATATGCTAATTATATAGTATATATTATTATGTTATATAATAATATAATATATATATCTATAATTACATGCTATATTATATATGCTATCTAGTAATATAGTTAGCATACACTCCTTTATATGCTAATATATAATTATGCTATATAATTAGCGTATACACTCTAAACACTCCTTAGATTCCAAGGATTTTAGGAGCTTTATGCCAGGAAAAGATAAGGAAGACCAAATGTATATTTCACAAAAATCACACCTTCTAAGTGTATGACACTTTCTAAGAAATTAGCAGACATTACAAATCAGATATAAAACAGATATTACCATCCCATGAGGCTTTTTTTTGAAATGTGCATTTCCCCCTAAAACCAGGAAGTGGCATAATGGAGATGAGAGCTCAGATCTCTTGCTTTTCTCCTTAGTGGTCACTGAGGTCACTAAGTGTCTTGGTGTGCCACTAACATTTAGATAAAGACAGGTGTGTAAGACCAAAACTGTATCTTTCTCTTTTTAAGCCACTTGAATTATTTTTGATGTCTGAATTTTTCAAAATTCCAACCTAATTTGTGCTGTCTTCAAAACAGTCTTATTATTGGAACTATCACTGTGAATGAACATTACACTCTAACAGTGGTATGTTATATGAAATGGTACCATTTAGTCCTTAAAATTGATTGGAAAACAGTGATTGGGGAACATTTAAATATATTTTAAAAGTGAGAGAAGTAACAATTAATGCTATACTTTTTTTAATAAGGAGAGTATATTTTCATTGTAAGTATCTATTAATGATTGAAATGTTCAGAGGAACTACTGAATTCATCATCTGTGTTTAGATGAAGCAAAGACGAAACCCCCTTAACAGTTACTCAGTTTTTTGATTACCCTTGCTGGCGACTTGAGGAAAGAGTGGATAAAAACTGCCACTGCCAGCTGGGTGCGGTGGCTCACTCCTGTAATCCCAGCATTTTGGGAGGCCAAGGCGGGCGGATCATGAGGTCAGGAGTTCGAGGCCAGCCTGGCCAATATGGCAAAACCCTGTCTCTACTAAAAATACAAAAATTAGCTGGGCATGGTGGCAGGCGCCTGTAATCCTAGCTATTTGGGAGGTTGAGTTAGGAGAATCGCTTGAACCCGGGAGGCGGAGGTTGTAGTGAGCTGAGATTGTGCCATTGCAAACAAAACAAAACAAAACAAAACAAAACAAAACAAAACCTGCCACTGCCAATCTGGAGTTGGAGTTATCAAAACTGATGATATCTGGAAGAGGGCAGAAGATGTTACCATCTGCAAGTTTAGGATGCTGAAGAAGTGGCAAGAAAAGGATCAGAGCCTTGCCACAGCCCAGAATTTATGTAAGTGCTTGAAAGACATCATCTCTCTTGAAGTCCAAGATGTGTTGGAAGGTGAGCAGAAAATTATATCTTAGTTATTTGTCTGGAATCAAGCTGTGTCTTTGGGAATAGCTATAGAACATGTGGCTTGGTTATTTATAAGCTTGGGTTCAGAGAGTTATGCAAATGCAAAAGCAAGCAAGGGGCTGCTGTCCTCTTAGTAAGGATGGTGTGTGCAGCTGAGTCAGAGGAAGGGTTGGAAGCCCAGCCCCAGTGCTGCCCTAGCTTTGGGACTGTAAGTAAAATCTCAACCTAACTTGAAGCCTCTCTGTTCCCATCTGTGAAATGGGTTCAGACCCTCCTATGTCCTGGGCTGTGGTGAGAATGAAAGGAGACCATGCATGTCAAGATCCAGGCAGGTGGTCTGGCTCAGTAAGGGAGCAGTCATGTCACCCTGGTACTTAAGGCAGGGCTGGTAGCATTGAGCCTTCTGGGCCTTCTGTGGCACTGAAGCAGGGGTCATGGGGGCCACTGGGTGGCGCCAGCAATATTCAACCAGCAAAGAGGGCAAGGGAGAAAGCAGAGCCCAGGGAGGGCTGGAGGGGATCGTTCCTGGTGTTGATCCAGAAAACCACAGGGTTCCTTGTCTTGGTTTTCAAGCACTTCTAATTTTGTATGTGTGTGGATGGATGTAGCACATTGTCATAACTGAGCTCAAATCAATTCAAGACTTTGATTATTATATGTTGTTACTACAACGAATATAGTGTTTTTTTTTTCTAAGAATCCTCAGTAATTCAGAGAGAGGTTTTATTTAAAATTCTATTTAGATTTTTTTATTCCTGGCCGGGCGCGGTGGCTCATGCCTGTAATCCCAGCACTTTGGAAGGCCGAGGCAGGCAGACCACGAGGTCAGGAGATCAAGACCATCCTGGCCAACATGGTGAAACCCCGTCTCTACTAAAAGTACAAAAATTAGCTGGGCATGGTGGCATGTGCCTGTAACCCCAGCTACTCAGGAGGCTGAGGCAGGAGAATCGCTTGAACCAGGGAGTCAGAAGTTGCAGTGAGCCGATATCACGCCACCACACTCCAGCCTGATGACAGAGCGAGGCTCCGTCTCAAAAAAAATAAGTACATAAACACCCCAGAAGGTTATATCAGAAGTCAAAGTACTATGATCTCTCTGCATGCTTTTCAGACATGGTGAGCGAGCGTTCTGAACCCTCGGGCCCACTTTGCCTGGAGGACCACTGAGGTTTTCTACTCTCTAGTCTTGGGGTGCTGAAGCCTCAAGAGATTAGAAACAAATGCAATTCTCTCCCACCTAGCAATTTGGGATGCAAGCTCAAAGGTGAGCTCCTCATCCCCTGGAGAAGTACAACTGGCCAAACACTACTTTTCTTGGACTTTCACGGTGGAATTATTTACTTTTCATGGGGAAGAATGCTACTCAGAGATAGCTTTCACAGAACCAAGGGAAAGCTGTCTTCTTTTCTTGAAAAAGACTTGCCTCAGGAAATAATGGGCCTCATTGGCTGCTGCTAATTGGTGAAATGTTTTTTTTTTTTTTTTTTGGTCTGTGTAGATATTGTCACTACTTCAGCATCATGAGTGTGGTGGGTGATTAATATTCTGGATATATTTTACATTATTTGATCCATAAATTCATAAATCATGGATGATGAGAAGAAAAGGAAGTCTGCTTTTTGACACTGCTCTTCTTTGTATTATTTACTTACAGGTCCTGTTTTAAAGCATCCTATTCCTTGGTTGTCTTTCCTTTGGCTCTTTGGCAATAGTTGGTTTTGATCCCAGCTCTTTGGCTCCTGGGCCAAGGCTGAGTGAGTGCCAGACAGGGTAAACTAGTTCACCAGGTGTTCACACAGGTTCAGGACAACCTGCATTGTCCCCACAGCCCTTTTGCCACAGGAATAATTATGGTTTTCTCCCTTCCAAGGATGGGAAGGTGTGTTTTTATTTAAAACCAGGCAGATTCCTAATACTTCCTCATTTGTGCATTTCTCTTGACAAGGGATTTTTCTGCACATAATGACTCTCATTTGGTCCTTTTGCTGTATTCCTTTCGGGGAAAAGTTTCCTCCCGCTGCTTTTTCATGAGAAAGCACGCTTCACTCCATTCTCTAAAGAGAACACAGCAGTTGCTGAATTTTTAATTTGTTCCCATGAGAATCGTGGTTTCCAGCAGTCAGCCTAGGCCACTACCCGTTTTCTGGAAGTCCTTCTTAGGGTGAACCAGCACACTGCTTGCTGAAGAGCTTGATCCCAGGGATTCACTGCTGGAATCATGTGTTTTTGGTTGACAGGTGTTCTCAGCCTCCCTGTCTATATGTCAGGATTTGAGAAGTCCTGATCCTGGCTCTGCAGCCGCTGATGCTAACACGGAGGCCCTGGGGTTAAATTCTAGGCTCTGAGTTTTGAGATTTCTCCTGCTTCTTAAGTGAGACCTCCATTTCCACCCTGGAGCCCACTGTAGATTTAGACCTAATTTGTTCTGGTCCTGATGTAAGTCCTCAGTTAGGAAGTCTAGAGTTAGTCAGCCACCTTTATTCTTTGCAATCCCATTCTTGCTGTTTTCTGTAACCTCTAGCACAAGTTTCCTTTTCAGAAGGGAAGACGCTCTATGCATTTATAGCAGTGTTTTCTTTTCGAGCAAGCCTGGAAATCAACAGGTGGTTCCATTATAAAAACAACTGGAGAGAGGGGCTTAGAGTAATTCAGCAAGTTTTCATTTTTCCTTACCCACGAAAACCTTTTGTGAAAGGAAATCTTACCTGGAACACGCACTGGTAAAATATTCAAAAGTGGAGCTGCTGTGGTGGGGTCATTGAGGGGAGAGGGATTTCGAGGGCTTACCGAGGAGCCCTGCAGGGCCTCTGACTTGCTCCTGGTAGGGTAGCTTGGAAACCAGCAGATCAGGTCATTATTTGGATTTCTTGAAGCTGTGGTGCAGGAATGTGTTTCTAAGACATCTGCAACCTAATGGGAAGTAAAACACTTTCCCACCCCTAGGTGTGGAATATTTATTGGCACGTTGTTTCTGAAGCATAGACATATACTCAGACCACAGGTATTTAAATTATGTTAACTAAATCAAAACGTTTATGAATTTGGATTTTTCCCCATTATGAACATGTATAATTATTTTGAACTAAGTAAGCATATGCATTTTCAATTTTTTAACTCTTTATTTTTATAATTGTGAATAAGTTTCTTTCAAAGACTAGAGACTTATTTTTTAAATTTTATTTTTATTTATGTATTTTTTGAGACGGAGTCTTGCTCTGTCACCCAGGCTGGAGTGCAGTGGCACGATCTCAGCTCACTGCAACCTCTGCCTCCTGGGTTCAAGCAATTCCCTGCCTCAGCCTGCTGAGTAGCTGGGACTACAGGCGCACACCACCACACCTGGCTAATTTTTGTAGTTTTAGTAGAGACAGGGTTTCACCATGTTGGCCAGGCTGGTCTCGAACTCCTGACCTCAGGTGGTCCGCCCACCTCGGCCCCCCAAAGTGCTGGGATTACAGGCATGAGCCACCACACCTGGCTGAGACTTCTTTATTTCTATCTAGATTAGGAAAAGACATGAGAATTGTGGGGGCTCATGAAGATTCCCTTTGTTTCTGTATCATTTTTAAGTTCCTGGGGCTGGGAACACAAATACGTGGGTAATACTACATTGCCTATATCTGAGGTTCCCACAGTTTAGCAAGAGAGAGAAGGGAGATACATAAATAATTGGGATGATATTTATATGGTTATAGGGAAAGCATTCCCTTGACTTAGACAGTGACTTCAACATGAGCATAGCTGCTGGCACAGGCTGAGACCAGGCCACTTAAAATGTTAATTATGTGAGCTTACATAATCTTATTATTTATTATTTTTATTTTTTGTAGAGATGGGGATTTTGCCATGTTGCCCAGGCTGGTCTTGAACTCCTGGGCTCAAGCAATCCTTCATCTCGGCCTTCCAAAATGCTGGGATTACAGGCATGAGTCACCGCACCTGGTCAACTTCAATAATTTTCTTCACTTTCCACATCCATAAAAAGGGTTATTAGGATGGTTATGTTTATTTGTGGTAAACTCTTAGGAACATGCCTGGCATTTAGGAAGCACAACTGAGCAGTTGCTACTACTTTTTTTTTGTCTAAAACAGATTCCATTAATATACTGTTTTTGATATTACATAGATCTAATTCATACTCATATTTTTAATGTAAAATTGAAAGATACATAAATATAACTAAAGTTTTTGTGCCTGTTCTCACCACATATATTTCAAAACATTTATACGCATCCTATTTCACTTTTTTAAATAAAATATTTCAAGTACATAGAATTCAATTTTTGGACAATGCGGCCATATTTTTTTCTTACTTATCATATTGTAATGCAGTTTGCTTTAAACTAGGAAGCCAAATTATGCTAGCCAGAACCAAAAGTATTTTTTAATTTTTAATTTTTTTTTTTAGATGGAATCTCGCTCTGTTGCCAGGCTGGAGTGCAGTGGTGCGATATCGGCTCACTGCAACCTCCGCCTCCTGGGTTCAAGCAATTCTCCTGCCTCAGCCTCCTGAGTAGCTGGGACTACAGGCACACACCACCATGCCCAACTAATTTTTGTATTTTTAGTAGAGACAGGGTTTCACTATGTTGGCCAGGATAGTCTTGATCTCTTGACCTTGTGATCCGCCCGCTTTGGCCTCCCAAAGTGCTAGGATTACAGGTGTGAGCCACCGCGCCCGGCCCAAAATGTTTAGTCCTCAAATAAGGATAATAACTGAATGGCCCAGTGTGACACAGAGAAGAGGACTTATGATGGCTGTGGGTGCTGGCCCCCAACAAAGCTGGTGTTCTTTTCTTTTTGTCTGTAGTTTCTTATCCTCCTTTGGGTGTCTAAGGGTCTTTTACATCTCTTGAGTTTTTCAATACTTACCTTTGGATGTCTGGCCAGACCATGTCCTAGAACTGTTCTGTCTTCCCAAAGTCCTGGACCTTTAATGGGGCAGCTGACAACTAAATATTTTTCATGTTAATTCTCTGATTTAGTCATTCTTAGGTGTGAGATACACTTTCAAGGTTTAGTTTCTTTTGAATAAAGTAGTTTGTTAATCAAACGAATCTCCAATTGACTGGGGGGTATTTTTAGGGGGATGGTCCTTGGTTTTGATAAGTTACTTTGCTCCTGGCCTGGCTCAGTGGCTCATGCCTGCAATCCCAGCACTTTGAGAGGCCGAGGTGGGTGGATCACCTGAGGCTAGGAGTTTGAGACCAGCTTAGCCAGCATGGTGAAACCCTGTCTCTAAAAATACAAAAATTATCTAGGTATGGTGGTGGACACGTGTAATCCCAGCTACTCAGGAGGCGGAGGCAGGAGAATCGCTTGAACCTGGAGGGTGGAGGTTGCAGTGAGCCGAATCGCGCCACTGCACTCTAGCTTGGGTGACAAGTGAAACTCCGTCTCAAAAAAAAAAAAAGTTACTTTGCTCTCCACCCTTTGTTCTTGGAAGGCAGAGACCCTGCCTTTTGCCCTCATACTTCACACCAGGCAGCCGCTTGTGCCGACCACACTTAATATGCTGAGTGCCATGGGGGACAGCACATCAGCGGGTGTTCTGATGTCTTGTGAGAACTGTGACAAATTTATGTTGAGTAATAACTAGGTGCTGGCACTGTATTGTGTCATTTAATCTTCACAATAACACAGTTAATTAGGTCCCACCGTTTTCTGAATTTCATCAATGAGGAAATAGCAGCAAAGAGGAGGTAACAAATTCGGTGCAGGTGCTTAGCCCAAAGACTAATAATACATTTCAAAATGTGCTTACATTTATTGTGCACTTACTATGTGCCAGGTGCAACGCTAGCCCTTTGCACGAGTTGTTCCATTTTACCCTTTCTCTGATCCTTTTAGGTAGATTCTAGTATTACCTTCCTTTTTCAGAAGAGGAGACCAATGGGGAGCATTGGAATGATTTGGTTGCAAGCATACTACACTACTTGTAAACTGCAGACACAGGCTTAAAAAAAGTGAAAAACTAACCATGCAATAAAGAATGGAATGAACCATGAAGCTGTTTCTGTGGCCAGTCATGTTTTTGAAGCATATCCCATGCTAATTTCTAGAACAGAAGAAACACACGTGTTCTTGTGTGTAAACCCAGTCCATGGAAGAGACCGTCTGCTTGTCCCTCCTGATCTCTGGGCCCAGACAACCAGTAGTCACCATTCCAAGTGAGGGGTGGCTGCAACTCTACAGCCCCGTTCGTCTCTCCTCACTGTCAAAGCTGCTGAGACCCCAGACTCGACACTTGAAAGAAACCCATGTCTGTGAAGCACTTGTGGACCATTCAAGATTGTGGAAGAATCACTCAAGAGAAGGAGATAGGTGATGGGATCTAGCTTCTGATGGTTTCTATTTTATTGAATGTCTAATAGGGCAAGAATTTGAAAAACGAGAATGTTTGCCATGCAGGAGGACCTGGGAAGGAGATAACACATTTACAGGGAGAAAGATTGGGATTCAGTTGGGAGGAGTAACTGAGGAAAGGGGTCACTCAAAATATTTTGTATTTTAGGTCCTTTTTCTATTAAGGAGGAATGGATTATCAAAGCCTTAACATTAAATTGTATTGTGTCAGGTGAATTGCTATGGTTTGAATGTGGTGTGTCCCCCTCCCAAACTCACATTGAATTTTTTTTTTTTTTTTTGAGACGGAGTCTCGCTCTGTTGCCCAGGCTGGAGTGCAGTGGTGCGATCTTGGCTCACTACAAGCTCTGCCTCCCGGGTTCAAGAGATTCTCCTGCCTCAGCCTCCCGAGTAGCTGGGATTACAGATGTTCGTCACCACACCTGGCTAATTTTTGTATTTTTAATAGAGATGGGGTTTCACTATGTTGGCTAGGCTGGTCTCAAACTCCCGACATCAGGTGATCCACCCACCTCGGCCTCCCAAAGTGCTGGGATTAGAGGAGTGAGCCACTGCACCCAGCCTCACGTTGAGGTTTAATTGCCATTGTAACAGTATAAAGATGTGGGACCTTTACGAGGTGATTAGGCAATGAGGACTCTGCCCTCATGAATGGATTAATGCTGTTATCATGGGAGTGGATTCCTTATAAAGGGACACGTTCAGCACCCCCTTGCTCTCTCTCTCACCTTCCGCCATATGATGATGGGGCACAAAGGCCATCATCAGATGTTGGCCCCTTGTTCTCGAACTTCCCAACCTCCAGAGCAGTAAAAAAATAAATCACTGTTCTTTACAAATGGCCCAGTCTCAGATATTCTGTTACAGCAGTACAAAATGAACTAAGTCATGAAACCTAAGATTTACATGATTTACAGCAGTGGTCCGCAACCTTTTGGGCAGCAGGGGCTGGTTTTGTGGAAGACAATTTTTCCACAGACCCGGGGGGCAGGGGGCAAAGATAGTTTCGGGATGAAACTGTTCCACCTCGTATTATCAGGCATTACTTAGATTCTTATAAGGAGCATGCAGCCTAGATCCCTTGCATGTGTAGTTCACAATAGGGTTCACACTCCTATGAGAATCTAATGCTGCCACTGATCTGACAGGAGGCGGAGCTCAGGTGGTAATACTTGCTCACCTGCCACTCACCTACTGCTGTGGGGCCCACTGCCCAACAGGCCACAGACCAGTACCACTCCATGGCCTGGGGATCGGGGACTCCTGGTTTAGAGAATTAAAAAGATGGAATTTAACATTTAGCTCATTAAGAGCACATCTCTTAAGCCAAAGTAAGGCAATTATCCATGTGGTTCAGGCAAAAGTTCTATACAGTTTTAAACAAATGGAGAGATTTTCTGGTTGCAAATTAGAGACAACTTTTCTCTCAGAGCCCAAAGGGTCACAAAAATTAGAATAATTAGGCTAGAAGGCCTCTTAGTGACATTTTTTTTCTGGTTGAAGAATACTATGAAGTATTTTTCTAATGCACAGCATACTTTTAGTCTTATGTTGAACAAAAATAATAAACCCTCAAAAACCATGACTCACTTGGCTGCCTTAGTAGTAAAGCATATCTTGTCTTACTAGGGTCCCTTTAAAATGAGATGAAAGGGACTAGGAAAGGAATAAGAATATTGTGGCATTCTTTCCAGAGTAATTTTGTTGAAGTCTCATCAGAGTTTTCAATTTTCCCACAATGTATATTTTAACACTTAAAAGTACATTAGAAAAATTGCAGAATCACTTTAATTCAATACTTTTATTTTTAGAACACTTAAAAATATTTTTCAAATACACTTGATAAATAATTTAATAAATATAACATAAATAAATATAAGTTAGCTCAGATGCTTTCATGATTACCAAGTTATATAAATAAATATTTTAAAATAAGTTATGCTTACATGTTTGTTTCCACAAACACTTTGGTACAGAAATAGCTTATAAATATTTGCCCTTCTATTAAAGTGAATGAAAAACACCTTCAGGATGGATATTTTCCCTTCTTAGCAATTCATTCATGAAAACTTAAAAACAATTTATCCACAGTAAATGTCAAAAATACTTGATCAGAGGTATCATGTGGATGTAATAGTCCCATCCTTCTTTCCCCCTCCCTAGTTCTTAATCCACATCCTATCAAAGTTTCCTCATTTCAAAGTTTTATAAAAATGACAACGGTTTGGAGGGACCTCGCTTTTTAGGAAGCATTCAGATAGCTCATCACTCTATCAATAGTCACTGCCCGAATTCTGAAAGCATGAAGAAGTATGCAGAGCTTGATTTTAGTTTTATAAAAATCCGGTTCTTCAAGGGAGGATTTTTGTGGCACAGTCTCACTGTTGAAATTCAGGGCCTAGGAGAATGAACAGTAAGCATGACTTACATGGTATTCCAAAATTCAAATATTCATTCATAAAAATGAGTGAAGCCAGTACATGTCTCAGAGCCTGCAACTCAGTCCCTTATGCCACTCCTAAACCCAATCCAAATCTACTCTCAGCCAGATCACCAGGCAGAATGAGAAAAGAAATACTCATTTTCCAAGCACATCCATCTTCAATGAGCTCTGAAAAGACCCTTAAAACTATTTAGAAAAAATCATCAGTGGGAGTTGTGTCTTAGAAAGAAACAGTTCCTTTAAAATGACATCTGCTGCAATATCTAATTAATTTTATATATGTTACATTAAAAAGCCCACTTCTGTTTAGCACAGGGAGGTGATGGATTGCTATTGATCAGAACTCACTATCAGTAACAGGCCTGTTTACTGAAGACATGCCATTTGTGTCAGATAAACCTGGCAATGAATTTCCCAAGTTTAGCACTTTGATTTGATAACAGAATATAAAACCTTACATTTGCACCCTTGATGAATAAATACTTTCATATCTTCCTCACAAAAAGTCTAAAAGAAAGCTAGAATAAAGTCACCCCATTTTATACTGGAGGAAACTGAGGCACAGAGGGGTTAAGTGACTTGGGAATAGTTGTCTGGTTACTGGTAGAATTGATTCTAGCACCCAAATCACCCAACTCTTGGTCCTAAAAATGAAATAGCAACTACAGCTCTCTAGATGCTAACATTCTTTGATACTTGGATGAAGCTCATTGCCTTTCAAACAAGAAATCTGGCACATGCACACACACACACACACACACACACACACACACACACACGAAAAGAATAAAAGTAAAACAATTACTTTTCAGACAATGATTTCTGCCACCATATTTTTATCCCATGTCCTCGTCACCAAAGCAGTCACCCTCGCTTATATAAATATTTGTTTTATATTAGCATCTGTGTTATGGTGATTCAGAACATAACAAAGCAAGTTCTTGCCTATGAATAACATTATAGATGCCCCAGATGATAGGTCATTCTTTTATTTGGTTCACATTTTGGTTCACAATGGGTCATAATCAGGCACCAATCTTGCTTGTTTCCCAGCAATATTTGCAGATATGCAAACTGGCCCCTTGCATGCACATCCTGGAGCACGTCCTGGAGCCTTTAGAGGTGAGTGAGAAGGTAAGTGTAGTGAAATCCTCTTGAAGGATTTTAAGAGGCAGAGCCTCAGACAAGTGGTTTAACTCTCCTAAGGTTTGGTTCCCTCCTTTGTGCAGATCCCATATGGTTGTTTTGAGGCTGACATAAGAAAATGCACAAAAACATTTGCCGAGTGTGGGGGATACCACAGAGTGAATACTTTGGAGTCTGCTTTTCATAATGTGATCTGCTCACATTTGTGCTCCCTATAGACGGCACCCTCAAGGCTGTCTTCTTGAAAATGTAGGTCTGTCAGGCCTTTAAAAGGCCTCCAGACCTCTTTTTATATCTCTTTATCAAAGACCCTGGCTGGTTATCTTTAGCATGAAAAAGGTGCTCTCACTGATAGAATGAAGTCTTACCTGCATCAGCTCATCAATAACTGCCAGCATGTTTTGATCTAGAAAGATCTGCCTCTTAGGATCCATCAGAAGCTTTGCATTCATGGTCTTGAACTCCACCTGGTACATCTTCAAGTCTTCATAAATACTACTAAGGCACAGGGCCTGGGTGACATGACAAGATGGGGAAGTATCCATTGAGATGGGCTAAAAACATTTCCCCCATTGCATTTGAGGAAAGAGCTGTGTGTCTTACCATCATAAAAGAGGTCTTTCTGGAGGCCAGGCAACTCCCATTCTAGAGGAAAAAATAATCAGACATCAGTGATATGAATTCATCATACAGGCTGAAACTTTTCATTTTTTGACTTACAGTTATGAAAGAGGTCTCTCTGGAATTTAGGCAACTCTCATTCTAGAGGGAAAAAATCATATATCAAAGTATTAATTCTTAGTATAAATCTTTCTGACTCTTCAGGTCTCAAATTTTTTTTATTATGGTAAAAACACATATCATAATATTTAGCATCTGAACTATTTTTAAGTGTTAAGTGTATTCACATTGTTGCAAAAAAAACCATTTTTTAAAAATAATTTTTCTCCCAAATCTAACTTCTGAAGTAGGACCAGTTAAAATCCCATAATGATGGATACCAGAAACGTGAATTTTTAGAAGCAGGTGAGATTTGATGCACAGTTTTTAACCACACTGCATGCTCTGGGAGGAAAATCCTTTATACCTTGGTTAATTCCAATGGTAAACAGGCCTCCACTGTGCTGGTTTTATCTTTTGTGATATCTTCATGATCAATCTCTTCAGAAGTGCAAGGGTAAAATTCTAGAGTTTGTCTGGCCTATAAAAAATGAAGGAGAAACTCAGTTTATAACATTGATAATGCACCTGGCACCCCACAAGGCTGGTAAGCCAGGGTGCCAGGAAGGCTCCGGCTGGCTGCCCTTGACCTCTGTCACTTTGACTTGCAGGAAATTCTGGTTCTTCATAATACAAAAGAAAATAGATTCCTTACATTCTGTCTCTCACCCTCCTCTCCCTAAGCTTGGGGCATGTTTCTCTGGATTACATATTTTTTCATTATGTAAACACAATAAATCATGTCAACAGCCTGTGCTAACCAGCCTCCACACCTCACTGTGACACTTGCTTCTGGTGAAAATTGTTTCTTCTTTTGCTAAAGTGACTGTATTCTATGAATACCTATTTCAAGTATAACTTCTAAAGGGGGAACTGTTAAGGTCACAGTCTGATGGATATAACAAACATGCAAACCCTTAAGAC
Organism: Homo sapiens; assembly: GCF_000001405.40. Lineage (NCBI taxonomy): Eukaryota > Metazoa > Chordata > Mammalia > Primates > Hominidae > Homo > Homo sapiens. The sequence continues at coordinate 159,992,568 of NC_000003.12, read as the reverse complement.
AAGCTGAGATTTAATTTGCAGTGCACACACGCACACACATACACAGAGATGTCATCTTAGTGTGTTGGAAAGCACCGTTGGGTAAAATTATGAAATGTATCTTAGGAAGTAAAGGACTGTATGATTGAAGATTACGATCATTTTTCCATTCAACAGCCTAATGGGTGGCAGGCACTCCATTAGGTACTAAGAACATGACAGAGAAGAGGACCATGTATACCCTCCTGGATTGCAAGTTTAGCTGCTGAGACAGACAATTGCCCAAATGACCAGGAGGCATCAGTAGGTGAGACATGGTGAGAAGGGCATGAAGCTTCTGAGGAGGGGCAGGAAGGGAAGCAAAGCTTCCTAGAGTTGGGACACCCACATTAAGAGGAGTAAAGTGTCGACAATGGAGGAGGGAAATTTCAGACAGAGGTAACAGCATGAGCCAAGAAGCAAGGCCTGAAAATTCAGAATACGTTTGGGCACAAGTAGTAAAATCCCTTTCTGTGGTAGCTAGACCAATTCTCCACCTCCAAAGACATCCACCTCCCAATCCCTGGAACCCGGTAATGAGCTATGTGACCTGCCAAAGAGGAATGAAGGTGCAGATGACATTCAATTTGCTAATCAGCTGATCTAAGAGTAGAGAGATGATCCTGGATTATCTGGGTGAATCCAGTGTAAGCAGTGTCCTCAAAAGTAGAAGCGGGTAGAAGGTCAGTCCAGAGGGAGCAGCATGAGAAAGACTCAACCAGACATTGCTGGTATGGACAATGGAAGGGGCCACAAGTCAAGGAATGTGGGCAGCCTCTAGACCTGACAAAGCAAGGCAACAGATTCTCCCCAAGAGCCTCCAGAAAGGGCTACAGCTCTGCTGACACATTGACTTTAGCCCAGTAGGACCCATTTTGGACTTCTGATGCCCAGAGCTGTAAGATAATAAATTTGTGTCATTTAAACCCACTACATTTGTGACAGCAGCAGTAGGAAATGAATACACTATTCCCGGAGGTGTTTAAACAGACCTGGGCAACCCCACTATTCTGAGCAGGTTATAAAGAGTTAGATTTGGAGGTGTGAGTCCAGTGTTGTTCTTCAGATCTTTTCAAGAGAAGCTAGAATTTTGAAATCTTAATTGAAATGTTTGGTTTTTGAATGGCATCAAACTAAAAAATAAACATATAGCCCAAATTCTACAAACCTGTGCCCTGGATATGGCCGGTGAATCACTTGCATCTACCTCATTTGTTTTCTACTACAGCAAATTTGACAAATGATGTACAAAACATTAAATTGATTTCTATAATCTTTTGACCCTTAGGACTATATCTGGGAGTAGGGGTGTCAGCTTTTGCACAAAAAAATCTATATGAATTGGAGCACCTAAAAGTTACCCATTTTGAACCTTTCTTCGGGAAACAAAGCAGTTTTCACTTGAGCCCCCTGTCCAATTAAGATTAATTGAATTGTGAGGAGCAATGCACAGCACATTATGAAAGATTGAAAGGGGAAAGGAGCCCTTTAAGAAGGCTTGGTGGCATTGAGCTTATTTTAAGATATTCCTAAGGCAACAAGCTAGAAAATACTCAAGAAAAAATTCCTAGAGAGCAGAAAGGCAGAGGACATCTTTTAAAACATTAGCCTTTAGCCTTTGCAGCAGTAGCTACTGGAGCAGTTTTTAACGGCAATGTTTTTTACATTAAAATATGAAACCTAAAAGAACGAAGCTGTAAATAAAATTAGGTAACTCTTCCCTAGAAAATGAAGGCTGCATGTGCACTGTCATAGTCCTCCCTGAGATGTGTTGCTCCAAGAAGGAACTGTGTCACCAAGTAGAAGCTGGTGGGCAGCAGGAGGGACAAGGCTATTTCATCTTTGTACCCCTGCCCCCCAACACAGAGTATGCACCCAAGTAACTATTTCCGGGATTGATCAGTGGTGTGGTGCCAGAGAAACCATGTGGACCTGACACAATTCTATCTCTGTTGGCAGGCTACAGGAACACTGCAAATATCCACTTTACTCAGTGTAGACATAGCCAAAACCAACATCATTATAATTTATTACTACTCTTGCTTTCTCTGGAGACACAATTTCACTAGGACTCTTTAACACTTGGGCCATTTGTAAAGTTCCCTCTCCTGCTGTTGACAGCTGCTAATGAACTTCCACAATTTCTCTGCAGTTCCATCAGGTACCAGAGGGGAGGATCAGAGGCCCCTTCCTCAGGGAGGGTGCAGGTCCACAGTGGAGAGGACAGGAAAGGCTCACCTTCTGGAGCATGTTGCTGACGGCCCTCAGCAGGTTTTGGGAGTGGTGAAGGCATGGGAACATTCCTGGGTCTGGAGTGGCCACGGGGAGGTTTCTGGCCAAACTGAGGTGGTCCAGGAGGACCAGGGTAGCCACAAGGAGGAGGCCTGGAAGGAAGAGGAGCAGGTGGAGGAGCTTCAGCCTGGATGGCCTGCCTGCACCACCTTCCCTCCATTCTGGCCACCTTCACCCATCCATTCATGCTTGGCACCCACCTCCCTCAACCCATTTCCAACACTTTTCCTTCAACACCTGAGAGATGACTCGAGTTATTACAAAGCGCCACTCTATTCTAGGGCTAGAAGCCAGCTCCCTGTGAGGGTCTAGAGATGAGCTTGGACAAGGGTGTTGAACCCAACACTCACCCAGAGAAAGCCTACATGTTTTTGATCAGGGAAACCCAGACCAGGTGGTGAAGTGGCTGAGTCAGACTTGGGACCCAGTGTTTTAAAAACAGTGGAGTGAGAAAGCCTGACTTTTTTTGTTTTTTTAAGACGGAGTCTCACTCTGTGGCCCAGACTGGAGTGCAGTGGCACGATTTTGGCTCACTGCAACCTCCACCTCCGAGTTCAAGCAATTTTCCCTGCCTTAGACTCCCGAGTAGATGGGATTACAGGCACCCACCACCACACTCGGCTAATTTGTGTATTTGTTAGTAGAGACGGGGTTTCACCATGTTGGTCAGGCTGGTCTTGAACTCCTGACCTCAGGAGATCTGTCCGCCTTGGCCTCCCAAAGTGCTGGGATTACAGGCGTGAGCCATTGCACCCGGCCAAGCCTGACTTTAGAACTGGCTAGGATCTGCCTTCTGTTTGTAGCTGAGGGACCCTAGGCAGGAAAGCAGGAAATCTCCCACGCTGGGCCTCAGTTTCTCCTCTACGAAGTGGGCATAATGATAGCTCATCAGGCTGTTTCGAGATGAAAAGAGACATGCCCTATTTAGCACACGGTGAGACCCCTATTCTTATTCCTCTTTGCAGGAGACGGCTGCTGCTGTTCCAGTCTCTCCTTAGGCAGACTTGAGTTTCTACCCACTCTTCCCAAGCAGCCGCCCCTCCGCACCCGAGCGAGCCAAAGACCTGGCGGGCTGAGTACTCACTGCGCGCTGGACACATGCTGAGCCGGCACTGCAGGGACACAGGGCGAGCCGCTGGATGCAGACCTGTGGCCGCGGCAGGTGAGGGCGGTGGCTGGGAGGCTGACCCAGGGGGCCACATTTTTATAATTGTCCCGAGGCGCGGCAGGACTTTCCCGGGACTCTGGTCTCTTGCTTTCTGTCTCCTTCTGTGTCTCTCTCTACATCAGCTTCTCGGTGACACGTGCGGTGCGGCCGGCCCGCGGGGCTTGCGGCGCTTTCGGATTAACTCCCGGGGTGCCCGGCCGCAGCCGTTCCGGGACGGCCCCGCCGCCTCCAGCTCGGCCCAAAATGAAAGCGAAATGTTCGCAGTTACTGCGCGGGGTCCACAGGCGGGCGGGACACCCCGCCCACCACCCTGGGTCCCCGGCCTTAGCCGGACGCCCCGTGTCTAAGCTACCCCGCCCCGCAGCTGTGCAGCGCCCCCTGCCGACGTAGAGAGAGGAGTGCCTCCCACTTTGCATGTCCTGCGTAGGGATGGGCCCTAACCACGACCTCCAGCCTAGTACTGGAAGGGGTAGGCAAATCATTCACTCATCATCGTTCCTTTAGATGGCTCACTAGATGCCAGGCCGACGTTGCACCAGGTGCAGGACACCCAGGGAGAACAGGACCCTTGGGGCATTGCCACACTAAATCAGACTCAAGGCGTTTTGTTCACAGGTCTTTTCTGAAACCTGAAAAGGGATGAGAGCTGGCTGACTCTGCAATTATTACTCTTGTAGAGAATCCAGTTTAACGATAGGATGAATACACAGAGTCCTGGGAGGAAAGACCTAGAGAAAGAGCCCACGCTCAGCCGGAGCAACGGGGTCCAGGAGTCAGCAAAGGCTCCCGGGAGCAGGCAGGGGCCCCAACCTGAGTGTTAAAAACAAGCAGGCATTAGACCGCTTCCAGCGGGAGGGCACGCAGGGTCTAGCCAGGGGAAACAGGGATCAGAAGCGCAGTCATGAAGGGTTGAGGGAGGTGGGGGTCTAGGTGTCCTTGCAGGGTGTGAGGCTGGAGGGCTGGATGGGGCCATGCCATGAGGGCAGGGGATGCCATACTAAGGAGTGTACTTTCTGTGCTGAGAGTAGTGGGGAGTCTTCCTGGGTTTTAGGCGGGAGATGTGGCAGAATTTGCATGATGGGGGGATCCCTTCAGCCACAGCATGAAGGATGGATCCAGGGGTCAGGAGTAGAGCAGAGGGAAGAGTTGACAAGGTGTGGCCAAGTCCTTATTCAGTATGGAGAACACAGGGTGGGCAGGAGGGACTCTCAGAGGGCTTGTGGGCCAAGGCTTGGTAGCTCCTCAGGTGAGCGGGAGAGGAAGGCCCTGAGAATGGGGAATGGAGATTGTTCTAGCTTTACAGGGATTACTGTATAAGAGGACTGAGTTTGGAGGAGATGGTGAGAAGTTCCATTTTGGATGTGCTGGGTTTGAGGTTCCTGTGGGACTTTTTAGTTCAGTTGTTTTTCCCACAGGCATTAGTCACCCTAGGCGTGGGTAGTGGGGAGGATGTGTTTGATCTCTGACTTGGAGCTTCCAAAGGGCCTGACTACACCCAGGCCCTAGGACCTAATAACTGGAGCTGCCTTCTGGGTGGCTCATCTGCTCGAAGCTGATGAAGCACGGCTGTAGGGAGTTTTAGGTGTGTGTAAAATAAGAGAAATGGTTGATCTCTAAGGCCCCTTCTAATGCTGCTGTCTGAGAATTCCCCCACGGGATACAGAGTAATCCATTGTCAGAAACAATTGCGTTTAGCAGTTTGTCTAGAGCAAATGACAGGTGCAGAGCTGTGTTGTGGCCACAAGGGTTTAGTGTGGAGTTAAATGTACTTAAAGTCAGGATGAAGACAAGTGTATCACAACTGAGCTGTTTCTCCCCTGGAAGGGCCATCTCCTATACAAAAGTAATTTCTGTTGCTTAGATGAGCACAGGGCCACTGTTAAAAATGGATTATTGGCTACCAGACACAGTTTCTAATTTACATTTTTGTGAAATAGTTTCCTGAAGTGCTCCATGTCCTCTAGCTAAGATGAAATGAAAACCTTCTTCTAGGAATACATGATTTTTCTATAAGTGACAGTCTTAGCTCACAATCACTACTTCACAGTGTGTAGCATTGTCGTGGAGGTCTCGGCCAATGCTATAAGGAAAGAAAAAGAAATGAGAGCTTTAAACATTGGAAAAGAAAAGGTAAAACTGTCACTTTTTACAGTTGATATACAAAAAGAAAAAAAATTAATAGACTATTAGAACTAAGAAGAGAATTTAACAACATCATGCAATACACATATCAACTTAAAAAAAATCAGCCGATTTTCTTTGTATCTGCAACAATCCATCAGAAAATGTAATAAAAACAAGATGACATGCATAGAAGCAGCCAAACTATAAAGTAACTGACTGTAGATACAGAGGCAGTATAATGGCTAAGAGTATGGACTAAACTATGTTAATCCAGGTTCTGCTACTTACTTGCTGTGTGTTCTTAGGTGAGTTATTTATCTCTCTGGGCTCAGTTTCCTCATCTGTTAAATGATGATAATAAAAGTACCTACAGTATAGAGTTATTATGATTATTACATGAGCTTGGATAACTACAGAATAGTGTTTGGAGAAAAATTTTAAAGTTCAGTCAAGAATATAGTGTGATTTAATTAAATAATTCTATACCCTTGGGTGGAAGGTTTCTCTATATAGAAAGCTTAAGCCTCTTTTCGTTAATTCACATGCTCAATGTAATTCCAATACAAGCTACAAATAAATTTTCTCAGAAACTTAATAATAAGCCTACTCTAAAATACAGATGTAATAAAATCTATGACTAAGTTAAAAAAATTTTTTTTGAGACATGGTTTTACTGTATCACCCAGGCTGGAGTGTAGTGGTGGCACAGTCACAGCTCACTGCAGCCTTGACCTCCTGGGCTAAAGTGATCCTCCCACTTCAGCCTCCTGAGTAGCTTGGACCACAGGCAACACCATCATGTCCAGCTAATTTTTATTTTTGTATTTTGTAGAGACGGAGTCTAGTTTTGTTGCCTAGGCTGGTCTCAAACTCCTGGGCTCAAGTGATCCACCCACCTTGGCCTCCCAAAGTGCTGGGATTACAGGCGTGAGCTGCTGTTCCTGGCCTTAAGTAAAAATGCTAAGGGAATAATGAAAAGGGGGACTAACCCTATCACATATGGACATAATTTAAAGCCATAGAAATTAAAGTAGTGATCTTTGCAACAGATCAGGCATATGGACCATTGAAACAGAGTAGAGAAATTATAGATAGATTTGTATATTTGGGTATTAAGTATAAGATAATACAGATGATTCCCTGATCAATGAGGAAAACATGCAATATTTAGTAGAAAATACTCAATGGGCTGGGCATAATGGCTCACACCTGTAATCCCAGCACTTTGGGAGGTCAAGGCAGGAGAATTGCTTGAGGTCAGTAGTTCAAGGCCAGTCTGAGCAAAAACTCCCTACAAAAAATTTTTTTAAAAAGAGAAAATGTTCAGCGTATGATGAAAAATAAAACTGGACTCCAATCTAAAACAACAGAGGTGAATCCATTTGGAAGTGAATTAAAGACCAAATGTGAAAAGTAAAATTGTTACAGTAGTAGAAGAAAATATAGAGGACTGTCTTTGTCACTTATAAGTGGGAAGGACTTTTTTAAAACTTCTAAAGCTCCAAACCATAAGGCAAAATACCTATCAATTGGATTACATAAAAATGAAGATTTCTGTTTTACACATTTCCTCTATGCATGAACCAAATGAACAGACAGCTGACAGATTGAGAGAAGATATTTTTCAGTGTCTAAAACCAATATTTTCAATGTCTAAAAACAAGGAACTCTTGTAAGTCAGCAAGAAAAAGACAGAAACACTAGTAAAAAATGCGTAAAGCTCATGAATAAGCAATTTAACGAGAAGAAACCCCAAAGACTAATGAGCATACCTGGAGGCTCAGTTATATCAGAAAATGCAAATGAAAAAAAGAATGAGATATCTCTTTACACCTCTTAGACTGACAAGTTGAGAACACTGGATACTGGTAAGTGTTGGGAAAATGGGGGACTACAGGATCTATTATATCACACCATGCCAGTAGGCTGACATGGCTGTTTTGAAGGGTATTCTGGCATTCCTTGACCAGATTAAGTATATTCACACCCATGACCCAGCTGTTAACCCTGGGTGTATATCCTATGGAGATTCTCATACAGGTCCACAAAGGAACATGTATGAGGATGTTCATTAAGTCATTGTTTGTAGTGATGGGGAACTGGAGGCAATGTAGCTGCTCATTACTGGGGGAGTGGGTGAGTGGAATGTAGGGATCCACTTCATGGAGTATTCTACGGCAGTTAGAAGTAATAGACTAGATGTACATGCAGTAACATGGATATGTATTAAAAATATAATACTGAGTAAAAACAGGAAAACAGAGTAAGATCTCTCTCTATAATGTATAAGTAGACAATTAAAACCCTTTGGGGCTGGGCACAGTGGCTCATGCCTGTAATCCAAGCACTTTGGGAAGCCAAGGAAAGTGGATTGCTTGAACCCAGGAGTTTGAGACCAGCCTGGGCAACATAGGGATTCCCCATCTCCACAAAAAATACAAAAATTAGTCAGGCATGGTGGCACATGCCTGTACTCCCACCTACCAAGTAGGCTGAGGTGGGAGGATCACCTGAGCCCGGAAGGTCAAGGCTATAGTGAGCCATGATTGTGTCACTGTACTCTAACCTGGGCAACAGAGTGAGACCCTGTCTCACTTAAAAGAAAAGAAAAAGGAAAGAAAGAAAAAGAAAAAAATGGGGGGGCTCAGATTTGTTTTTGGAATTCAAAATGCTTGGAATTTAGAAAAGGAAGAGGTGGCATCGCATAATCAAGCATAATAGTTCCGCAGCAAAACATAGGAATAGTTACATTGAGTGGCTAAAGAACCCCAAGTAACCCCTTGTCGCTTCAGTCAGATTTCGCTGTTAAGAATTTAAGAGAAAACTTCTGGTGTCCAGAGCTGTGTAAGTTTAAGAATTGTGAGTAAGTGATTGCGGAACTCTATTGACTTAAATGAGAATGATATATTCAAAATAGTACACATTATACAAAGACACAGACAAAAGGATATATATTAGTAGGATAGATCCCACTGGGGAGTGAGGGGAATGAGAATGAGGACTAGTGATAATGAAAATATATAAATACATTTAGATATTTGTATTTGATGGGGACAAATAACGTCATGGATTAAAGAATATGGTCCACTCCATCCTCTTCATCAGAAGTCCTTTGTCCAAAAGACAGATAGACACCTTCTGTAAGCAGATGACTCAAGGTCATTGTTTGCAAACTTCAATTGCTATTTGGTACATTCAGGTAGTTTTTTGTTTTGTTTTGTTTTGTTTTCGAGACGGAGTCTCACTCTGTCGCCCAGGCTGGAGTGCAGTGGCTCAATCTTGGCTCACTGCAAGCTTTGCCTCCCAGGTTCATGCCATTCTCCTGCCTCAGCCTCCCGAGCAGCTGGGACTACAGGCGGCTGCCACCACACCTGGCTAATTTTCTTGTATTTTTAGTAGAGACAGGGTTTCACCGTGTTACCCAGGTTGGTCTTTATCTCCTGACCTCGTGATCTGCCTGCCTTGGCCTCCCAAAGTGCTGGGAATTCAGGTAGCTTTTATTGTTAGTTATTCCTTTCCCATTCGGTTTGAGCTATGAGTCAATCAGGCATTTTCATCACTGAGAGACAAGGGTCTTTTCAAAAATTTGACAGAATATATTAAAGATCTATTTCTGTGGTTCTCAGTTGGAGATGGCCTTGCTCCCCAGGGGACACTTGGCAATGTGTGGAGACATTTTGAGTTGTCATAATTGGAGGAAGGGGGTTGCCACTGGCATCTAGTGGGTAGAAGAATGTTGCTAAATGCTGCTGAACATTCTACGGTACACAGGATAGCCCCTCACCCGCCCATCCGCCCCCCCAGACAAATAATTTTGTGATTCAAAGTATCAGTAGTGCTGGAAGAGAAACCCTGGCTGATTTGAGTAGATAGCTCGATATGCCTGTCTTCATTGTTATTCTCCCTGACAAGTAGACAAGGTCAGAGTCATAGGACCTGAACAGAAGATTTGGAACTATATCTTTGGTGCCATAATTTAGGGTGGCAGCTCATCCTCAGATGAAGTGAGATCCCAAAGAGGCTTGTGATCAGTTGAGACCGTAAATTTGCATGTGTAGGTCAGCACTGTAAACGTGATTTTCCTTCATAAAATAGCAAGGTCTCTGCTGTCAGTTTTCCTGTGGCTCTTGTCCATAAATGTCATTCAACTTGAGCATAAATCAGCTGGTGCCCACATGGCATCAATCTGGATTCCAATCCTGAGCTTCAATCCTGAAAGGTGGCCTGTCAGGGTAAGAAGCAGAGCTCTGTGTTCCTTGTTGAACACCAACCCCCAGTGTTACATGCTGAGGAGCTTGGTTCTGTGGAGCTCTTTCTTCTTTGCTGACATATCTGAGCAGCAGGGGGAGAAATAGTAAGTGAGCGGAGCCAGAAAGGCTATAGCACTAAAGGAACTTTGGGCCTACGATCAAAAGACCTAATTTCTAGCCTCTTTCTGCTACTTGGTACCTATGTAAGCTGGGGCAAGCCACTGCCTTTCCTAATTTTCATATCAGCAAAATGGAGATGGTAATCTTTTGTTGTGCTAGTTTTGTCACGCAGATCAATTATACAGTGAACAGGTAAGAATTTTGTAAAGTGGTAGAATGTCAACAATATTAGATATCATTCTACAGTGAGTGATAGTGAAATATAGTTATTAATTTTAGATTAAGACACACATACAGTTTCTTCCAAAACTATTTCTTTGCTCTCTTTGAAACATTAAGTGGCAACTTCTCAATAGCGGTGGAGGGGAGTCCTAAATATTCATGACACAGTGTCTGTAGGGAACATCCATGAGCCATCTATCCTGTTTTTGAGAGACTTCAAAAATCTTGACAACGGGCTTCAAGAAAAAAAATCCAGAAAGGTGTCATTTATTACTTATTGGTGCTCCAGAATAAAGATTGTATGAATACTTTTGCAAACTTTTCTGCATCTTGAGACAGTTTAGCAACTTATCTGAATATGATACAACACCTGGGCATTGTAGTCTCATGAATAATTAAGATCATCTGATGCCCAGACATTATAAAGAAAAAAAGGATAAATTTGACTGTAAAAATCAAATATTTTGATTCGTTGTCTATAGGAATTTTGAGTTGTCTATAGGAATATTATAGACAACTTTTAAAGAGAAATCATAACCCAGAAAAAACATTTACATGAACATGTAACAAACCAAGAGCTAATGTCACTGTGTAAATGCAAAAGTCAATAAGAAAAAGGCCAATAATTCAATTCAAAACTGGGCAAAGGATATGAACAGACAGCTCAGAGAAAAAGATACACAAATTACTTATAAACATATGAAAAATACTCAGCTGCACTGATAATTGAATAAATGCAAATAAAAATAATAGATATAATTTTTATCCTGTAGTTTGCAAAGCTAAAAGTTTGATAGTTTGTAAAGTGTGTAAGGGTATGTGGAAATGTGTAATCTAGTGAAATCTATTTGGAGGGATAGTTGGCAATAGCTATCAAAATGAAAAATGCACATACACTTGTTCAGCAATTCTACTTCTAGTAATTTATCCTATAAAACTATTTGCATGTATGCATAAAGACTTATTTCCATTAAAAATATCATTTTTAGTATCAAAAAACTTGAAATGCTTCCAATGTCTTATTAGCAGGAAACCATTTAAATAAAACATGACTCATCTTTTCAAGGGACTATTATGCAACTATCCAAAAGATTGAGGCAGATTTATATATATGACAGGAAAAATCTTCATTACTTGAAAAGTCGTGCAAAATCAAGGTTCAGACTAGTGTATAATATGCTTCCATTTGTACAGAGAAAAAAGTATATTCATGTACAAACACACATAGATACACGTGTAGTATAGATATAAATCTATGCTTCTAAGAGTAGTGACCATTGCCTCTAAAGAAGTAGACTGAGTCTTTGAAGTAGGAGGAAAACCTGACTTTTATTGAATATGCTCTGTACTTTTTGAATTATTTAACATACAAATGTATTATAGCTTCATTTATTTTTGTTTTGTTTTTATTTGTATTTTAACTGCTAAGACAGCTGCTGTAGCCATTCTGACAGCTTTTGAGCAGAGAATTTCCTCTATGTAGCAGCATTCTTGCAGGATTTACCATATGAACATCAAACATTGAGTATGTAAGTGGATTAACTCTCTACCCTCAAGTCAGGGGCTTTGTGTCTGACTCTATCTATCCATCCATCTTTTCATCCATCCATCTATCCATCCATCTATCCACCCATCTATCCATCCATCCATCCATCCATCCACCCACCCACCCATTTGTCTTCTCACTGTTTTGTAAGTATTCTGCATGTGTACTATGCACATTTAAATTTAGAATACCATTTTAACTCTATTATGTGTACCAATATAATTTAACTGGCTAGAATTTTTCTGCCCCATGGCCTTGTAAAGTGGAAAAACTATGGGCTTTGCAGTTCAGGCTAAAATCAGTTTCCATCCCTTTCTAGCTGTGTGATCTTGGTCATTTCTTTAATGTTTCTAAACTTCTATAAAATAGGGAGAAATACACCTGCCTGGTGGGGTTGTTGGGAGGAGCTATTGAGATACTGTATACACAATGAGATAGAGGGTAGAGCACTGTAACACAAGCATCATTGCCCCAGCAGGCTGCCAGTTTCCTTTCATGGCATTGATCTCTAAACAGTGACTACTAGGGCTTTAAATAATCCCTCAAGGGTCCATCACATGCCCTCTTTGGTGAGTATTAGTAATACTATGATGGTATTTGGGCTCCTAATGTGGAAGAAAACAGAATATTCCTAGTCAAGGTCATTTTTTTTTCTCTTTATGAAATGAAAATTTCTCAACATGAGACTTGAAAAGCAGGCTGCTGGCACTAGCTTTTTAAAGTGCCCAAACACCCATTTTTATTGTTTTATACAGTCATTATTCATGTTTGGCTTCCAGTGTTTATCTCTTTTTTTCTTTTTCTTTTCCTTTTCTTTTTAGAGACTTTTCACTCTGTTGCCCAGGCTGGAGTGCAATGGTGTGATCATAGCTCACTATAGCCTAGAAGTCCTGGGCTTAAGCTATCCTCCCACCTTTAGCCTCCTGATAGCTGGGGCTACAGGTGTGTGCCAGCCATCATGCCTGGATAATTAAAAAAAAAAAATTTTGTAGATATAGGATCTCACTATATTGCCAAGGCTGGTCTCAAATTCCTGGGCTCAAGTGATTTTCCCACTTCAGCCTCCCAACAGTGTTTTTCATTCATTTCACTTGTATATGCTCTTCCATCAGTGATAATGTTTCTTCTGCCTCAAGAACAAATGCCTTTAGACTTTTTAAAAGCACAAGTCTGCTGACAACAAATTCCATCACCTTTTGTTTGTCTGAAAATATTTTTACTTTGCCTTAATTTTTGAAATATATTTTTGTTTGGCAGTTATTTTCTTTCATCACTTTAAAGATGACATCACAATGCCTTCTGGCTTCCATTGTTTCTGTTAAGAAGTTAGCCATCAGTCTTACTGTTGCTTCTTTGAGGTAATTTATTTGTTTAGGACGATTATCTGACTGCTTTTAGAATTTTCTTTTTGTCTGTTATTCCCCTCTAGCAATTTACTTATTACATTTCTATGTGTATTTTTTTGTATTTATCCTGCTTGAGATTTGTAGCATTTATTGAATCTATAGCTTGATACCTTTAAATCAGCTTTGGAAAATTTTTTGTCATTACCTCTTCAAATGTTGCACCTATTGCTCCCAACTCAATTTCACTTTCCTACCCTTCTGAAGCTCTAATTGCACATCAGACCTTTTCCTGTTTTTATGGTATTGCCTACATATTTTTTCTTTTTAAAAATACTTGGGTGCTTCCATAGGGATATTTTCTACCAACCAATCTTCTAGGTCACTAATACTTTCTTCACCTGTGTTTAAACTATTGTCAAATTTATTTATTGAAGTTTTAATTTCAGTTGTTGTATTTTACAGTTTCATAATTTTCACCTTTTTTAAAAAAACACTTAGATTTCAATTCTCTGGTGAAATTCTCCATTTTGTCATCTGTTTTCTTAAACATATTAATCAGTGTTATTTTATATTCTGTATCTGACAATTTTAGCATCTGGATAATCTGCATGTCTGTTTCTATTGTGTATTTTTTAATCTCTTTTTCCTGTCTTTGTACACCTATAATTTTAAATTGAATTCTGGACATTCTATAGGAAAAACTGCAGAGGCTCTCTATGATGTTAGTTTCTGTCAGGCAGTCAGAATAAAGCAGAACACTTTAAACCAATCAGGAAATAAGCTGATTTGAACCTGAGTTGCAATGCTTATGAAGGCTGATTTATGTCTGTGTAGTGTTATTTTTAGGATGTAATTCTATTAGTTCCTGCTAGAAGCAGGAGGTGCTTACCATGGCCCCTCTGCTTTGGTGGACTCTGAACGCCAGTGTTTATTTACCCGGCACTATGAGACTGACACCAGCTCTGTTTCATTTCTCAGTCTCTTAGCAGCCACTTTTTGTTTTGCCTCTCTAACTCTTGGCCTGTTCTGGGTCTGCTCACAGTTCCAGTTGCAAAGTTGAGCCCTCAGAGTGATTATGACAACCGATGATATCCTCCTTTCAGACATAATATACTGCTCTTGGTGCTAGATGGGCTGTGAGGGACATAGACTAATAATAATAATAACAACCCGTGGTGTAGGCATTGCAATTATATCCACATTTTTACGGCTGAGGAAACCTAGGAACACAGACGCTAAGTCAGTCACTGAAAGTCATATAGTTAGTAAATAGCAGTGCTGGGATTTGAATCCATGTGGTCCGAGTCTTGAAGCTATTTTCTTAATAGAAAGGTAGACCTTCAAACAAGTTTTTATTGTTGAGAAGGCTAGATGGCATCTTCCCCTCTCCCTCCAAATCTGTAACAAACAATGAGAAACATGAGAAACAAAAACAAGAGCCCTTTATACCATAGCATCTTTCAGGAACTCACAGAAGTATTCTTCATTTGTGTACCCTGCACGCCTTGCATAGAACTAGGCACATGGAGATTCAAAATACAATGTTTTGATTGGGTGGGCGTGGTGGCTCACACCTGTAATCCCAGCACTTTGGGAGGCTAAGGCGGGCGGATCACGAGGTCAGGAGATCGAGACCATCCTGGCTAACACGGTGAAACCCTGCCTCTACTAAAAATACAAAAAATTAGCCAGGCGTGGTGGCGGGTGCCTGTAGTCCCAGCTACTCGGGAGGCTGAGGCAGGAGAATGGCGTGAACCTGGGAGGCAGAGCTTGCAGTGAGCCCAGATCGCGCCACTGCACTCCAGCGTGGGCGACAGAGTGAGACTCCGTCTCAAAAAAACAAAAACCAAACAACAACAACAACAAAAAGTTTTGATTTCCAGAGCTTAGGTCTGAAGTTGTATTTTACCACTTGTTCCTGGTGCTTTTCCTGTGTTACCGCAAGAGTTAAGCAACACGTATGTGAAAATAAAATGTAGGATTGCATAGTACAGACCAAGGAGGTAGTTTGGGGCAAAGTCTAGTCTGTGCTTTGTTTGTCAAACTGTGATCCTTATTGCAGCATGAAGGAGGGGGTACCTTTTTCTTATTCAGGTTCCTGGCAACTCTAAGATAGAATTTTTCCCTAATCCATCTCACTGGACTAGTTTCCTATCTTTTCAGGCAGAAAAAGTTGGCTGAGAAGACAATCTAAGCCCAGCTGTTTATTATTACATATCTCGGTTTATTTGGTGACCCGCATGGGAAATTTACAGATTTGATGACACTGAACTTAAAGAGAAGGAAAATAGGACAGGAAAACACTGGGCATATTTGTATTTCTGACGGGTGCAAATCTGTTGAATCAGTTTTCTGTTCCCAAATGCTTCCTTCAGTGTCAGACTGAAGCTTTTTTTATTTAGCAGATTCCCAGAGAAGAAACTCCAGAAGAAAGCAGCAGCTAGGACCTTTTATAATATCCTACAATTTCATTTCCCCTGTTGTTTTTACATCATGAAATGCCCCAGTGTTTAAAGACACAAATTTACCCAATGTCAAAAAACTCCGAAGAGTTTAGAAGAACAAATTCTGTGTATTTATCCCCCTGGTAGTAATATCCTTTTAGGCAATGGACACAGAACAATTTTGAGTGGTTTCTCTCCAGAAGCTGAATACTAATGTTCCCATGCCTAATAAATATGTAGTTTATAAAAAGATTAAGCAAATGTATGCACATAAAGCAATAGAAAATAATCTACTTTGTATTTAAATAGAGCTAAACCAATTTAATGCAATTGTTTCAGGGCATCCATCTGACAAACAGCTTTCTATAAGTGATTCTGTTTATCTTGGGATCATCTCAACCAAAAATTCTGGGAACAACCAAACAAAAAATTGACTGAATTTACACAAAATTCCAGAAAGACTTCCAAATTAATTGCAAAGGCTTTTCTTAAACTTCTCAAGGACATTTTTTAAAGGCTTGTAATATAGATCTCTTTTGGGGGTGCTGAGGACCAGACTGTGGCAGATTGATGCCTGTGAGGTCTGCTTATGATGATTAATAATGAAGCTATTTATGTGGACTTCACCTTTTTCTGAAAAAAACTCATTTTCCAGGTTGGAGCCGTTTCCCCTTAAATAAATTTGTTTCTCTTGGAATAATAAGGAAATATATGCCATTGTTAAAATAATATGTCGAGGGCAGAAAACACCTTTCTGAAGATCCTTTTTACTTCCAGTGGTAACCAAATAGGCTATTATTTTTAGAATACTGAGATCTCTTGTGTGGATAGGGTAGTTGAGTGACTTCAGCTATTAAACAGTTTTATTAAACAGGGAAACTTGGTACTTTTTCCAACTGCGTTTAGGGGATTTTGCACCCAAATATTACCCTGTCCAGGAGTGATTTGGGGAAGAGTGATATTACTGGTTACTGGTAACAGTTGCTAACATTTATTGACTATATATGTGTTATTTGCCAGAGACTGTACTAGACAATTTTACATTATTGCTTTATTTAATTCTCATAGGAACCCTGTGAGCTGGATATTATTACTACCCCTGTATTATAGACAAGGAAACTGGACGTTGGCAAGGTTAAATAACTTTCCTAAGATAGTAAAGCTGGGATATGAACCCAGCATATTTTTGCTGCCCTCTTAAAATATAATGCGGGGGTGAGAGGGCTGCTTGAGGGTAGGAGAGCCTAAATTAATACAACCTTTTTGAAAAGCAGTTTTGAAGTACTTATCAAAATTTTGTAAAATTAGCATACATTTTCATCAACTAATTCCACTTCTAGGGCTCCAGTTTAAGGCATTAATCAGAGATTTGGACAATGATTATGTTCAAGAATGCCTACCGCAACATTATTTACAAGACTTTACAATAGAGGAAAGAAAACATACTGTTTTCCTTTTTCCTCTCACACTCAACACAGAACACTTCTGTGACCACATTTATGATTCCCCCCACTCCCCTGCCAAAACCAAGCAATTCTCCAACAGACACCAACTGGGTATGCTATCATTCAATTCTGAGGCTATCTACCTAGAGACAGTGTTAGATCCTACAGGTCTAGGGCCGAGTCCAGTAAGATTGCCCCCTCTCCAGGTGCCAAACACAAGTCCAGGCCACCCCTACTTCAAACTGACTGGCTACAAATTGAGGTTCCCTTCACCCCCTCCTTGGGTTCCATAATTTGCTGGACCAGCTCACAGAACCCAGGGAAATGCTTAATTATATTTACGGTTTTATTATAAAGTATATGACAAAGGATACAGATGAACAGCCAGGTGAAGGGATGGATAGGGCAAGGTTTAGTGGGGCATGGAGCTTCCATGCCCTCTCTAGTCATGCACTCTCCCAGCACCTCCACATGTACAGCTTATCAAATCTTATTGTCCAAGAGTTTTTATAGAACTTGATCTCCAGTAACTCCTTCTTTCCTAGAGGTTGTTGGGTGGGCCTGAAAGATCCAACTTTTGGAAAAGTAGGGTAGATATGGGGAAGTCTTGATTATAATGCTAAGGACTTTCATTTGTTTGATAACCAGTTGCCCTCTGTTTTGGAAGCTGACTGTGAGAGGGGAGAATCTGAGGGCAAGGACCAGACAGCAGGCTTTAACCCAATTATGCCGGAGGTTGCAAATTTTTTTGGTGAAAATCAGACCTTGGTGATGACCTTGAGCAGTAGGATATAAATAACTCCCACAAGTTTAGCGTTCCAATAATGGAACACTAGGCATAAATAAAAGATTGGCTAGACAGACAGGATCAAAGAGAGGGGCTTTGATCAGGAGGTATCTTTAGGCTCAGCATTGGACTGGATATTTACAGGTGTGTGAGTGCGGATGAAATGCACAAACGCAAAGGAAACTCTGAAGCTTTAAGCCTGAGTGATCAGGAGGGTGATGATGCCATTTAGTGGCTTAGGGAAGAAAAGGGGGAAAAAAGTAGTGCATAGACACTACTCGTTGTAGTGTTGGACATAGACATCCAACAGTCATGTCCCCGTTCTTCACAGAGCCTAGATTTTGTCAAATGGTTAACCCATCCTGAGCCCCTGAGAAGTGTCCTAATTGGTGCAAGCCAGTCAGCTCAGGACATCCCTTTGCTGACTATTCTTGGTCCAGGTGTAGACATGGCACTTAAATTGGCCGTTTCATATTGAGTGCATATTTTGTGGTTGGGGGATGCATACAACATATGTTGGGAAGTACACAGAAGAGTAGGGTAACTAAATGCCCAGACTGAAAAGGGAAGCCATAGTGTATTTGAGAGAATCAGGGAGATCTTGGAGAGAGAAAGGCTCAGAAAATCCATCCCATAGAGTTGTTTATGAACCCCAGGGCTCACCATTGACCTGCACTTGTGTACTTCTGACCCTAGATAGAATACCAGACACTATGAGAAGAGAACTATGGGATTGGGTGCACATGAGACAGATCCAAGTAGCTTTGCAAAGGCTTTGTAAACTGAACTGTCATTAAAACTATAACCCACAGAAGCTGGTCTGGCTTTTGGCCTGAACCCAACTAGGTCAGTTGCCTGCTAAAACAAAAATATCAAAATCCTCCATAGGATTTAAACAAGACCCTGAGTCTCATAATGTAACATTCAGAATGGAAAGAACACAATCCAAAATTGCTCAATGTACTAAGAACCAGGGAAAATGTTGACTTCCATGAGAAAAGATAGGCAACAGATGCCAACATTGAGATGACACAATTTTGAAATTATAGCCTTTAAATATTATATAAATGCATCACAAAATGAGCACTGTCTTGAAATGAATGGAAAGATAAAAAGTCTCAGCAAATAATAGAAAATACAAAAAGAACCAGATGGAAAATTTAAAACTAAAAAATACAATAACCAAAATAAAAATCTTTTCAGATAGACTGAATAGCAGAATGAAGACAACAAAAGAATCAGTACATTTGAAAAAAGATCAGTAGAAATTATCCAGTCTGAACAACAACAAAAAAAGGACTTGGCAGACGTGGGAAGGGGAGAAGCACTCTCTCTCTCGTGGGAGAACATCAAAAATTCTAAATTTATACCATCAGAGTCCCAGAAAGAGAGTAGAAGGAGTAAACTTCAGAAAAAAATATTTGAAGACTAATGAGTGAAAATTTCCTGAAGTTTGAAAATGAGCAACAGAGACACAGGACAAGAACAAGGCAAAAAATAAATGTCATAGAAGACATATAAGTATTGAAAAGTTTTCAAGACACCCGAATGCCCAATACTGTCCCCTTACTCATTGTGTAACCTTGGAGAATTTTATTTATCTTTCCTCATCTGTAAAATGGGTAGAATAAGGCTAAAGATAAGAATGTCATGAAGATTGAATGAGATAATCTAAATAAAGCACTTAGCATCAATTCCTGACTCACAGTAAATGCTGAATAAATAATAGTTTGTTTTTTAAAGGGGAAGGAAGGAGATCAGCAAAGGTTTCAGGAATGATGAGGACTCTAAAGAGAACCCAGGGCTTTGCAAGGTGAAGATGATCCTCTGAGATTGTTTTGGTAGCATGGTCAGACTATCTTGAATTGAAAAGTAATTAAGAGCAGTGGAAAGGGAGAAAATTGGCATAAACTTTTTGACAAAGTTTGATGGTAAGACTTGCCTGAGAATGCAAATCTGATAGAATATACCTTGATTTTTTAAGATGGAAAATTTGATTCTGTTAATAAGCTAAAGGGAAGGAGGGGTAGAGAGGAAGAGGTTAATGATTTGGGAGAGGAATGCATGGCTGATGGCACATGGCCTTCCAGCAGACAGGAGGAGAGAGGCTCAATCCCACAGGTGTTTGTTGTTGTTGTTGTTGTTGTTGTTGTTGTTGTGTGTGTGTTTGCAGAAGTTATCACTGATGCAATGGTTTAAGCAGAAATTAAAAGTCTAATTATTATCAAAGAGTATTTAAGATTATCATTATCTGCAGATAATATGCTAGCTGTTCTCAAACAGTGATTCCTGACCTTTCCACATTATAGAATGTGAAAAAAATGATAATATCTGTAAGATATACTGGAATGAACCATAGGGGATTCAGAAGCAATTTTCTTTGTATAATTATGATAATAAAAATAAAATGTAAAGTATGGGGGAAGATATTAAATATCAAATTTATGTAAAACTTCCAAGTGAAATATTCTCAAATTGGTTACCTAGAAACTTAGGCTTATTTCTGTGGACAAAACTTTCATATCAGATAGTATGCCTAAAAAAGCTATAAACATTTCTTGATGTCAATTTTTTAATGATTATCTCTTGGTAGTCAACATGAATGAGAAACTTTGTTCATATTAGTAGCTGACAAAATATTCTATTGTTTTCTATCAAATTTACAATAGTTGCCAAGAGAATGTAACAGCTCTTTTATTCTTTTCTAGAAAAATGTGATATTGAAATCTGTTGTGATAATGAAAATAGATTTTTTTAAAAACAGAACTATTTTTTTCCCCTTTACATTCTTTTTTTTTAACTCTCATTTTAGGTTCAGGGGTACATGTGCAGGTTTGTTACATAAGTAAACTTATGTCATGGGGGTTTGTTGTACAGATTATTTTCATCCAGGTATTAAGCCTAGTACCCATTAGTTATTTTTCCTGATCCTCTCCATCTGCCCACCCTCCACCCTTCAGTAGGCCCCATTCTGTGTCGTTCTCCCCATGTGTTCATGTGTAAACAGAACTTTTTTTACACCATGAACTTCAAAGTAGTGAGGAAGCGGTCGTGTGAAGAAAGGGCATGCGTTTTTGGAGGAGTGTCACTAAAAAAATCCATCAGCCACAAAATAAGTGACAGTATGTGCTCAGTGTCAGGACAATGATTCCAAGCTGCCAGCTGGTGAAGCATCTGCCCCATTCCCACAACCAATTGCACCTTAGGCTGTGATCCAAGTACGGCGGGCACCTGGAACCCAGGGTCCTCCAGCAACTCCATAGGCCCAAGACCACATGGCACAGAGACGCACTCTGCTGCCAAACTGAAGGAGCTGTCCAGGCTGCAGAGCACCTCTTTGGCTGTGTTTGAGGTGTGGCTAGGAAGCTGGGAGTGCCGCGAATCAGTGTAGGGAACGGTGCTCATTGCTAATGGTGACAGCACATAGTCAGGAATACTCTGCTTAGGGTTCCCTTCAGGGGATCGAATGAGCCTAGGAGGTTGAGGCTGCAGAGAGCAGTGATCAGGCCACTACACACCAGCCTGGGCAACAGAGCCAGATCCTCCAAGGAGTTCATGATTGCAGGTGACCAGCTACAAGTGACTGCCCCAGACCTTCCTTCCTACTGGTGCACTCAGTATCTCACAGAGCACCAGGATCCCCATGCTCGCCACACCTGAGGGCTGCGTGCAGCACACTCATAGGAAAGCTCTGGTCTAGAAAACCCAAGGGAATTGTATGAGAAAGTATTGGCATTAATAAAAGAGTGAAAAGAATGGCAATATATGAAAGAATGACAATATACACATATAAAGAAAAACATATGAAAAATTACCAGATTTTCTAGATACTATAAACAGAGAGGAAACATAATGAAAAATATTGCATTCTCAATATAGCATGTTTCTTGTTATTTCTAGTTAGTTATAGTTATCTCCATACAGATGAAATGCCTAGGAATAACTTAACAAGAAACGTGAGAGATTTGTATGAAGATATAATAAGACTTTACCACAAGATATAAAAAATTACTTCAATAAATAGAGCCATAACATGTTCTTGGATGGGAGAACCGAATATTATGAGATTGTCAATTCCTACCAAATTAATTTATAGTTTAATATGACTCCAATCAAAATCACAATAGTGTTATTTTTGGAATATTACAAAAATCATTCCAGAGTGCATCTGGAGGACAAATAGGCAATAGTAACTAATACATTTTGAGGGTAAATAAAGGGTGGTAGGGAGGATTTAGCCTTCCAAGAAAGTAAAACACAACAGAAGATAACAATAATGTTATCGGTTTGTCTCTCCTGCCAGAATAATTTGGCAGGACAGAATAGATAGGCCAGAAAGAACCCATAGGATATATATGATGACGATGATAAAGGTGGCATCACAAGGCAGGAAGGAAGGGCAGGATTCTCCAATGAATGGTGCTAGGTATTGGTTGGGGGTGGGCATGGGGTTGAGGAAGAAATGGAGAGAAACTGTTTTCCTAAATGTGTGTTTCTATGTACTCCAACTACAGTTACACTTCTGGGTTCTCTCCCAATCCTCATTTTCTTTCTTGGGTCAGGAAGAAGGAAATATCTGATTGATGAGTTTAGAAGAAATAGAATGTGTGGCTCAGGCCCCTCCTCTCTTTCAGGGTCTGTCTGCTTGCAGAGAGGCTGCAAGCTGGTCTGCCTCAGCTCAGTGGCTCTTAAAGGGGCAGTTTCTGCCCCTGCCCTTAGGGAACTCAGTAGGGGTCGAGCGTGGCCTGGAATTGTGTGAATAAGGCAGCTTAATCCAGGGTAAGGTATGTTAGCAGACTATTTTGGCTGCTTATCTAAAATTACATATTCTAATCAGCTTTAATCAGGAATAAAGAAAACAACATCGGCCGGGTGTGGTGGCTCACGCCTGTAATCCCAGCACTTTGGGAGGCCAAGGTGGGCGGATCACCTGAGGTCAGGAGTTCGAGATCAGCCTGGCCAATGTGCTACTAAAAATACAAAAAAATTAGCTGAGCGTGGTGGTGGGCACCTGTAATCCCAACTACTTGGGAGGCTGAGGCAGGAGAATCGCTTGAACCTGGGAGGTGGAGTTTGTGGTGAGCTGAGACCATGCCACTGCACTCCAGCCTGGGCAACAAGAATGAAACTCTGTCTCAAAAAAAAAAAAAAAATTCCACCCACATTATATGTTTATCTCTTAATTGGTTTCTAACTCATGAGGGGGAAGGGCTGTTATTTGTTGGTCCAGTTAAATCTCCAAAACTGGAGTAATTGGTTGGAGAAAAATTTATGTCCTAACACACGCAATATATGAAGAATAACCTCTACAAAAGTTTAACTAATACAAATTAAAATCAAGATACATGATCAAATTTTTGGATCAAGGAAGACTGTCTAGGATTAAAAGCAAAGACAAATATCCCTAGGCAAAGACACATAGCTCTAACAAGATTTTCATACAGTGTGTAGGCCAGGCACAGTGGCTCACACTTGTAATCCCAACACTTAAGGAGGCTGGGGCAGAGGATCACTTGGGTTCAGGAGTTTGAGGCCATCCTGGACAATATAATAAGTCCTCATTTCTATAAAAAAAAGAAAAAATTAACCTGGTGTGGTGGTGTGTGCCTGTAGTCCGAGCTACTTGGGAGGCTGAGGTGGGAAGATCAGTTGGGCTCTGGAGGTCCAGAAGCAGTGAGCAGTGATTGCTTCACTGCATTCCAGCCTGGATGGCAAAGCAAAATCCTGTCTCAAAAAAATTAGTAAAATAGGCCGGGCGCAGTGGCTCATGCCTGTAATCCCAGCACTTTGGGAGGCTGAGGTGGGCGGATCACTCGAGGTCAGGAGTTCGAGACAAGCCTGAGCAATATGGTGAAACCCCATCCCTACTAAAAATACAAAAAATTAGTGGGGCGTGGTGGTGTATGCCTGTAATCCTAGCTACTCGGGAGGCTGAGGCAGGAGAATCACTTGAATCCAGGAGGCAGAGGTTGCAGTGAGCTGAGATCACGCCATGGCGCTCCAGCCTGGGTGACAAAGCAAGACTCTGTCTCAAATAAATAATAAATAAATAAATAAATAAATAATTAAATAAATAAAATAAAATAAAATAGTGTATATATACATTAATAAAAAAGCAAAACAACCAAAAGGCAGTTATTAAACTGGAAAATTATTGTTAGTAAATATTATATGTAATTACTACATGACATTTATTAAGAACATAGACAAAATAATCATGAAAATGAACATTTCAGTAGATGGATAGAAAAAATATTAAGAAGGAATTCACAAAAAGAAAAATACAAATAGCTAATGAATATGTTTAAAAAGTCATATACACAAATGATCAAAGAGATGCAGTTAAAATGAAATACCATTCTTTGTCTATCCAGCTAGAAAATAATTATAAAATGAGAATTCCTAGTCCCGGTGAAGGTATAATGAAATGGTCACTGTAAGTAGTAGGAATAAATCAGTGCAACTTTTCTGAAAAGAAATTTGGCAACATTCACTAAGTCTTAAAATGTTTATACCTTTTAACTCCAGTAAATCTGATAGTCTACCCTAAGTTATTTGCAGAAATGCAAAATAACAGCTATGTCCTAAGATTTTTGTAATAACGAAATAAATGGAAGAATATATGTCCAACATTAGTGAAGGTTAAGTACATTATCACATAATGGAATATTATGCAGCCATTAAAATTAAGCTTACAAAGGGCTTTTAAACATCACCTAAGGACATTAAAAAATAAAATTGTGTAACCTCTCTGTTTAAAAAGAATAATAATTTAAGGCAGCTTATGAGTAGACCTGAAATTTAGCAAGATTGCCTAAATTAGAAGTAGATGAGAAAAACAGAAGACAACAAGAGTAGGAACAAAAGACGAGCTGTGAAGAACCTATTGCAAAAATGAAAACAATTGCTGGAGTCTGAACATTGGCTATGAGTGAGTTGAAAATCCCACTCTATGCAAATCCAAAAAGGAAAGGTGTTTTAGAACATCACAGCATGGAGTTTGCTGGGGAGGTAACATAAGATAAATACAAGGTTTGTCAGGCATGACTGAGGCACAAGTGAGGTTTAGCAATACGATTTTACAGTGCATCCACTTGGCAGATGTCTATAATTTTCTATGGTAACTCTCAACAGCCTGAAAATAGCAGAAGCCACAGCATCAGAGGCTGAGAAAATGATGATGGATAAATTCAAGTTCGGAAGTTGAAATGATAAAGTGGGAGGAAGGTGGGGTGGTGAAGGCATCTGGGGTGCTTTCTGAGTAATCATCTATTAATTCAACAAAAAGTTATTGAACACATACTGTCTACAAGGCATTGTCCTAGTCATTCTGGGGATACATCAGTGAACATAACAAAGATCTCTAAACTTTGTTCACAGATAAAGTGAGATGAGGAATATATAATAAACAGAATACATCATGAATACAATAAAATTGTGTGCTTGGGAACAAAGGAAACTAAGGAGCAAGGGATAGGGAATTGGGAGTATAGTTAGTGTGTGTGTGTGTGTGTGTGTGTGTGTGTGTGAGAGAGAGAGAGAGAGAGAGAGAGAGAGAGAGAGAGAGAGAGAGAGAAAGGCTGGGCAATAAAGACCTAAAGGAGGTGAGGGAGTGAGTCATGAAGATATGTTGGGGGAGAAGGTCAAGGAGTGAGAGCATCTGGACCACTAGGATCTAGAATAGGCAGTGCAGAAAGAAAGGTAAGGCAAGGACCTGCCTTAGATGGAGAAAACAGAGATGGGGTAGGTACAATTCATTAGGGAAAGAGAGCAGTCAGGAGGTCATCAGCCAAAGTGGGGAACTCCTGAGCCTGGAGTCACAGAACTTTACAACTCTCATCTTAAATCTACTCCCTTTGCTCACAGAACTACTGTTAAATGTTCCGGTGACACAGTCTGCAGTGGTGCACCCCTCTTCCTGCTATGAGTTCAGAACAACTGCTAAGTGGGCATACTGAAAATTCAAATTTCACAGGAGAGGGCTTTTTGGTAAAAAATGTATAAAAAGAATTGAGTGACTTGCACATTAAAATATGCCTTCTTTAGAGGTTTAAAAACAAAGATAGAGGCCAGGCACGGTGGCTCACACCTGTAATTCCAGGATTTTGGGAGGCCGAAGCGGGTGAATCACTTGAGGTCAGAAGCTCGAGACTAGCCTGGCCAACATGGAGAAACCCTGCCTCTACTAAAAATATTTTAAAAAATTAGCTGGGTATGGTAGCAGGCTCCTGTAATCCCAGCTACTAGGGAGGCTGAGGCAGGAGAATCGCTTGAACCCAGGAGGCGGAGGTTGCAGTGAGCCGAGATCACCCCACTGCACTCCAGCCTGGGTGACAGAGGGAGACTCCGTCTCAAAATAAATAAATTTAATTAAATAAATAAATAGATAAATAGAATTGTGAGGCATGTAATTGTACCAATAAGATGATCACAACATTGTCAGATAACACCATCCAAAATCATATGCATAGAAAAAAAGGATAGAAGAAAACACCAAAATATCTACTGTAGCTGGATATCGTTGGGTAGTGGGATTACACAAACTGTTTTCTTTATTTGTTTCTACTTGTTTTACTTTTAATAATGGCTGAAGAATTTTTACTTAAAAGTAGGCTGTTTGTAGCAATGTTGGTTTAAGTATAGTCCTACTAGACAAGAAGAAAATGTAATAGAGTACAAATTGATAACTAACATAGGAAATAAAAATAGTAAAGACATGGAAATCTACTCAACATCATTAATTACCAAAGAGAAACGAAAATTGAAACTTTAAACATTTTTATTTTTTGCTCATTAAATTGGTAATTTAAAGAAGATTTATAATGTGGAACTAAAAAAAAAATGGAGACGAAATAATCAATGAAATCATTTGACAAAATTTCCCAGAACTAAAGGAAATTGAAAGAGTCTACTGAGTGGCCATCAACATAGATGAAAATAGACTCTGCCGGGCACGGTGGCTCATGCCTGTAATCCTAGCACTTTGGGAGGCCGAAGCAGGTGGATCATGAGGTCAAGAGATGGAGACCATCTTGGCCAAGGTGGTGAAACCCCATCTCTACTAAAAATACAAAAATTAGCCAGGTGTGGTGGCGGGCGGCTGTAGTCTCAGCTACTTGGGAGGCTGAGGCAGGAGAATCTCTTGAACTCAGGAGGTGGAGGTTGCAGTGAGCCAAGATGGCGCCACTGCGCTCCAGCCTGTGTGACAGAGCGAGACTCTGACTCAAAAAAAAAAAAAGAAAAGAAAAGAAAAGAAAAGAAAAGAAAATAGATTCATACATATTCTCACAAAATTCCACAACACAGGGGACATAGATAAGATCCTACAAATGTCTAGGGAGAAAAGAAAACAACTTATGTAGAAAAGGATCATGAATCAGAACAGTTCTGGATTGTCCAACAGCAAAACTGGAAACTAAAAGAAAATGAAGAAATGTCTCCAAAATATAGGAACAGAATAATTTCCAACCTTTAGTTTTCGACCTACCAAGTTATTAATCAAATGAGGATAGGCATTTGCAAAATATCGTAAATTTACCTCTGATTCATTCTTTCTTAGGAAGGCTATTGGTGGGTGCATCCACAAAACTGGGGAGTCAACCAAGAAAGAGAAGAGCTAAAAGAAGAGTGAGGGAAAGAGCATATCTAGACTGATGTTAAAGAAAGACCTTAGGCCAGGTGCAGTGGCTCACACCTGTAATCTTACCACTTTGGGAGTCTGAGGTGAGAGGATGGCTTGAACCCAGGAGTTCAAAACCAGCCTGGGTGATGTAGCCCCATCTCTACAAAAAATAAAAAATTAGCGGGGCGTAGTGGTATGCACATGTGGCCTCGGCTACTCAGGAGGCTGAAGTGGGAGGATCACTTGAGCCCAGGATATCGAGGCTGCAGTGAATTGTGATTGTGCCACTGCACTCCTGCCTGGGCAACAGAGTGGGACCCTGTCTTGAAAAAAAAAAAAAAAAGAAAAAGAAAAAGAAGAAAAGAAAGACCCCCAAATGCCGGTTCAGATCAGAGGTCAAGAGGTCAGAGGTCTCCAAGAGAAAATTCTTCAGGGCTTTGATTTTATGAATACCTGACGCTTCTAAACACCTTAAGAGGAATTAAGATGATCCACAGAGACTTTGTGATTGACACAATAGAAAGTATGTTTAAAAATAAAATTAGTAATTATTAACTTTAAAAAACCCCACAAAGCTGTACAGGAAAGGGAATATAAATACTAGTATCGCCTCTGACTCATTTCTGACTAATGTCTAAGATGTCATCAGAATGTAAATACTGAATATGTCTCTAGTAGAATTGTGATATGACTCTGTTGGGGAGATAGGGTACTGAGAAGGGCTATGTGTATGTGGAGAGAAGAAAGTGAAATCCTTTTCTTTTATGGAAGCAAATTTAGAAAGAACACCTAAGCCAGTTACCCCCTCTCTTTCTGGACATTCTCATGTTTGGATGGGGAGTTATTAGGAAGACAAACAGCCTGAGAATAAAGATGACACACTGAGAAAAGCAGAATGGAAAGCAGAAACTGGGCCCTTGATGATCTGTGACTGAATTAACTAATCCCGGAATTGGTCTACCTCCGATCTATTTGTGTAAGGTCCTCAGTGACGATGCTGTGAGCATCTATGGCTTCCACATTCAAGTACTTTGCACAACTATCTCCGCAAATTGGTACAACTTCTAGACAAGGCATATAAAACTCCAGAGGCCACGAAAAAGGTCAATGTTAATGATAAGATATATTATTATTAAGCACTGACAATATGCCACATCCTTCAGGCTACCTGAAGATTGATAGCCCTTTCCGACTATGAGTTTTACTGCCTATGGCCTTAAATTTTTGTATCCACAGAATTATTGAAAGAAAAAAATGACTTTACTGAAAATAACCACACTAATATTTATGTATAAGTTTATACTTTTAAAAAATAATTTTGACACATGACAAGTAACTATTCTGAAGAAACACATTATTATGTGCTACCTACTTCACAAATGATAAACTAAGGAAATGAGTAAGACCACATATAAATTTCTACAAGAACTTTTAAATACAGTTGACCCTTGAACAACATCAGTTTGAACTGTAAGCATCCACCTATATGCGAATTTTAAAAATAAATATATTTGAAAACTTTTTGGAGATTTGCAACAATTTGTAAAAACTTGCAGATGAACTGTGTAGCCTAGAAGTAGTTCTAAAATTAAGAAAAAGGTATGTCACAAATGCATAAAATATACACAGACACTAGTCTATCATTTACTACCATAAAATATTCAGAAATCTATTATAAAATGTTAAAATGGGACTATGCCTGGCTACTCAGGAGGCGGAGGTAGGAGGATGGCTTGAGCCCAGGAGTTCTAGTCTACAGTGAGCCATGATCCTGCCACTGCATTCCAGCCTGGGTGACAGAGCAAGACCCTGTCTCAAAAGAAAAAAAAAAAAAAAGAAAACCACCCACACAAACACAGACTGTACATGGCACTATTTGCAGTTGAGAGAAATGTAAACAAATGTAAAGATGCAATATTCTATCATAACTGCATAAATTAACTGCAACAATACTGTAATACTGTACTACTGTAACAATTTTGTAGCCGCCTCTTGTTACTATTGCAGTGAGCTCAAGTGTTGCAAGTATCTGCTTAAAATGCCACTGTGATGCTAATCATCTCCAAGTGAGCAGTTCATTTCTCCAGTAAATTGTGGATTGCAGTAGAAAGTGATCTCTCCCAGTTCTCCTGTATTTTTCCTGTTTAGTGCAATAATGTAAACCTGGAATAACACCATGAGACTCATATAAAGTGCTACTAGTGATGCTGGAAGTGCTCCCAAGAAGTGGAGAAAAGTCATGATGTTGCAAAGAAAAATTGAATTGCTTGATCTGAACCACAGATTGAGGTCTGCAGCTGCGGTTGCCTGCCATTTTAGGCAGATCATTCACCTCATATACAGACAATGTAAACCTGTGGTGTCAATAGAGTGCAGTGTTGTAAATGTATTTTTTCTTCCATATGATTTTGATTTTCTTCCTTTTTTTTTTTTGGGATAAGGTCTCAGTCTGTAGCCCAGGCTGAAGTGCAGTGGTGGAGTCATGGCTCACTGCAGCCTCAACTTCCCCAGGCTCAGGTGATTCTCCTACCTCAGCCTCCTGAGTAGCTGGGACTACAGATGCATGTCACTATGCCTGCTAATTTTTCTATTTTTTGTAGAGACAATGTTTTCCCATGGTTAGTCTCGAACTCCTGGGTTCAAGAGATTCGTCCACCTCAGCCTTCTAAAGTACTGGGATTACAGGTGTGAGCCACTGTGCTTGGCTTCCATATAATTTTCTCAATAACATTTTTTTTCTTTTTTTTTTTGGAGATGGGTCTTGTTCTGTTGCCCAGGCTGGAGTACAGTGGTGTGAATATAGCTAATTGTAACCTTGAACTCCTGGGCTCAAGTGATCCTCCCACCTCAGCCTCCAGAGTAGCTAAGACTAGACTACAGGCACGCACCACCATACTTAGCTAATTAAATTTTTTTTTTTTTTTTATAGAAATGGAGTCTTGCTATGTTGCTCAGGCCGGTCTTGAACTCCTGGTCTCAAGACAGTCCTTCCTGGGATTATAGACATGAGCCACCACACCTGGCCAAGATTTTCTTTTCTCTAGCTTATGTTAAGAATATATAATACATATGACATACAAAATATATGTTAATTGATTGTTTTATGTTTTCAGTAAGGCTTCCAGTCAACAGTAGGCTATTAGTAGCTAAGTTTTTGGGGAGTTATATGCAAAAGTTATATGCAGATTTTCGACTGAGAGAAAGATCCATGTACACATTGTTCAAGGGTTAATTGTGCTGTATATAGAATAAAAAAAAATTTGTA
This sequence comes from Homo sapiens, assembly GCF_000001405.40. NCBI lineage: Eukaryota > Metazoa > Chordata > Mammalia > Primates > Hominidae > Homo > Homo sapiens. The sequence goes on along the minus strand of NC_000003.12, from coordinate 159,961,919 downwards.
ACCTCACAGGACAAAATAATGAAAATAAAAATAAAGATTAAAATAGGTAGAATTTTTTAAAATTAAGAAACTCACCTTTATAATAAACAACAATAATGTTGAACAATAATAATGTTGAAAGTAATCTTATAAATATGTTTGTTGGATGGGTGGGAATCCAAGGAAGCTTCAATCTCTAAACCTTTATCTTTAGCTGAAAAGGAATTCATCTATAACCAAATATAAAAACAGTGATAATAGCTTATAACTAGTAAGTTTCCTGGATATGCTAGGCACTATATTCAGTATTTTATTTGCAGTTTTATCATTTAATTTTCACATTTATCTTAGGTAGGGGGTATTATTATTGTCCCCATTAGGCTTGAGGAAAGTGTAGTTCATAGAGGTAAGATTTGTGCTTAATTCCAGAGCTTGGGTTCTTAACATCTGTGCTATATGCTCTTTCATTAACTATGAAGAAATCTGAAATCAAATGCAATAATAATACCTCATCCATTTTCTAATAGATTTCTACATTAACCATTGCAGTGTAGGTTAATATGGGCCAGATGCTCTCTGATTGCAGGCGCACACATTCCAGAGGCCCCACACCTCATATTCCCACAGCTCCTATCTCTCTTCATGCACAAATTTACTTGACCCTGGACTGGATGTACTATATAAAGGCTGCTTCATATTTGCTTGGGATTTTAATATTCTGTCTGAAGGTCTTTCACTTATTCACCATGTGGTGTGTGATGTCTGCTTTTGAATGCATGTGCCCAGAGACCACGGAGTGTGTCTGTCTCCCATGCTTGTTACAGAGCTGTCACCGTCATCAGCTTTGCCAATCATTCATGCAACCTATGAGTAAAAAAAATGAGTGGGCTGGAGGGCCTCAGTAAGGGGAAGACAGTGTTCATACCCTCCTCATGTACGGAGCCTGGGAGCTGTCCGAACCAAGTACCCAGGGAAGCATCGGCCCTCCCCACATCAAACACAGAGACACACAGAGTCTGAATTCTTCTGATATGGCCAGTGCTGACCTGCCAGCCTCCAAAGGTGTTTCATTTGCTTATCAAGAAATCTGGATAAAATGGCTTGTGAATAATGTCCCAGCATGCTCCTGACGAACCCCAAAATGAGATTCAAAAGCATTAAACAGGATTGGATTGTCAATAAATGATATGTAAGAACATTAACATAAAAAGCTTTTTTATCTGCCTCAGTTATTTAATCTCTGCCAGTTCAGATGTGCATCTCCTGTGCCCTGCTGTTAATACGTACTGACATCTGAAGTGAAGCGAGCTGTTTCCATATCCTTTGGAAATGGAAATGGAGGTGTCAAGGGAGCACAGAAAGTAGAAATGATGAAATGCTGTTCATCATAGTAGTGCTAATTAAAAATGCACAACAATACCACAAGGGCCATGAATTTATACAGTGGGTCTTCTGGATGATAAAATGTTAGTCTACCCTTTTGTCAGACAGAGGAGGGAATATAACCAGAGAGAGGAGACAACTTGCTAAGGTCAAAGTGATGATTTATGTCGGGGTCCAGAACCAAACCCAGGCCTTCTGGGAGTTCTTTCCCCTGCTCTGCAAGGCCTTCCCTAGCAAAACACTCTGTTGTCTATTAATTCATCTGCAAGAGACATTTTCACACGGTGCCAACGCACATGGTTTGGCTGACAGGACAGGCCCATGTTGTGATTGACTGGTCTGATCTTTCTCCCAGGCACCCAAACTCCTGGCGTCATACTTGCTCAGCCGTGTTCTATTATTTCTGTAGGGTGGATCATGGGTGAGTTTATTTTTTTCCGTTTTTCCTGTTTTTTAGTTTTTTAAATTTTTTTGTGGGTACATAGTAGGTACATACATTTATGGGGTACATGAGATGTTCTAATACAGACATGCAATGTGAAATATTGTTCCTTTCTTTTTTAAAAAGTTAATATTTACACTGTTTCTCCTATAACTAGTCTGTATTTTTTTGTGCTTTAAAAGAAAATATTTTAAAAAGGGTTTCAAGGTCCAAATAGGATCATGAGAATAGGTGGTTAGATTGGAGCAGAGTGTTGAAGCTGGGGGAAGGGAGATATAAGTACTTTAAGGCCAGATTGTCAGCTGATTTGGCCATGTAGGTGTTGAAGTGATGATAGTGTGAGATGGATCGGAGTCAGAGAGAAAGCTGGGAGTCAGGTGCCAATGTCTTCAATAAAGGGGCAGGGGTGTGGGGGGTAGAAATCAAAAAGGACAGTGGGTGCCTTAGCAAGGCAGCATAGACTTCAGTGGAAAATAGAAGAGTTATACTCTTGAAGCAGCACTGAGGCCCTGAAAGGGGAGGAGAGATGTGGGTGAGAGTCAGAGCTCCAGCAAGAAAAGGGGATTGAGTGACTATTTTGTTTGGAGGTTGAAGGTATGGGGAAGATTAGTTTCTCATTTTCTATTCTTTTTATTATAAAATATAACACACATAGAAAAAAGTACGTTAAGACCTAAATGTACAGCATAACAAATAATTATAAAGCATATAGCCATGTAACTGCTGCCCTGTTAAAGAAATAGTGTATCGTTGACACCCCAGAAGCACTCTGTGTGTGTTCTCTCTTTATCACATCCCCTTCCCTCTGGAATTAACCACTATCCTGACTTTTGGGGCAATTATGTCCTTCCTTTACATTTATTGAGGGTTTTTAAAAATTCCACTTTTCCCGTCTACTCATTTGGAAGTTATACATTACTTTTGATATGAAAACCTGTATCCTTAATATATTAAAACCTAGCGTTACCCTCCTCAAGAGCAATAAAAAAATTAGGATACTGTTTTCCTGGTATATATGTTATTTTTATCATATATTTTAATTCTATATATTTTAAAAGCACAAAGACATTATTATCATTGTTGTTTTATACTGTCAGTGTTCATTTAGCTTTATACACATACTTCCTACTTTCTTTGCTCTTTTTTCCTTCTTGCAGCTCAGACCTCTTTTTGCAATCATTCTTCTACTGTGAGGGGAGCCTTTCAGAATTTCCTTTCACATGGGGGTGATGGTGGCAACACTGCTGTTTTGTTAGTTTGAAATGTCTTTATTTTACTCTCTTGTGGGGTATATTTGATGAGTATAAAATTCTAGGTGTCAGTAATCTTTTAGCATAGTGGAAATATCATTCCATTGTCTTCTTGTTTCCAGTATTGCTGTTGAGAAATTATATGCCAGTTTAACAGATACTCTTTTGAAGTTAATCTGTCTTTTTTACACCTCTGGATGCTTTTCGAGGTGTTATCTTTGCCTCCAGTTTTCTGTAATCGCTGCTAATAAACACATACCTGAGGCTGGGTAATTTATTAAGGAAAGAGGTTTAATTGACTCACAGTTCTTCATGACTGGTATGGCCTCACAATCATGGTGGAAGGTGAAGTAGGAGCAAAGTCTTGTCTTACATGGTGGGAGGCAAGAGAATGTGTGCAGGGGAACTCCCCTTTATAAAACCATCAGATCTTATGAAACTTATTCACTAACATGAGAACAACATGGGAAAGACCCGCCCCCATGATTCAATTACTTCCCACTGGGGATTATGGGAGCTACAATTCAAAATGAGATTTGGGTGGGGACAGAGCCAACCCATGTCACTCATTATGATGTGTCTGACATTTTAGTTATATTGCTTAAGAGTTGTAGTGATTCTTGAATCTGTGGATTGATAGCTTTCTTGAATTCTAGAATATTCTCAGCCATTATCTCTTCAACTATAATCTCTGCCCCATTATATCTAGCTTCTTCTGATACCAATTACACGTGTAGTAGACTTTTCGGTCTATCCTCTATGTTTCTTTTCTTCTCTTCTGTGATTCTCATTTTTATGTCTCTATTTGCTACACTGTGGATACTTTTTCTGGCTTATATTCCAGTTCACCAGTTTTCTCTTTGGCTATGTCTGGATAGCTGAAGAGAAAGCTGGATGCCATCTGGAGGCTGAATGAACCTACATTTATTCACTAAATTTTTCTTTGTGGATTGCATTTTTCTTTCACAGGAGTTCTATTTGGTTCTTTTTGAAATGTGTTATTTTGCTTTTTATGGTTTTCTTGTCCCTGCAGATATTTTCAAGCTTGTCTTTGTAACTTTAAACATCATAAACATATGGTCTTTGTCTGACAATTTCAATATATGAAGTCTTGCATGTGATTTTTATTTATTCTGGTGCATATTGCTCTCAAGTTGTTAACTATGATTGTGTGCTTACCATTATATTTGGAAAAAATTAGAGTTTACAATTGAAGGCTTAGGATGACTCTCCAGAGAGAATTTTCTGTGCTTGGGATCTTTTTCCACTAATAGTCAAGGACCACATTATATCAAATTTAAGAATTGTAGTTCCCAGAATGAGCCAGGTCAGCCTTATCCTGAGGCTGTAGTCCTCTGAGGTTCTAGCTTACTATGGGCATATTTGTGTGTCTCCTGTTAGATCCTTCATCTTGTGCAGGTCTTGGGATTGATAAATATTCCTTTTGCCCCACAAGGACATCAATACTGAAGTTTAAACTTTTCAGAATAAGGCAAATGCGCTCAGTCGCTTTTCTGCTTATTTAACTCACTAGGTTCTCATTTTCTCTTCAGTTTTGGCGTTCCTTGCTGTCTTCTCAGCTTTTGGATGTTTTTAAGAGTCTTAAATGTAGATTTAGCTTTTCAAAAAAGTCATTTCTAGTGGGATGTTGTTCCAAATAACCTATGATCTTATCATAAATAAAAGGTTTGGCCATTTTCTTACATAAAGTGAGAACTCCAAAGGAAATTGTAGGAAGTTTTCTTAGGAAACAAGGGTCATAGTAGAAGGAGGTCATAGTAGAGGAGGTCATAGTAGAAGAAGGAATATAGGATTAATGATATATGAGATACTAGAAACCCAGAGAGGCTTACCATTTGAACTATGGAATATGAGGAATTATGGTTTAACTGGTCTCTAAGACCCCATTCATATCAGTTCCATAACTGGCCAGACATGGAGACTGGGGCTATGAGCACCAACTTTGCTGGGAATGCAATCAGGCACTGAAAAGGCATTGTTCTAGTGATCCTGGAGATTTCTCTCCCTGGTAGTCTGGGAAGGGAATTCTTTAGTTCCAAGAATGCTCACCTCATGAAAAAAATTAACAGCAGCACTCGGTGGCTTGGAAGCCTCTGTGTCCTCACTATAATTTTGGATAACATCTGCAGTAGGAATTATGATCATTACTCATGTTAAAGGACCTACTATTCATTTTATAATTTTTAAAGATTATAGAAATTTGTAGTTGTGGCAGTATTTTATGGTACATCATTTGTGGCCTCTGCAATGTATAAAATGCTGAAATCCAAATCAGAAGACAATCCCAATTATAACATTGTTTCTATGAGAAAACAGAAGATGCTTCTTAATGTTATAATTACAGATATATTCACGTATGTACAGAAAAAATTACCTAAGAAAACATATCAAATTTTGACATGAAATTCGTTTTATAAAATTTATCAATAAGTATATATTATTTGAATAATCAAAAATAATAGAGGTTATTTTGGAACAGAAGCAAGGTGCTGTCTACCCCACAGCTGAATCAGGGCAATCCACAAATCTTCTGTAATGTGGAATTAGAATGCAATGACACCATCATTTAGAATTAGAACATACCAAAGAGTAAGTATTAGGAATATGGGGGAATGTATCTTATGTTCTCAGGTTTAGGGAATAAAGTCAAAAGCTTCTTGAGGACAGGCTCCAGGGTTGTCTTGTTATCCCCAGTGCTTAACACTGAGCTGGGCACAGAGTAAGGAAGAATGATAACAAGATTAAGTCACCTTCAGAGGATTAGGGAATGTTTTTAAACATGTGCTGCAGACTCTGAAGGCAGTAAGCAAGTGTTTATTAAATGCATGCTACCGCAGGCACTAGGCTTACTGTGGTGACTCAGAGATGCAGAGGACCTAGTCCTTATACCCGAAGAGGTACAGACTAAAGGAAGAGACAGAGGGGAAGCTGTCAATCAGGTGACAGTAGGACATGTTGTGGAAGAGCTGAGGAGGGAGGAAGCCAGCATGAGGATGGTGCCTTATGAGGTGATTTCATTGATCACTGATTTGGGTGACAAATGCTGGCCCTATTGTTAAAACAGCAGTCTAATGAGATATGGTTTTATTTTTATTTATTTATTTATTTTGAGACAGAGTCTTACTCTGTCACCCAGGCTGGGGTGCAGTGGCGCAATCTTGGCTCACTGCGACCTCCGCCTCCCAGGTTCAAGTGATTCTCCTGCCTTAGCCTCCCGCGTAGCTGGGATTACAGGCGCGCATACCACACCTGGCTAATTTTTTTGTGTGATTTTAGTAGAGACAGGATTTCACCATGTTGGCCAGGCTGGTCTTGAACTCCTGACCTCAGGTGATCCATCCACCTCGTCCTCCCAAAGTGCTGGGATTACAGGCGTGAGCTACCACGCCCAGCTGAGGTAGGGTTTTGAAGGACCCATCTAGGTTTGGCTTGGCCTCAGATGAAGTTCTCTCACTGCCTGTTCTCCATTGCCTGACATTCCCATTACAGCCTACCCCTTTAGAGAATTCTATTATTTGCTCCAGAGTTGTTAAAATATGCATGTGTCTTGTTGAGATGATCTAACAGTACCTCATATCCCCCAGACACCCCAGGATGATGGAGGTCATCCTGACTCCTCCAACTCCCTTGCCTCACACCTCTGGTCACTCTTCATGTCCTGGGGACTCTTCTTCCTCAGTGTCTCTCACATCTAGCACTTCTTCTAACTCTCATGGCCACCATTTTAGTTCAGGTAACGGCCCCTGGAATTATCTTCTTGACTTCAGGCTCTCCTCACTGTGATCCATTCCGTTGCCTGATTGATTAATCTACTGAAAATAGTATTCAAAAATCTTCAGTGGTTTGCCCAAGCTTTTAATTTAGCATTGAGGGCCCTTTGTGAGCTGATTCCAGCTGGCTTTTCTAATTTTGTGTGGCAAATTAGTGGTTTCATTAGGAGATAGATTAGGCAGATGTAAGAAAAAGACTCCAAGTATGTTAGCATAAACATGATAGGTGTTTATGTTTTTCAAAAGCAAAAATCCGTATAGTTGGTCCAGGGCTAATATATGGTTTAATAGTGACAGGGCAGTGGTAACCTGTCTTCAAGATGGCCCCCAATAATTCCTGCCTCCTTCTGTTCATACATTTGTGTAGCCCCTCTCACGATGTATGAAGGTAAATACAGACAAATATTTTTACTTATATTGTGTGATGATTGATTTTATGTGTCAAGCTGGGCTAAGGGATGCCTAGATAGCTGGTGAAACATTATTTCTAGGTGAGTTTGTGAGGCTGTTTCTGGGAAGGATTAGCACTGAATCAGCAGATTGAGTGAGGAAGATTGCCCTCCCCAATGTGGGCAGCCATCATCCAGTCCAGTGAGGGTCCACTGGGATACAGCAAAATGGGGGAGCAAGGGTGGACTCCCTCTCACTTTTGAGCTGATATATTCATCTTTTTCTCCCCTCAGACATTGGAGCAGCTCCTGGTTCTTAAGCTTTTAGACTCAGGGACTTAAACTAGCACCCCCTGCCCTCCGACACCTACTCCCCCACTCCAGTTCAAAGGCCTTTGGACTCAAACTGAATTACACCCCAGCTTGCCTGCTTCTCCAGGTTACAGATGGCATATTGTGGGGCTTCTTGTGAAATGAATGAAATCAAACATTTTCCATCTACTCAAATGGTTATGCACAGGGTTAAGCAGTGCCTTCACAACCAGAGGTAATACACAGTCACATTTATCCTTCAAAATTATTTTCAGTTAAATACATTAATAAATGATGAGTAACATCAAGAGGGGTGTGAACCCCCCATTTCCTCCTTCATCTTTTTAATTAATCAACCCATCCCCTTTTCTGTTGGCTCAGAGATAGAAAGATTTGCATAATATCCTGGTGCCATGGCTGATAATGTCCTCTTTGTTAGTTAACTCTTAAAGGAAGAGTCATGTAAAAGCCTGTAAATGACCATATGAATTATGCATAAAGAACTTAACTCAAGCCATGCATATAAAATGGGCATTCAGAACACAACCTTGACTCTCTTATTCTTTTATAAATAGACTCCCACAGGGCTTGCTAGCCTAGTGTGTACACCTCTCCTAAGCACAAAATGGAGTTTGCTTTGTTGGTTTGAAACTAATTTACAAAATTGAGATGACTAAGAAAATAAAATTTTATAAATGCAGTTGGCATCTGGTTAATAATAATAATGTCTTTAAAATTTTTTATGTATCGGGTTGGTGCAAATAAAAAACCACAATTAAGTTTGCACCAACCTAATGTCTTGCACAACATTATATAACATTCCACACACAGAGTGACTGATGAAAGCTAACTTCTTCTTTTCTCGTGGAGACAAGAAGATCCAGTTTTAGACTGGTGAGTGACTTGCTGAAGAGCCCAGAGGGAACCAGAGGAGATCCATATTTGTATTAATCAGGGGATGTCAAAGAAATGGAACCAATAGGAGATGGGTGGGGAGCCTATGGTGGAAGTCCTGGCCCAAGAACCAGGAGTCCCAATGTCTGAGGGCAGGAGAAGATGATGTCCCAGCTCAAACAGAAGAAAATTCACCCTTCCTCTGCCTTTTGTTCTATTCAGGCCCGCAATGGATTGGATAATGCCAACCCACATTGATGAGAGTGGATCTTATTTATTCAGTTTACAGATTCAAATACTAATCTCTTCCAGACACACCCTCAGAGACACCCCAGAAATAATGTTTTACTAATGATTTGGGCATTCCTTAGCTAGTCAAGTTGTTGCATAACATTAACTATTGCAATGCTTAAATTCTGTCTCCTGTTCTCCAACCATACTTCCTATGACCCCTTTAAGATCAAAACTGCATCTCCAAGGCCCGTGACATGGCCTTGCCTAGCTTATCTAACTAATTTTGTGCCACCCTCTCCCTTGTCCATCACTTTCCACCCTTTAGCTTCTTTCTACTTCTTGAGCACATTAAGCTTATATCTACCTTAGTCCCTTTGCATTTGTTCCTTTTGCCTGGAATGATCCCACCATCCCATCTTGACCTTTCTAACTCCTTTTTTTGTCATTTATGTTTCTTGTTAAATGTCATTTTCCCAGAGAATCCATCCCTGATCACCCAATCTGAATTAATAGTTCTAATACACAACTTGGTTTTATTTTCATCCTATCTGTTCCTGATACATCCTTGTTATTTAATCTTTTTATTGTCTGTCTTTCCCTTACCAAACTGTAAGCTCCACAGGCAGGAACTTGTGTGTCTTATTCTCCTTTGTGCCTCCAGTGCCTAGAACATTGACTGGCACTAGCAGATACTCAGTGTTTGTTGATTGAATAAATGCCTTTGTTTTAGTTTGAATCAGTCATATTGGAAGAATACGTTGGTTTATTTCCATTTAAATTGATTTAGTCATTTCATAAAAACAAGTCTTTTCCAGTTAAGGTCAATTTCTAGCTTAATAGAAATTAATAAGTGAACCAACCTAAGCTTCAGCAATTAATGTGCCATACTGCTTACATGAACAATTCAGATTCCTGACTCAGATGCCCAAAATGTCATTTGAGTTACAATTGTTGGTTCTGGGACTGTCTTACCTTTTTCTGAGATCCAAGACCCAACTCAAGCCCCATGTCCTCTGTAAAGCATTCTTTGACCACCCCAGACCACAGAATTGCTCTCCTCCTCTTCCTCTTCCCTTTTACAGCATTTAGTATATCAGTTGCTCATAAAGCCCTGGATAGAGGTGACTCTTAGATAGTCTTGCTCTATGGAGATGTATTTGCAGGTATGTTGTTAACACTTTGAGGGCAGGGTGAGGATCTATATATGTCCTTTATTTGTCCTGGGTTTCTTGCTTGGACTGCTTCCCACAGTGTTTGTCGTTTGGATATTCTTTAAATATTCAACTTCAGGGGGTTATTCCTCCAGTTTTGTTTGTTTTAAAATAAGTGTCTTCTTCTGGCAGGAATGGGGCTCCACGATGGACTGGTCCTAACTTTGGCCATGGTCAGTGGCAGTGGGCAGGGCAGAGTTAAAAGCTGGGGCTCTTTCCAGGATGCCAGAAGCATGCAGGGCACTTCACCTTTTCTTTGCAGTTGAGATCATCCAGTGACATCATTCGTAGCCAGAAACTGGTTGTAAAAAGGCAAGAACTAGATCACTTTACTTCCCATAATAGCTTTCTACAAAGGAGAGAGATGCTGCCAGCTGAGATAATGCCTAATTTTAGCTGATGCTGCTGGACAGACTCAGGATGGTCTCCTCTCCCTGGCCAGAACCCAACTTAGCACCCCTTTACCAGATAAATAATGATGCATTAGCAAGAGACTCCCGGCGTCTTCTTCCCCTGAAAAGGGGTTTGGACCTTAGGAGAAATCGTGTCCTAAGCATAAAGATGTGGTAAAAATCCTACTTTTCTCAACAGCAAACAAGTCTTCTACTTCCCATGGAGAAACCTGTTACTATTGAGTGATTTTTTTAATAAGATACTCAGCCTGAGGGTGGGGGCATTTGAATTACAAACATGGGTCCTAGGACTGATTTCTAATAGGAGTGGATTCAGATGATTGAAATGCAACAGGAAAATCCCTGCCCCCAAATATTTATTACTGGTAAGAAGTTTCTACCCTACAGATCAATTCCTTTTCATCTTGAAAGTCTTTCTGTCTTTTAGCATTTTTGTTAAAACACAGCTCTCCCAGACAGGGGTAAACTCTAAGACATTCATCAGGTGATGAATTATGGACATAGACCCTGTATATTCCGTGGAGTCCTATAATAACATACCTGTCCTATACTGGCAGAACTTACTACATTATTTTTTCCTCATGTCTGTGACCTCACCAGGCAGACAGATTTCCTGGAGAGCAGATAATATATCTTATCCATCTTTTCACTCCCAGGTCCTAGCACAGCACCTGACACATGAGAGGTCCTTGATACACGTTTCTGAATGAATGACTGACATTACCAGATGCATCCAAATCTAAAAGTCAACTTAACTGAGAATACAGCACAGATGCTGGAATATTTGTGGAGAATAGGTCTCTATAGTGAACTGTATAAGGAGCCCCAGACTTCTGAATCTTCCATTCTTGGCCACAAGAAACACAGATGGAGATAAGGAGAGCTGCTTCACCAGGGAGGAAGTGAAAGTTCCCTGGGAGCGCTATCTACGTCTTTTTTTTTTTTTAACAACATGTATTTTCTCTGTCCTACTGACAAGCCAAGGCTCCTTCTTCTATGACTGTGATGACTAAGAGAAGTAGTTTCATCTCATTGCTAATCAATAAAATTCTCTTCTTGCTAAAGCATTTGGAGTGGGAATTCTAAAGATAACCCTAGGAACATCTCCTTCAATAAACTGGGGGAATTGATATAGTCTTCAGGGTTGCCTGTGCCTGAGATAATGGCAACTTGATTTTCTCAGGTCACGTCTCCTCCTGCAAGAAGCAAACAGTGTTTCCTTGCCTACCACATGCTAAGGGCCAAGGTTGAGGCTGACTGTATGAGTGTGGAGTGTTCCCATAGTGCACACTGCAACAGAACTGGAAGCCCCAACCTGGGCAGCCCTCAACCCTGGACAGCCCCCATGGCTTTCCAAGCCTGGGGTGAGGCAGGACTGTAGCTGGTGGGATTCTGGTGCCTTGGCTGAAATGGCCCATCTCCTAAAGCAGAAGGCATCAGTTCAGCAGAATGCTTTTTGAGAACTGCTAGCATGCTGTCAAGATGCATATTTGTCACTGAGGGGTGTGTGGGTTCCTCCGGCACTTCTTTTCTTGGAGCTGTTGCAGCTTCTGTTTAGGTTTAGAAACAACAGTAACAACAATAACTAATCTTTGTTAAGCATTTACTATGTGCTAAGCAGAGTATTAAGTGTTTATAAATGTATGAGTTCACCGAGTGCTTACAATAGCCCTATGAGAAAGAAAGGCACAGTTTAAGGGCCACACCTTAGCAGTTCTCTCCTCATTTGAGAGTGATGTTTTATAAAAAGGTCTCAGCTTTTATGTTTTCCATCTCAGAGGGTCTCCATGCTCCTGGCCCCATTGTCTGATTTGCCTCCCTCTTCATGGCTCCCTACGCCTGGCCCTTCATTTCCATTGCAGCAGGTCTGACTGTTGATGCGACCTTTGTCTGTCTGAGTGCCCTGGGCTCTGGACTTACAGCACACAAACCAGCCCCACCTCATCCTAGCACCCAGCTGGTCTCTGAAACCCCTACCTGGGGCCAGATGAGTGGTTCCACAGGCTTCCAGGGTCTGGGATTAGAGAATATAGTTGAATGGAAACGTCAGGTCCTCTTGCTAAAGCAGATACTTAGCAATGGGCAGGTCTCCCAGTGCTAAGTATTAACGTGCTTAAGAAGCACATTAATATTTCATTTTCATCATCTGGGGGTTCTCTCCATTTTCTGAGATGTTACAGAGTAAAATGGGGCCATAGGTAATAGAGTCATTTCTTCTTTGAAGAGTCATTATTATCACTCAAAGTTCATAGTTCACGTTAGGGTTCACTCTTCATGTTGAACATTCTGTGGGTACAATGCATTTTGACATGTATCTACCATTACTGTATCACACAGAATAGTTTCACTGCCTTAAAAATCCTCTGTGCTCTACCTCCTTCTCCCATAACACCTGGCAACCACTGATCTTTATACTGTATCCATAGTTTTGCCGTTGCCAGAATGTCATAGAGTTGGAACCATTAAGTATGTAACCTCTTTTTAAATTCAACCTCCTACTTTTCATCTGTTAATTATCTTCTTTGCTAGACCGTTTTCAAATACAATGCTTGGCTCCTGAGGTATCTTAAGTAATCACATTGTGAGCAAAGCCTATAGGCTTCCCCCAGAGTGAGTGATCCAAGAGAGAGCAGGGACGAGGCCACAATGCCACAATGCCACTCATGACCTAATCATTTCTACCATATTTTATTTGTTAGAAGTGAGTCACTAAATCTGGTCCATGCTGACAGGACGAGGAATTGGGCTTCACATTTAAAGGGATGGGTATTGAAGAATTTGTGGACATATTTTAAAACCACTGAACTTATGTTGTATGTGCTTCTGCAGTCTGGACTCCTGGGAAAGTAGAGATTGAGAGATAATGATAGATACATTGAGAGAGAGAGAGGTGATTGTCTTAGTCTGTTTTCTGTTGTTTATAACCTTCTTGCTGGTGGGGATTCTGCAGTGTCCCAAGGCAGCGCAGGATATCACATGGCAAGGGGGCTGAGCATGTTAATTTGCAAAAGTGCTTACTCAAGTCTCTCTTCCTCTTTTATAAAGACACCCGTTTCCCTCCCATGATAACCCATTAATCCATTAACCCATTAATTAATCAATAAATGGATTTATTCATTCCTGAGGGCAGAGCCCTCATTATCCAGTCACCTCTTAAAAGCCCTACCTCTCAGTACTGTCATAGTACATTGGGGATTAAGTTTCAACATGAGTTTTGGAGGAGACATTCAAACCATAGCAGTGGTGTAGTGGAGAGAATAATCTATTTAGCAGCATAAGACCTGGCTTGGTCACTGCTCACCAGCTGGCAAATTGCAACTGCTCTGAATCTTAGTTTTCTTTATCAGAATTATTTAGTCAATCATGCCTCCCTACAAGCTGCCAAGAGCCTTATAGAGGGCTAAAGGTTATGTTTGTGAGCCCTATTTGCACATCACAAAATACTATGCAAACTCAAGCTACTTTTATTTTACTTAAGTGGGCTGTACATGTGGCTGAGGGAAATATTCATAGCAAAATTTTTCTGCACACAGATGTCCCCTCTTCTCTCACCCAGTTGCCCACCCCTTTTTCGTCATACAGTACAGGTCTCAGAGCTCTTGCCCAGGTTAATTTCTGGATCAAATGCCAGGGAGAAATTCATAGGATCAGGTCTTCTTGTTACATATCCTTTCCCAACCTCATCCCAAAGGCCTAGGTGGAACATTCTATGCAAGCTGTAACCCCTTTTCTTGTAGAAACGAGTTGGAAACATCTCTAAGATCAAATAGACTTGAATTCAGAGAGCAGATTCAGCATTTTTTTGTGCTAACAGATCGTTTCATATATAGCCATATCTCCCTATTGTTAAGCCTTATTTGATTTTCCATTTTATTTGCTTACACGGTATCAAATTTTCAGCTCAAACATCAAAATGATATAAGGCCAGATCTGTGTTGTGGGATGCTATAATTTTCCTCCCTTTAAACTCACTACCATTGGTTATTGCATTTTAATTTCCTTTAAAGAATTTTTATGACTAAGTCATCAAGCACAGGAAAATATCCAACTCAGAGTCTTGTGATAAGAACTTTAAATGGTGTGTTTGCTCTAAGGGATGCTGTGATTTCCACCCCCACCCATCCAAATGTTTTTCATGTTGGGAAGATTCTTGGAAGTGAAAAGAGTAGACATTCCAATTTCAGGGAGTAATCAGTGAAATCAGCTCATTAGTGTAGCCATCTGAGCAGGCATCATCTGAAATACTCTAGATACACTTAAGAGGAAAGAAATGCATCTTGCTCACTGGAAATGGATTCTTGCAAAGTTCATCATAACCTTTATTTCTCAATGAGGTTTTCTGTATGGCTTTCTGTGGTATGATGTCTAAACAGGACACAATTTTTTCTTGTTGGGTTCTTGATCTGCCTAGCATTTCCAGTTTTCTGGAGTATGATGGGCCATAGTAGTTTGAGCTCAGATTGTTTTCAGGGCAAATCTACCCTTACAACACAGTTAGGAGATTTGTGTTGTCTCAGGGTATCCAAAAACTCTTACAGTTGAATCAGTTTAAATCCTCTAGAAGATATTTAATAATAGATGATAAACATTTTTTAAAGTATTGGAGGAAGTAAAGAAAGTGAGGGATTATCATGGCTCCCAACTGGAAACATTCATTTCCTACCCAATCTCCTTTCTTTTCTATGGCAGAGATTGCCAATTATTCCAATATTAGAGCTCTTTTTTTATACTCTAGAATCTACTGAAACATGCCCCTAGTTTTTAGCTGGATACATGATCACCCAACATCACTTACAGCTAGATGTGCCATGTGACTAATTTCTGAATAGTGGGATGTAAGCAGAAATAGAGTCTGTACCTTTCAGAATGTTTTCTAGAAAAGAGGGGTGCCTGCTCTTCTATTCTATCCATCTTCCTTATGACTGGAATGGAGATATGATGCCTAGAGTTGGAACAGCCATCTTGGGCCAGGAGATTATGTTAGGAATAGAAACCACGCATGGTAGAGCCTTGAAATAAGAGGAGCCTGGGTGAACACCATGGAGAATGATGCCAGCCCTGGCCCATTCATCAACCTCATATGTCCAGCTGAAAGATGGTCCAGCTAGCATCTTTACCCTACCATGTTGCCTCTTGGAGTTTTACTCACAGGAGCAATGTCACCTGGTAGTTAAGAATGCTTGCTTTCAAAGTCAGGTAATTTTAGGTTGAAATCCTGGCTTCACCAAGTACAAGCTATATTACCTTGGGCAAATTGTTTAGCTTTTCTGTTATGATTATGTATTGCCATATAAAGAATTCCCCCTGTATTGTATACTCATAAATTTTGGGGTCAAAAATTTAGACAAGGCATAGCAGGGCAATTTGTCACTTTTCCAAAATGTCTGGGGCCTTAGCTGGAAGTTAAGGTTGAGTACCAACTCAACAGCTGGAAGATGAGATAATCTAAAGGCTCATTCACTCACATGTTTGGGACCTCAGCTGAGGCTTTTGGCCAGAGCACTTGCACGTGACCTCTTCTTGAGGCTTGGACTTCTTCTACATGGTGTTTGTAATCCACCAGCAGGTGTCTGGAGAGAGAGTCAAGTGGAAACTGTTATTGCCTTTGATAACCCAGCTCCAGAAGTCATACATCTGCCACATCCGATTCATTGAGACAGCCACACAGGCCCACACAGTTTCTAGGGATGAGAGATAGACTCCAACTCTTGATAGGGAAGTGACAAGTTTCTTGAAGAGCATGAATGATTGGAAATTATTTTTAGCCAATTTTGGAAAATAGAGTCTGTCATACTCCTTAAAGCTTCTGGTTCCTCATCTCCAGATGAAGATAACCATATCTACTCCATAGGCAAGGGTGACATTAGAGATATTTAGCCACAAGTACAGGATGGTCACTGACCAATCGCAACAGTCGTTGGCATTAACACTTCAGTCCTGAATCATGGAACAGTCCTGGAAGTGGAAAGGTAATGGTAGAGTGTGTATGCATGAGTGGGAGGGGGCTGTTACTCAGTGGGTTCAGGGCAGTGAGTATATACCAACCAGTAAAGAAATACTTCTGTAGTTTAACAATCTGCTATTGTGTAGTAGCAGAGTGTCAGCTTTGCTGCTAGGATGATTTTGAGGATTAAATACGATATTGCATATAAGGCACTTGGCTCATGGTAAATACAGAACAAATGGCAGGTATTACGGCTGTTTTTGGTAATTTTCCATTCTAACCTGC
Organism: Homo sapiens; assembly: GCF_000001405.40. NCBI lineage: Eukaryota > Metazoa > Chordata > Mammalia > Primates > Hominidae > Homo > Homo sapiens. The sequence goes on along the minus strand of NC_000003.12, from coordinate 159,945,392 downwards.
AGCATAGAAATTAAAATCTTAAAAACATAAGGTCCTAATGTTTTCTCTTTCTTTTAACATAAGGACAGACTCTACTTCCCAAGAGCTAATACATCATGCAGCAGCAAAGGTCTTTAATAGAACAAGTAGATGACATTTCAATGGATAGATTATTCTTAAGAAATAAGGAGTCTTGGTTTTTATCCCTCTTATTGGAAACCATGAGTCAATGGCAGTATTGCTTTGTGTAAGTCTCTTTCAACAGTTATACAATGCTTTAAAAATTCCTAGAAGTTTTGATACAAGTTTTCAGCTAATTAATGTGATAACAGAATAGAAACAAGAGTATTACCCAACTGAAAATTTCAGAAGGGATTTCTGTGGCTTCATACAGAAGTGTGCATTACACAATGGAACCCCATATCCTAAAATTAAAATAGGCCAAGAGGTAGAGTCCCAATCTATAGTTCCTCATAGAATAGTAACATTTTCTAATAATGAAATTATGCTTATAGGGCCTGACTCACGAACACATTTCCTGGACATAAATGAGCTTCCCAGAGTTGGACTGGCAGATATCTGAATTATCTGGAAAAAGGCTGATTTATGCTGAAGGATTTTCCACAGTGCTGGGAGGGAGGTGCCTATTTTTTGCCATGCCACATCAGTTGGGAAAGGTCAGACAGTGGGTTCACTAATAATGGTGACAGGAGTGAAGCTAACTTCAATTTTCCACGGCTTCCCAATGATGGGGCTCAGAAAGTGATACCTCAAAGACTGGTGCTTAGACACGCTGAGGGGCCTTAGAAGCTGCCTCAGAACCAAGGTCCCTCTAGCCTTGCCTTTTTCTTTCCCCTGAAGTGCAGGGAAAGGGCTCTCTGTGGAATTCTTATCTGACTGAGAAAAACTTCAGAAAGAATTGGCCAGGGGCAGTGGCTCACACATGTCATCCTAGCATTTTGGGAGGCCAAGGCAGGTGGATCACCTGAGGTCAGGAGTTCAAGACCAGCCTGGCCAACATGATGAAATCCCATCTCTACTAAAAATACCAAAATTAGCTGGGTATGGTGGCACGTGCCTGTAATCCCAGCTACTCAGGAGGCTGAGGCAGGAGAATTGCTTTGAACCCAGGAGGTGGAGCTTGCAGTGAGCCGAGATTGCACCACTGCACTCCAGCCTGTGAGACAGAGCAAGACTCTCTCAAAAGAAAAAAAAAAAATTGCAATTGTCTTAAACACCTTCCCCAGGAATCTCATCAAATAACCAGGAGAGATTAACCACCAGAGAAGAGAAGAACCTGGAATTATCACCACACCCAGACAGACTTTTCTTCTATTCTCCTAAGGGCAGCTCTGAGAGATAACCTGGGGGTCTTTTTCTGCATAATAAAATAACCTTTGTTCCTGTGCAGTTCTTCCCCTCACCTTCCCAAAGAGAATTATTTACTAGCTATTATCCGAGCATTGGGTCTATTCATTGCCCCATTTTCCTCTCTCCTATGAAGAGGGAATTTAAGCCTCAACCATCCAGCCCCTCTTTGAGTTCATATTTTGTATGACTCCTATGCACACATGTGCATGTAATACATTGGTTATGCCTTTCTTGTTAACCTGGTTTTGTTGTTGTTGTTGTTATGTGGTGTTGGCTGCGAGCCTTTGTGATGGGGAGGAAAGGGATCACTTCGTTTCTGCCCCTATAGCAACAGTCTGGACCAGAATTCATCTCAGGATTCTCCTTTCCTCAAAGTCTCTGAGAGTCTCCATCGCTCTTCTTGATCCCTTTTCAAGTATTTCTGTGGCTGCTGTAGGCTCCAGACTCCATCTCTGCAGGGTCTGAACAGGAGCTGCTACTGCCATGGTCTCCTCTGTTCTAAGGATTAATCTTAAAGCTATCTCGGTGAGGACATTATTGCTGGGGAAGTTCACATTTAGCGGACTGAGAGGAGATAGGCCCTCCCCTCCAGTGTTACATCTCCTGAATTAGCACAGAAAGGATGGTATATAGTCTCAATTTTTAATCACCCTCTCTCTCAAGGATTGGTATAATTCCACTTGGAGAAAAGTTGGGGTGCAGCTGAGAGGCATCAAGCAGGTGCCCCCTAGAAATGTCTCTCCTCACCAAGTTTCAACTGGTTTCCAGTATGGCATCCCAGCATCTTCTCTGGCTTCTGGGTATGTTCCTGATCCCCCTGGGGAGGTTCTCTCTGAGAAACTGGGCTTGACCCCTTTCTCCTTTGCTCAGGAGTCTGTCCCAGATATAATTCTTCTTCCTCTCCCAGCTGTTCTTTGTGTTCTAATGCAAATAATTGTCCCATGGGCAACTCTCACTGGAGGCTGTAAATTGTGGGATGGGAACACACATCTCCCAGATCCTTCACTGTAACTTGAAGGCCTTCACTTAATCCTGGTAATTGCAAGAGGAGGAATTCTAATTTCAAAGCCAGACATGCACTATGCAAGCAAATCTCGTTAACCCTCTGGTTAATGAAATAACTTAGCAAATTTAAATGTGGTACATCACCTAGTGGATCTTAAAAGATAGCAGATTTGCTCATTTTTTAATTCACCAAACACTTAGAAAGTGCCCAAAACTACATGTAAGGCACTGAATTGTGGGAACACAGGGATACATAGTTCCAGACATGAGGGACTTACAATTTGGCGAGAGACAAGTGATGAGATTGTGACATCTTTGTATGGTCAAGTTGCAATGGGAGCACAGAGTGGGGCCACTTGCTCAGTATGGGTTCACCGGGGGTCTGCACCCAAAACTCAGTGCACGACCCTAAAGTGAGCAGAAATTTAAAATTTGAAGCCTTCTTAGGTGGTTAAGAAAAAGCATTTCAGAAGTGATCACTCGTGTTTTCTCTGTCTCCTTAAATTGAGGATCAAAGTTTGGGAGAGAACCTTCAGACACAGTGAAAAAACCTGAAAGTCTCTTCTCAAACTTGTACAGTGAGCTGTTAGGTTGGTAGAAAGGAAAACTTTGGAAGTGTTTCCAACTTAGCCCAACAATTGTGGAAATTTGATAGTCTGTGTTTTAAATAATTTTTTACTTTGAAGATCAAGGCCGGTGCTACTCAAATGTTTTTAGACTGCAACCACAGTAAGAAATACATGTTGAAATTGTATTTCAGTAAACATGTATATTAAATAATTATTTCAACTGGAAGTTGTTTCACAAAACAGTACTTACTCATACTGTATGAATGCACTTTATTTTGTCTCTTTCTCTTTTCTTCTTCCTCCTTCCTCCCTCCTTCTCTCTCTCCTTGCTTCCTTCCTCCCTCCTTCCTTCCCTTCCCTTCCCTTCCCTTCCCTTCCCTTCCCTTCTGTTCTCTTCCCTTCCCTTCCCTTGCTCTACCCCTCTTCTTTTTCTTTCCCTATTTCCTTTTTCTTTCTGTCATGTTGGTTACTACTCAGTAAATTGATCTAACAGATAACTAATGTTTTTAAAACATTGCTCTAGAATACTGAGCCAAAAACCTCAAGTTGTCAGTCACCCGCTTCCAGCAGGTGAATGACTCATAATGAGATGCTATCTTCCTATCTTCAGTCCTGCTCATCATGTCTACAGTAAAGGCAATTAGAGCTCAGAAGTCAAGGTTGGATCACTGGCTGGGTCACAACGACTCACCTGGAGCACTGCTCTGCTCTGTTCTGCCCAATTGAGTCAATTAATTTTTCTGCCTGTGGTTGATGAGGCTTGCAGGATTGGCCAAAGCAGGAAGTTGGTGTTGCTGTGTCATATAATTATTTTATTCTGTAATCCTCAGAGCTTACTTGGACATAATAAGCCTAGATACTTGGGAATTACTTTAAAATGTATTTGGAGCCATTTTTAGGAAAGTTAGCTTCAAAATCAACTCATGATTATAAAGAATACTCTGGTCATGGTGAATACATTTTCATTTCTTGGGTTGAGCTTCAATAGTGGTTAGAAAAGTCCCACTCAGTGTGCTGTAGTGGTGGGGTTAACAAGCTCTGAAGTCAGGCTTTGGTGTCACTAAGCAGTTTGAGCCCCCGCTTGCTCATCTGTTAAACGGGGATAATGATAATCCTGCTGGCATGGGAGTGTTGCAAGGATTAGATGAAGGCATGACTATAATGTGATGTGCTTGGTGGCTCATGGTATGCACACAGTGGCAGCTGAGGTTCATTGTTGTTATCATTCTGCACTTCTGCAAACTCATTTCCTTACTTACTTTGCTCAGGTCAACCGTCCTTGCTATGGCTATGGAGACTCAGTTCAGCCGAATGTAGATTCTTGAGATATTGAGACTTCCTTGTTTAGATTCTTTTTTTTTTATATACTTTAAGTTCTAGGGTACATGTGCACAATGTGCAGGTTTTTTATATATGTATACATGTGCCATGTTGGTGTGCTGCACCCATTAACTTATCATTTACATTAGGTATATCTCCTAATGCTATGCCTTCCCCCTCCCCCCACCCCACTGCAGGCCCTAGTGTGTGATGTTCCCCTTCCTGTGTCCAGGTGTTCTCATTGTTCAATTCTCATCTATGAGTGAGAACATGTGGTGTTTGGTTTTCTGTCCTTGCAATAGTTTGCTCAGAATGATGGTTTCCAGCTTCATCCATGTCCTTACAAAGGACATGAACTCATCCTTTTTCATGGCTGCCTAGTATTCCATGGTGTATATGTGCCACATTTTCTTAATCCAGTCTATCATTGATGGACATTTGGGTTGGTTCCAAGTCTTTGCTATTGTGAATAGTGCCGCAATAAACATACGTGTACATGTGTCTTTATAGCAGCATGATTTATAATCCTTTGGGTATATACTGGGTCTAATCCTTTGGGTATATACTGGGATGGCTGGGTCAAATGGTATTTCTAGTTCTAGATCCTTGAGGAATCACCACACTGTCTTCCACAATGGTTGAACTAGTTTACAGTCCCACCAACAGTGTAAAAGTGTTCCTATTTCTCCACATCCTCTCCAGCACCTGTTGTTTCCTGACTTTTTAATGATCGCCATTCTAACTGGTGTGAGATGGTATCTCATTGTGGTTTTGATTTGCATTTCTCTGATGGCCAGTGATGATGAGCATTTTTTCATGTGTCTGTTGGCTGCATAAATGTCTTCTTTTGAGAAGTGTCTGTTCATATCCTTCGCCCACTTTTTGATGGGGTTCTTTGTTTTTTTCTTGTAAATTTGTATGAGTTCTTTGTAGATTCTGGATATCAGCCCTTTGTGAAATGAGCAGATTGCAAAAATTTTCTCCCATTCTTTAGGTTGCCTGTTCACTCTGATGGTAGCTTCTTTTGCTGTGCAGAAGCTCTTTAATGTAATTATATCCCATTTGTCAATTTTGGCCCTTGTTTAGATTCTTATTGGTTCCTCCTTCAGGACCACCATCCTTAATTTGTTGAATGACAGGAAAGAACCTTACATTAATAAGGAAGAGAAACTCCCCACTGCTGTTCAGGAGGACACGCAAGGGAAAGTGCCAAGTTCAAACTTCCCACAAATATCTTTATTCAAATTTTCCTGGGGATGTCCTCCACCTAGTAGACTTGCCCCTAAGTGAGAGAGACCGAGAGAAGACTCTCGCATCTGCCTGAATTTGGATTAAAGCCTAATGATAATGATTTGTGATTTGGGGAAGAGGAAAATGAGGACAGGTGGGAGTTCTATGAATAATGGAAATCTCGAGAACAGTTTTTACAAACATTTATTGTACACCTACTGTTCATGTTGCCCTGTACTAAAAAACACAGATGTAGACCTCCAGGAACTGGCCTTCTAACTGGGGGTTAAAATATAATGATATATATTGACATTTAAGAACAGGCTGGGTGCAGTGTCTCACACCAGTAATCCCTCCACTTTGGGAGGCCAAAGTTGGGGAATTGCTTGAGGCCAGGAGTCTGAGACCAGCCTGGGCAACATAGTGAGATCCTGTCTCTATTTAAAAAATAAAAGTAAAATAAAATAAACATTTAAGAGTAATCCAGGAGAATTCATGGGCCACTGAACAATGTATTCCATGTCTGTTACTTGATGCAATATGCTATGAGTTCTAGACATTCTCCAAACAGGCCCTGTGGAGGAGGAGGAACTGAAGCTGTCTTCCTAAGTTGTAGACTCTAGGTAAGTGAACAGGCTGGTGATACGGTTTAGAGTGTACGGTTTAGAGGAGTGATCTTGGGAGAAAGAGAGTGTCAACTGGGATGAACCACAGGATGGATACTTGAAAGAAGAAGAAACTGAGCAGGTAGACTGAGGCCAGATTGCACAAGATAACCAAGATGTCTGTTTTTAAAGATCAGATTTGTTATGTTCCTGCAACAAGCCTTTCACTAGTGTTACTAACAAGCAGTGAAAGGACCAGGACTGGATTAAGGTCAACTGATACCCTAAGCACAACACAATAATGGTGCCCCTTGCCTCTTCTATTGCTTAAAACAAAGGGTCTGTTACACAACTCAGCTGATGAGTTAAATGCTAGTCAGACCCAGCCCTTGTGTTTATATTGGATGGAAGTGAAACTCTCACACCATGAGATGGAAACAAATGAGATATCTGATGACACCTTCATGCCAAACTTTTAAACTTTAGTCACTCACCATGCCAAAGAAAATGTTTTTTAAACAATGCAGATTAAAGACAAGCGTGGCAGATAAGGACAATTACAAGAACATTCTACTGAAATCGAGAGTGGCAATGAAAGAGTGAAGGGCATGAAACCCATGGGGAAACTCCATGGGCAGAAAAGAACAAGGAAAAGAAGAAGGAGGCATGAATACTTTCTAGACTTAGGTAGTGAGTCTGGGATAACTGGAAGTGGATAATTGTGAGCTCCTTGAAGGCCAGGCCATTGTCTCATTCATCTTTTTATCCTCAGTGTTTGAACCAGGATCTGTCACACAGAGTTCAAATTAATAAGCGTGTATTGAATGTCTACTATGGCCATCAGTCAGAGGTGGGAATAAAAATATAAGTAAGACCTGGGCCTTGCCTTTAAGATGCTCATGGTCTGGTATGGGAGACAGGTATGTGAGAAAGCAAAATATAGTGTGATCAATTGATATAATTGTATAATAATCTATTGTGTTATATATACTATATAACTATAGATTGAGTAACGCTACATGTATAAAAGTTGAGTTTTTATAGGAGCAATATAAAAGCTCTTTATCCTGCCCTATTCTTCCCAAGGTGGATTGTTTCCAGAGCTGACAGATCACCCACACTTGTAGGTAAAGTGATTGTCTTAGGAAAGGATCAGAATGAATGTAGCCAGGCTCATACAAATGAGTACATTTGCTTTCCTCTATTACCATCTATTTCACTTTACTTTCTCTCCTCACGGGTGGTCGGGTGAGCAGAGTTCTAAGACCAGAAGCAGAAAATGATAGGTTGAGTCTCTCTTGCATCCCACCAGGGGTGCCTTTCTTTAGCTTTAAGGACTAGGCAGGCCTGGCCTTCAGAGGCTTCCTGGGAATCTTTATCCCTCATGTCCTGACCACATTTACACCATGGTGCTTAGCTTGAATCCCTATCCCATTGGTAATAATATGCTTTTAGCTTTATAGTCTCTCTCAGAGCGCTTGCATGAACATGATTTTGTTTGAAACTGACAGTAGCCCTTGCTCTGTGCTTTGTTTTTACAGATGAGGCAAATGTGGCTCAGATCCCCAGACTATAAAAGGCCTCTGAGCTGAACTAGCCTGTTTGATTTGGCTAAGAAGTCACAGTTGTTTCTCCCCCGAGAAGGGGACATATATGCCTATAAGCATATAAATGGATTATTTTCAATTTTTTCAGAGAGAAAATAGCCTTCATTTTTTTCTAGTGCTATAAAATCCAAAATGCCCAAGCAAGTTCGTGTGTGTGTGTGTGTGTGTGTGTGTGTGTGTGTGTGTGTTCTATAAACTGTTTATTAGGTAACAAAACCCCTCAATAAATGTCAAAAGTAGAAATATTAAATACCGTTTTTCTTAAAAGGCAATAACATCAGACATTAACAATAATAAAAAGAGAAAAATAACCCACCACTAAACCAGGAATTTAAAAACGTTATCTTTGGAACTACAGAGCAAATAACTGAAATTGTAATAATATCAAGAAAATAACAACAATGAAAAGTCTTTATTTCCCCAATCTGTGATTTAGACTTTGCCAAATCATTACTGAGAGAAAAATTAGAAATCAATCCAGTGTTATATTAGGTAGCTGTTGATACAAGTTTGATAATTAATATGGAAAAATAAAACAAAAAGATGTAAAAATGCATGTCAATTTAGTCCTAATTGAGGGTCACTGATAGTAGAAATAATCTTTCCAATTGTGTTAGATCTTTTCTCTAAAGATTGCCAACAGTTCTACAGAAGTGAACAAGTTTTCATATACAAAAATATTTCCATAGCATAGAGAAATAAAGTTAATTCAATAAGCAAATATGAATGCTTATAGGTAATGGAATAAAGGTGGTCACATAACACAGACTTTTTTTATTATACTTTAAGTTTTAGGGTACATGTGCACAGATTTTTAAAGAAAATTCCAACATAATGATTAAAAATTACATAGCTGATTATATATACATGTGTAGCTAAATCTATTTTTTACATGAATTTTGCTTCAATAAAATAATTTGTTAAGCATACCACTGAATGTGACTCATAGGTCAGAAAATGATTTGTCCTTAGACTTTATGTACTAATTTTTAGTTCTGAAAAATGTAGTCATCATATGTAAAAGAAAAAATATATTAGCTTTTGAATTAGACTGTCCTTAAGGTAGACTGGCCCAAAATTGACTTCAAGTGGACCAGATTGGTACAATGCAGGGCTATATCTGCAGAATGTGGCAGAACTCAGATGGTGAACAACTGGGGTGCTACTGTCAGGGCAAGACTCTGTAAAACCAGCATGATGCTGGCCATTGAGCCATTCCTTTCTGCCAGTCCTTGCCAAGGTAGATTGCTTCCAGTTTTGAGAGACTGGTTAGACTTACAGGTGTAAAGTGATAGTGACCACAGCTATAAAAACAAAGGAAGTACCAGGACAAGGAGTTAAGTAGATCATTACAATAGGGACATTTGTCCATCATACTGAAGAGCCCCAGGCTGCTAGTTTTTTTTTTTTTAACTGTTAGAATTTTAAACTTGTTTTTATACTTTTACGCAAGTTCATAAAATTGTGAGAATTATGTGTGATATGAAAGTAAATTGGTGCCGGGCACAGTGGCTCACGCCTGTAATCCCAGCACTTTGGGAGTCTGAGGCACGCAGATTACAAGGTCAGGAGTTCAAGACCAGCCTGACCAACATGGTGAAATCCTGTCTCTCCTAAAAATACCAAAAACATTAGCCAAGCGTGGTGGTGCATGCCTGTGATCCCAGCTACTCAGGAGGCTGAGGCAGGATAATTGCTTGAATCTGGGAGGCTGAGGTTGCAGTGAGCTGAGATCACACCACTGCACTTTAGCCTGGGCAACAGAGGGAGACTCTGTCTCAAAAAAAAAAAAATGTAAATTGGCTCTGAGTGATGGTATAGAAGTTACTTACAATGAAGAAGATTGCAAATTTCAAGGCATAAACCACAGAATGTCTCTTCTGGACATTGTGAGGGCATTTCAAAATAAAATTTCCTTTCTGCTTTTGATAAGTTATTTCTGAGTAGATGTAATATTATTATAAATAATTGTGAATACACATGGGGCACAGGATGCATGGAAAGCTTCAGGTTTTTTTTAATATCTATCAGTGGATGCGTTTTCTTGGCATTCACAGAAGGCAGGAGGAGGCGGATGTCTCACAGATGCATGGGACACTGAGGCACAGCTATGTTAAATGTTATCTTGTACTAAAGCCTCTAGAATAGATGCCCCTTAAAGTAAAGCTACTGCATGAAAACCATACTGTTATTAAAAACTATGTGATATGGTTTGGCTGTGTCCCCACTCAAATCTCATCTTGAATTGTAGCTCCCCCAATTCCCACGTGGAGCTGGTGGGAGGTAATTGAACCATGGGGGCAGGTTTTTCCCATGCCGTTCTTGTGACAGTGCATAAAACTCATGAAATCTGATGGTTTTATAAAGGAGAGTTCCCCTTCATATGCCCTCTTGCCTGCTGCCATATAAGAAGTCCCTTAACTCCTCCTTCCTCTTCCGCCATAATTGTGAGGCCTCCCCAGCCATGTGGAACTGTGAGTCTACTAAAACCTCTTTTTCTTTATAAATTACCCAGTCTCAGATATGTCTTTATTAGTAGCATGAGAATGGATTAATACAGTAAATTGGTATTGGGTAGTGGGGCACTGCTGTAAAGATACCTGAAAATGTGGAAGCGACTATGGAACAGGCAGAGGTTGGAAGGGTTTGGAGGGCTCAGAAGACAGGAAGATGTGGAAACGTTTGGAACTTCCTAGAGACTTGTTGAATGGCTTTGACCAAAATGCTGATAGTGATATGGACAATAAAGTCCAGGCTGAGGTGGTCTCAGATGCAGATGAGAAACTTGCTGGGAACTAGAATAAAGATGACTCTTGCAATGTTTTAGCAAAGAGACTGGCAGCATTTTGCCCCTGCCCTAGAGATTTGTGGAACTTTGAATTTGAGAGACGTGATTTGGGGCATCTGCTGGAAGAAATTTCTAAGCAGCAAAGTGTTCAAGAGGTGACTTGGGTGCTGTTAAAAGCATTCAGTCTTATGTATTCACAAAGATATGGTTTGGAATTGGAACATATGTTTAAAAAGGAAGCAGAGCATAAAAGTTTGGAAAATTTGCAGCCTGACAATGTGATAGAAAAGAAAAACCCATTTTCTGAGGAGAAATTCAAGTTGGCTGCAGAAGTTTGCATAAGTAACAAGGAGTCAAGTGTTAATTGCCAAGACAATGGGGAAAATGTCTCCAGGATATGTCAGAGATCTTCCTGTGGCAGCCCCTCCCATCACAGGCCTGGAGGCCTAGGAGGAAAAAATGGTTTTGTGGGCTTGGTCCAGGGCCCTTCTGCTCTGTGCAGCCTAGGGACTTGGTGCCCTGAATACCAGTTGCTCAAGCTGTGGCCAAAAGGGGCCAAGATACAGCTTGGGCCATGGTTTCATAGGGTGTAAGCCTCAAGCCTTGGCAGCTTCCACATGGTGTTGAGTCTGTGGGTGCATAGAAGTCAAGATTTGAGGTTTAGGAACCTCTGCTTAGATTTCAGAGGATGTATGGAAATGCCTGGATGTCCAGGCAGAAGTTTGCTGCAGGGGCAGGGCCCTCATGCAGAACCCCTGGTAGGACAGTGCAGAAGGAAAATGTGGGGTGTGAGCACTGCCTAGTGGAGCTGTGAGAAGAGGGCCACCATTCTCCAGACCCCAGAATGGTATATCTACTGACAGCTTGCATCATGCATGTGGAAAAGCTGCAGACAATGCCAGCTTGTGAAAGCAGCCAGAAGGGAGGCTGTAACCTGCAAAGCCACAGGAGCAAAGCTGCCCACAACCATGGGAGTCCACCTCTTGCATCAGTTTGACCTGGATGTGAGACATGGAGTCAACAGAGATCATTTCAGAGCTCTAAGATTTGGCTGCCCTGCTGGATTTCAGATTTGCATGGGGCCTCTAGCCCCTTCATTTTAGCCAATTTCTCCCATTTGGAATGTGTGTATTTACCCAATGTCTGTACCCCCCATTGTATCTGGGAAGTAACTAACTTGCTTTTGATTTTACAGGCTCATAGGCAGAAGAGACTTGCCTTGTCTCAGATGAGACTTTGGACTGTGGATTTTTGAATTAATGCTGAAATGAGTTAAAACTTTGGAGGACTGTTGGGAAGGCATGATTGGTTTTGAAATCAGGGGTGGGATGATATGGTTTCGCCATGTCCCCATCCAAATCTCGTCTTGAATTGTAGCTCCCGTAATTCTCATGTGTCATGGGAGGGACCTGGTGGGAGGTAATTAAATCATGGGGGCTGGTTTTTCCCATGCAGTTCCCATGATAGTGAATAAGTCTTGTGAGATCTGATGGTTTTATAAAAGGGAGTTCCCCTGCACATGCCCTCTTGCCTGCTGCCATGTAAGATGTGACTTGCTCCTCCTTCACCTCCTGCCATGATCGTGAGGCCTCCCCAGCCATGTGGAACTGTGAGTCCATTAAACCTCTTTTTCTTTATAAATTACCCAGTCTCAGGTATGTCTTTATTAGCAGCATGATAACAGACTAATACACTATGCATGCCAAATTTTATTTGATTCAGGTATTTTGGGCCAGAAAACAAGACAACAAATGACCAAAAAGCTTCTATTTTGGGAGACTCAACCAATCAGTCAAGGTCTTCAGTGCATATGACTTCTCTAAAGGGCCAATAATCCTCTTCTATTGAGATCTTTTGGAGAATTCCATGGAAAGGTGTATGCATAGGTGGGAAGCTCTTTTTCATGATTTGGATGAAAATATGCTTGATTATAATAAATAGTTAAAAATATTTTAGCCAGGTGTGGTGGCTCATGCCTGTAATCCCAGCACTTTGGAAGGCCGAGGCAGGTAGATCACTTGATGTCAGGAGTTCGAGACCAGCCTGTCCAACATGGTGAAACCCTGTCTCTACTAAAAATAAAAAAAAATTAGCCAGGTGTGGTGGCATGTACCTGTAATCCCAGCTACTCAGGAGGCTGAGGCAGGAGAATTGCTTGAACCTGGGAGGCGAAGGTTGCAGTGAGCTGTGATCGCGCCACTGCACTCCAGCCTGGGTGACAGAGCAGGACTCCATCTTAAAAAAATAATAATTTTAAGTAGCTTTGGGTCAAAAGATATAACTGGCTAGAGTATAGTGAATATATCACTTTGGAGGAGAAGGAACTAGGTCAGCATTTCTTACACTAATTTCCTCTACATAACAGTGTTCCATGAGATGATACCTGGCATTCACTGAAAAATAAGAGTGGGATCCCTTGGGCAGGTTTTGAGAAAAATCTCTTAGAGATTTATAGTGCACACCAAAACAGTAAAGCTTCTGAGAAGTCCTGTAGATGTGTATTTAGTTCATGCATTCAATCAACAATACTTATTGTATACCTATTATGTGCCAGCACTGTTTAGGTATGATAAACTTAAACATAGCATTTGTGCCACTTTCTTGACCATGAAATCATGGTTTATGTAATATGCTAACACTACTTGTTGCAAAGAGTGGCATTTGGGAGATGTTGGCTAGGTCTTCCTGATCTTTTGTTAGCATTTGGCCGTCTAGGATAGATGCCCCTTAAAGTAAAGCTACTGCATGAAAACCATACCAATATTAAAAACTATGGGTACCAACTTTTATTTGATTCACATATTTGGGGCCATAAAACAACACAACAAATGGCCAAAAAGCTGATTTTCTCCTCCCAGAGAAGAGGAGCCTTCTTTAGGGAGCTGAGTTGTGGTGTTGGAGCTGATCAGTAACACTGGGTAGGATTTGCCCATAGGCTATAAAATATAAAACCAAAGATGAGACAGCAAATGAACTAGGGCTGAAACAAAAAACAAAACCTGCATCTCAGGACAACTGAGTAATCCACCCAGAGACTGTGGGAAAACTCTAGGTTTGGGGGAAAAGAATGGCGTTTTAGGAAGCAGAATTGGAGAGGGAGGGGGCTCAAATCAAGTGTGATGTGAGAGAAGCCTAGAAAGTTCTCAAAATCTTTGATGCCTGGTTATCAGCATTTTTACAGGGTGCTGGTGACCTTGGCCATGGTGGCTAGGGGACTATCAAGGACAGATGTGATAGCTAAGATAATGTGTCCACTCATATGAACTCCTGTATTTTACTAGTGATCTTTATTCTGTTAAACTGGCCAATTGCTTCATGGCAGCCATTTTGAAAAATGACAACTGCAGAGAAAGTCCTAGAATGAGTTTTACATAGTTTTGAAGCACAAGCAAGCTTCACGATTCTCCAAATAGCTTTTGACACAGAGGATAGTAGTTGAGGGAAGAGAGTGTGCAAAACGGGTTAAGGCAGGGGTCCTCAGTGCAGGGGCCCCCACCTTTGGGCTGTGGGCTGGTACCAGTCCATGGCCTGTTAGGAACTGGGCTGCACAGGAGGTGGTGAGCAGTGCCAGTAAGAATTACCGCCTGAGCTCTGCCTCCTGTCAGATCAGCAGATCACAGGAGTGTGAACTCTACTGTAAAATGCATATGTGAGGGATCTAGGCTGTGCACTCCTTAAGAGAATCTAACTCATGCCTGATGATCTTCGGTGGAACAGTTTCATCCCAAAACCATCCCTGCCTGCCACCCCTGTGGAAAAATTGTCTTCCATCAAACCAATCCCTGGTGCCAAAAAGGTTGGGACCACTAGGTTAGGTGACTGAGTGGCTAGTTAAGTACATTTTCTCATTTTTCCTCTGTGGATTTAAAAAGATCTTGCTCACCATTTTTCACATAACTTTTTATATATTTAATGACACTTAACAAGTGATCTCCTCCCAAAAGCCCCATCAGCCTCTGTGGGCTTTTCTTCTTCAACCCGTTTCTCCAGATGAAAAAAGAATCCAATTACTGTAGCTTTCCTAGTTAATGGTCAATTTCTCAGCCCATTTATCATTTTCATTGATTACCAAAAGAGACTCTCGGTTTATGAACTCATTTTCAGGAGCCAGACTTAGTCAAGGCTGGTCCATGCTAGTGCATGCTAGTCTCATATGCATCAATCAATACTATTCTCCTGACTGGGCACAGTGGCTCACCCCTGTAATCCTAACACTTTGAGAAGCTGCAGCAGGAGGATCACTTGAGCCCGGGAGTTCAAGGGCAGCCTGGAAAACATAGCAAGACCCTGACTCTACAAAAAACTTTTAAAAATTAGCCAGGTGTGGTGGTGTGTGCCTCTAGTCCCAGCTACTCAGGAGGCTGAGGTAGGAGGATTGCTTGAGCCCAGGAATCTGATGCTGCATTGAACTATTATTGTGCCACTGCACTCCAGCCTGAGCAACAGTGAGACCCTGTCTTTAGAAAATAAACAAAAATAAAAATAAATGCTGTCTTCTCAAAGTCCAGTGCCTGAGTAAACCTCAAACCTAGACACTTGAGTTGTGGTATTCAGAGATGGGGAGACATGCTTCCATGGAAGGATTTTTATTGTGTACGTGGTTTGTAAAATAACTGCTTGTTTCTTGATGATGAGATGTGCTCATCATTCCTGTGTGTATAATTCAATACATGGTTAATATTTACACGTGTCAAGTTTTCATCAGTCTTTTCAAAATGGCCTTTCAAAGGTAAAGACTAATGGGAACTTTTGAACACTCGAGCCTCATTTCTTCCTGAAGACCCTCTGAGGATGAAGCCATGTGCAGGCAGAAACAGAGGGCTCTGTCTGGCCCAGAGACCTGCCTCATGAAACCCTTGTTCCTGAACAGCAAGAGGAAATCCCGCTCCCCTTGGCTCCACTCACAGAGCCATAGTTCACATTTGTGGTAGTTTTAGTTTCCCTCTTTGTGAGGTAAGCAGCTTTCTCCCAACCAACCCCATGTCAGCGCCCCTTCTTTATTTTGGCTTCCAGAATGAGTGTTGGAGTCCTGCTGTCACTGAGGGCAGGGCCTGGACTTCCTGCCGGCCCCTCCCCACACAGGATGAGCTCACAGGCCTTCCCCTATTGTGTTTCCCTCACTATTACTGCTGAACCTTGTGGAGTTCACACCATTCTTTTAAAACCATTCTTTTTGAGGAATGAGACTCTGTCAGGGTGAGTTGTTTGCGGAAGTAATGCTGTTTCAATGTTTTAGTGTTGCTGTTGATACCTCCCTGGAGTCCAAGAGAAAGTGAAAGTTCATGTTTACTCTTTTATGGGAAACATCCACCTCCCTCCTCACACTTCTTCCTCAAAGGTCTGGCTTTGGTTCCCTCTGGTGTTCACTATAGCAAGTGGGCCAGATGGAGCTTCTGTTGGTTGGCTATGAAATGGAAGGCTTGGTTTTTTGCAAGACATGTGATCGACGGAGCCATGTTGAAGTCTTTAAAACATAGCCCAGTTGGATCCCATAACTTACCAGTCACGCCTGGGACAATCACAATTTCCAGCTTCCATTCACATCAAAGCTCTGTCCCTCCTCCCCAGGCAAGCTAGAGTGCTCAGCGGAGGCCTATCTGAGGAGGTGACGGCAAGCCCAAGGGCCAGCTCATTTTTTTTTTTTTTTTTTTTTGAATCAGTCTCACCGTAGCCCAAGCTGGAGTGCAGTGGTGCAATCTTGGCTCACTACAACCTCCAGCCCCAGGGCTCAAGTGATTCTCGTGCTTCAGCATCCCTAGTAGCTGGGACTACAGGTACGTGCCACCACACCTGGCTAACTCTTTTGTGTTTTAGTGTTGCCCAGGGTGGTCTCAAACTCCTGAGCTCAGGTGATCTGCCTGCCTCGGTCTTCCAAAGCGCTGGGATTACAGGCGTGAGCCACTTCGCCTGGCTGGGCCAGTTCATTTTTATACTCGAATCATGACCATGGAATGCTGAGTCAGACACACTTTTGCTTACATAAAACCCAACACTGGCTTCTGCTGTCCTCATAAGTACAACTTCTAACTTGGTTTACAAGCCCTTGGTGACCTTGCCCATCCTTGTCCTGCCAGCCTCCTTTCTCCACATTCCATAGCCATCCTATCACTCACATTCTTCACAGCATTCCCTAATTAAAAGCTGAGGATTTCTTCACAAACCAAGACCTCTGCATGTGTTCCTCTCTCTGACTCAAATCCTCTTTCGCCCAGTTCTCCTTCCTCTTCTTCATTCTGCTTGTTTAAACTCCATTCATGTTTTAAATCTCAGATTTCCTCCAGAAAGTCTTTCCTGGCCCCCCAGACTAAGCTAGGTTTCCTAGCCCTATAATCATTAGTCTTTGTTGTGATTGCCTGTGTCCCCATTGGACCATCAATTCTGTAAAGCAGGGGACCATATTTGCCATATTTACCACTTGATCTCTGGCACTGAGCACAATGCCTGGCACATATTGTATGCTTAATAAATATGGGATGAGTGATGGTTTTAAAGTGGCTGTGGGTCCCTGAAAGCAGTAGCAGAGTTAGAAGGCTTTTCAGACCAGGTTCCTTGTATTGCAGGGGCATGAAGTAGGCTGATGCTGACATGGCTGGGACCCAGAAACATCAGCACAAAGGAGATGAGTCTGTCTGTTCTTTGACAGCAGGAAGTAGCTGCAAAAATGTGCTGCAAGGCAAGGAGTGGTGTGTGTGCAGCCCAGGCTCAGAGATGGCAGGCTTGAGGCCTCTGTCCAGATTCCACAGGCCTGCCTTGCTCAGGGCCAGTTGGAGTGCTTTGCCTGATAGACCCCAGAGGGGACTTTTGACTCGACATTTCATGAGGGCCCTGTATCTAATCCGCAGATCTGTCTCAACCCATCTGTTGAAGTTTCTCCACTCAAATGTCAGTCCTAATTGGAGATTGGTGATTTGTTCCCTCAAAGTCAGGCAAAGGCCAAAAGGGGCTGCAGGACTTGGCGAGAGAGGAGTGGCGAGGGCTCAGCTGGAGGGTGGGGGCTATTTGCTTGGCCCCCATTGTGTCTCCAAGGGCTTTTCTGTATGACTTGGGAGATGCTGGGAAATCACTCTCCCAGGCTGACTGAAGGCTGGGAGAAAACAGCAGAGAACAAACTCCTCTCTAGTTTGTTGCCTGGGCTGCCACTGACCCCATTTCTGCTCTCTGCCTCAAGATCAGGCCTTGTGTGGCATGCTGGGTGGTGAAGAGGGTATCCTGACAGGTATGTGGGAGAAGGGCTGGTGCCTTGCAGTGGACCCGAGGCCTGGCAGCTTCCAGTGGGCCCACATTCTACTCCCCATTTAGTAAGACAGACAGGTTAGTGGTCAACAGTGTGGACACTGAAGCTGGGCCGTCAGGGTTTGAATCTCAGCCCTGCCATTTATGCCTGGCTATGCAATCCTAGGCAAGCTACTTAAAAGTTCTTTGCCTCTCTTTCTTCCTTTGTACGTATCTCATAGTTTCAAAGTCCTTAGAATACTGTAAATATTTACAATACTGAAGCAGCATTTTCATCTATAAAATGAGAGGATTGGACTCAATGAACTCGAAGAACCCTTTTGATGTAAAACTCACAACCTGCCTGGGTTCAAATCCTGACTTCACCACAGACCAGCTGGTAGTTCTCAAGGTTAGGGACTGTACTTGTACCTGGCTCAATTCTGGTGTGACCAAAGTACCTGAGACAGCACCTGGCACATAATAGGTACTCAGAAAATGTTGTTGTTATTGTTGGTCGGTTTTTTAGAAACGGGGTCTCACCCTGTTGCCCAGGCTGGAGTTCGGTGATATGATCATAGTTCAATGGAACCTCCAACCCCTGGGCTCAGGAGATTTTCCTGCTTCAGTTTCCTGAGTAGCTGGGACTACACCACCATGCCAGGCACACACCACCATGCCTGGCTAATTTTTATTTTTATTTTTGTAGAGACAGGGTCTTGCTATGCTGCTTAGGCTTATCTCAAACTCCTGACCCGAAGTGGTCTTCCTGCCTTGGCCTTCAAAGTGCTGGGATTACACGTGTGAACCACTGCTACTGGCTGGTCTCTAATCAGGAAATTTTGAATGGGTGGTGCATGGATGAGAATCCCATGAAGAGGTATAAATAACTGTTATGAAGCAATGAATACGGGCTTGCCTCGGCCCAGGGGCCAAAGCCTTCAGGAAGAAGAAAAGACCGCCCCCATCTTAACAGATGGATTTGTGGTCTTGAGGAGCACCAAAGCCCTGAAGAAAAGGGGGGAAACTAGGGTTTGGGAGACCAAGAGTAGAGGAATATGCAGAGGAAGTCACCATACACTATGGCCTGCCCTCCTGAGCAGGAATGCTTGCTTCCTGCTGACCTGGAAACCAGCTGTCCAGCAGAATGGAAAAACAGGTGGACTTAGACCCAAAGACCTGAGTATGAATCCAGCCCTGCTCTTCTCTACTGTGTGCCATGGCACAGAGCACACACACGCCATGCCAGACAATTGATTTTAATCAACTTTATCTAGTTGATAAAGTACTTACAATATTGAGAGAATGAATGGGAGCATCACTAAATACCTTCTCAGGATGCCAAATTTCATCTTTTGACATGAAAATGTTTAGTTTTCAAAGTCGTTTTAACATACCTTCCCATACACAGAATGCCCCTGCAGGGCAGGAACCTTTCTTATGCCCATTTTGGAGATTTGATTCAGAGCAATTGCTCAAGATCTGCTGGCTAGTTTGAACTCAGGTCTTTGGACTGCAAATTTTTCTTTCCCCTCTGCCTCCTAGTATGCGGCATGAATCTCCAGACTAAAGTGAGACCTTTTAGATGGCTGAATAAGGAAGAAACCTGGAGAACATACATGTGGGTTAGAAGTCATTATGGCTCCGAGATCGCAGGCTGATGCCATTGTTACTGGGAACTGGAGACAGAGCTGAAGGACCCAGGGAGCCGGCCGGCCCAGCTATTAACACCTCAGGGAGCTCAGCTTGTGCATGGATGAGGCATCCAGGAAGGCAAGACAAGGTAGATGCCAGGCTCATAAGAGGGAAATTCTTCTAAAGAAGGGAAAGCACTGGAGGGAAATAAGTGTAATTGCTTCTCATTTGAGATATTCAGCAATGTCTGATGTATATCTCCAGGGAGGATACTTTCAGTTTAGGGGAGGATTTGAGAACTTGGTTTGGGGATTCTAAGCCTAGCATGAACAGTGAAGAAAATCTTTTATGCCTCTGTACAGAATCATCACCAAGCAACTTTCAGGCACATATTCATTCATTCTCAACTCTGAGTACTTACTATGTGCCAAACACAGTCCTGGGCCCTTTGGGGTGGTACAAAGTTGATTCAGCTATTGTCTCTAATCTTGAGGAACTCCTGGAGGCTTAGTCATGTGGTCAGGGTTTGAACCCAGACAATCTGACTCTGTGCTGTAAATTAGCATCATGCTACCTCTGTTAGAAAACACACCCAACTCGGCCTGGAGGAATCCAGAAAGGCCTCTAAGAAGGAGTATCAGCTTTGAGTGGAGTTGAATTGAATTCAGCAAATGGATGAGAAGGGAAGGATGTTCTAGGGAAGGACAATGTGTTGAAAGGCTAAAAGTTGTAAGGAGAGAAAGGCATATTCAAGGAAATGCAAATAATGTGGAATGACATAAGATTAATGATAATAATAGAAAGAGGGTAGAATGTGTGTAGGAAGTAGAAGGAGAGGAGGCTGGAGACTCGAGAAGGGCCCAGTTTAAAGCACTTTAAACTCCATGCTCAGTATTTTGTCTCAGTGGCATTGAAAAGTGATGGATGTGTTTTGGGCAGAGCAGTGACATGGCCAGCACTGTGACATGGGACATTGTGTGCAGGAGCTTCCTCTAGGGCAGTGGTTCCCAAGCCCAGTCATTTACTTCCTGGAGTAACCATTTTTTCTTCTTTGAATCCACTCCTTCTCCAGCCTTCTTCATCTCAGTAAATGGTACCTACAAATGTCTGCGTCTCAGGTCAAAAATCTAAGGGTCATCCTTGATTTCTGCTCTTCCTGTACCATGTACATCCAATCCATCAGTATGGTCTCTCAGATGGCTCCTGAGCCCATTTGCTTCTCTCCATATCCATCATCTCTGGCCTGGACAACTGTGTCTGCTTCCTACTCAGGAAGGAGTCTTCCTGCCTCCCTGCAATCTAATCTCCACACAGAAGCCAGGGGATCTTTGGAAAAATCTGATACTGTCTGTGATAAAGAATAACTTGAGGAGGTATGCATGGGACACAGAGCACAGAGCCAGATTGTCTGGGTTGAAATCCTGATGACACCATTAAGAAGCCAGGAGTTCCTTTTTAAAAACAAAAACTTTTTTTTTTTTTTCTGAGACAGGGTTTTGCTCTGCTGCTCAGGCTGAAGTGCAGTGGCATGATCATAGCTCACTGAAGCCTTGACTTCTTGGGCTCAAATGATCCTCCCACTGCAGCCGTCTGAGTAGCTGGGACTATAGGCATGCAGCACCAAACCTGGCTAATTTTTAAATCTTTTGTAAAGAAGTGGTCTTGCTACATTGCCCAGGCTGGCCTCCAGTGAACCTTCTGCCTAGGTCTCCCTAGGTGTTAGGATTATAGGCGTAGCCACTGCACCTGGCTGTCCCCTTCTTAAACCCCTTTCAGCAGCTCTTGGAATTTCATTGCCCATGGAATACAATCCAAACTCCTTACGATGGCCACGCGAGTCCTGGCTGCCTCTTCAGCCATCTCAGGCCAGTCCACTCGTTCCCTTGTCAGCAGGCTCTAGCCAACAGGCCTTCTGACCCTTTCTAGAACTTGCCAAGCTCTCTGTGACTCAAGACTTTGCACTTCCTATTTCCAGCCCTTCCCTGAGCAGTTCTATGACCTGCTTGCTCCTTCTCCACTTTCCAGCTTAAATATCGTTTTCATGGAGGCTATCTGCAGACCTCCTCAGGTTATTTCTTATCACAGCACCCTGTGACTTTCCTTCATAGCTTATTTTATAGAAACCTATTTTTTTTTTGAGATGGAGTCTTGCTTTTGTTGCCCAGCCTAGAGTGCAATGGCATGATCTCGGCTCACTGCAACCTCCGCCTCCTGGGTTCAAGAGATTCTCCTGCCTCAGCCTCCTGAGTAGCTAGGATTATAGGAGCCCACCAACATGCCAGGCTAAGTTTTGTATTTTTTTTAGTAGGGACGGGTTTTCACCATGTTGGCCAGGGTGGTCTTGAACTCCTGACCTGAGGTGATCGACCCACCTTGGCCTCCCAAAGTGCTGGGATTATAGGCGTGAGCCACCTCATCCAGCCTAAAAAAATCTTTATAGTCTGAATTTGGTCTTTCTGCTTAGCTATTTGATGTCTGTCTTGTCCTGGAAGAATGTCAGCATGCCAGTCTTTCTACTGTGGTGGCCCCCAAGCCTAGAACGGGGCTGGAGTGTGTAGGCATTCGAGAAATATTTGTAGAATGAATGAATAAATGAGTGCAATTTAATCCTCCAGAGCACGAATTTTTTTCTTAAGTTATCCCTCTCATTTTAATAAGGGAAGAGATGCTGAGTGGAAGAAAAAGCCCACACAACGATGGTTTATTCCCTTTAGTCTTGTCTTTTTCCTTTGCGAGACTTCACTTTCTGGTTATGAAGATGAATGTCTGACACGCTTTTTTTCCCCCAAGATGCTCTTTCAGAGTACTGACTGGTTGAAACCTGTGGCGACAGCTTTCATCGAGTCCAAGAGGTGTTGCATGCTCCTGCTGGTTAGAAAACAGCACTGTGTCACAGTAGGGGAACAGAAACAAAACCAGACCATGCTTGAGTGCAAGCTGCAGCATGGAAGGGACTTGAGAGAGCATCTCAGGCCCAGCCCCCTTGCTGTATAAATGAGGAAACTGAAGCTTTGCGAGGCCAAGGAAACAGAACCCATTCTCTTTTTCCTGACTCCCCTTACCCATCACACCCCACCCCTCACCTTCCCACTCCCAGTGAGAGCCTGGATCTGAGTTGACTGGTGATACTGTCATTCTCTTGTCCATTCCTCATCAAGGTTTGTTCTGATGGGGCCATGAAAGGCTGTGTTGTCAATAGCCTGTGTGACCTTCTTCAGCACTTAGGGATGTGTCTTACATCTCTGAATAACCTCGACAATTCTAATTTTGGTTATGCCTTGCATGAATTTAGTGAAACTTTATGGGAAGCTTATTTTTATTCTCACCCCTAATTGTGTCCTACGGGTTAATGAGGTTCCTCATTTTACTACTTATTTTGTAGCAGTAGAACTTTACTTATCTTCAATTAACTTCTTGTAAAATCTAAGGCAGGAACCACCACAAGCAACTTGCGAGTCTTATTTGGCTCAACTGTCTCAGGGCAAGTGTCCTCTGTTGAACTCCCACAACTAATTTGAACTAATTGGTAACACTAACAATTGGGCAGTTTTCCATAATAATTTGAGATTATGTCTTCTCTTGGGAAATAAGAAAACCTGGGACAGTGATCCTTTGTGGCAACAGTTAGCTGGAACTGAGTAGTTGCATGCATCAGCATTTCACTGCCCCATTTAGACCTGGGGAACACCCAGTTTAACACAGTCATCAACACTCCTCATTGCTTTACATGCAGCTGGGTCCACTCAGTTACTTTATTTCCCCAGCTCCTGAAAATATTTTGAGTTCGTATCCCTGAAATATCCTTCCAAAGCATTCTGGAACTTGAGATCTGTGATCCATGATCACATTTATGATCTATAGATTTTTAGTATAGTATTCTTCAGACTTGGTCTTCCTCATGTGACACCCAGCTTCAGAGACCAGGGCTGGCTGCTCTCCACTGGGGGCATGATCCTCAAGTGCTTCCTTTAGAACAACTATGAAATTTAAAACAAAGTTAGTCCAGAGGGATTTTGGAAGCAGGATGCAGAATGCGGAAGAAACTCAAGATAAGGTGTAACAACCAAGTTAGGAAGGGTGCAGGTGAAAGTTCAGAGAATCCTACTAAGCGGTCAGTCATTTAACTAATATCTATTAAGGTTTTACTATATTCCAGGCACAAAGTGCTAAAAATATAGGTGGCTACTGCCACCCATTCCCTATCATTACCGTCTGTTTCTGCTCCTCCTACTCTTCTGAAGTTTCTGTCTCAACGGTCATTAACAATCTCTGCTGTGGACTGAATTTCTCCCCTCTCCCAAATTCATATATTGAAGGCCTAATCTCAAATGTGATGACATTTAAAGATGGGGCTAGGAAACAATTAAATTTACGTGAGGTCATGAGGAGGAGGCACTCATGATGATATTAGTGCCCATATAAGAAGAGAAACTAGACAGCTTACTCCCTCCACCATGTGTGGACACAGCAAAAAGATGGCTGTCTTCCTGTGAAGCTGGGAAGAGGGCCCTCACTAGAACTTGACCATGCTGGCACCCTGATTTTAGATTTTCAGCTTCCAGAGTGGTGGGAAAATAAATTTCTGTTGTTTAAGCCACCCAGCCAATGGCATTTTGTTATGGAAGTTCAAGCAGACTAATACAGTCTCCTAATGGACAGATCCTGTGGTCTTAATCATATGTGGATTCTCTGTAGCCTCTGAAAGGGAAGACATACTCTACTGCTTCACTCATATCCCTTAGCATTAATGGGACATTCTCCTCTTATATCTTAGGCTGCTTCTAAACTTCCTTAACTTAATCATGTCTGCAAAGTCATGTTATCTAAACAAGGTAACATTAATTTGGTTCCAAGGATTAGGACCTAGTATCTTTTTGGAGACATTATTCAGCCTGCTACAGACTGCTATTGATTTTGGTGTGCTAACCTTGAATTCAGCAACATTTGTCTGAAGAGTCCACTTTATATAGACAATTATTTCACAAGCAAATTACAATTTTGTGTTTGCTGACTCAAAAAATTTCTATTCTTTCTCCTTTGCCTTCTGTCTCTCCTCTCCCTTTAGATCCTCTTCCCCTTCCTCCTCCTTCTATTTTTGGTCTAATTTTCTTAATTTTGAATGATTTCTTTTTTTGTATTTATAACAACTTTTTGAGACATAATTCACATACTGTACCATTGACCCATGTCAATTGTAAAATTAAATGTCTTTAGTGTAAGTACACAGCTATTCAACCATCATCACAATCAATTTTAGAACATTTTCATCACCCCATAAAAAACTGCATATGCCTTAGGTGTCAACCCTCAGTCCTTCTTCTCCAAGCCGTAAGCAACCACTAATCTGTTTTTTGTCTTTATAGATTTGCCTATTCTGGAATTTCTTATAAATGAGATGATATAATATGTGGCCTTTTGTATCTGGCCTCTTTCACTTCTTGTGTTTTCAAGGTTCATCCATGTTGTTGCATGCATCAGCACTTCACTTCTTTTTTATTGTAGTAAAATATAAATAACCTAATGTTTATCATTTTTAACCATTTGTAAGTGTACAATTCAGTAGCATTAAATACATTCACAATGTTTTATGACTGTTACTGCTATCTATACTCAAAACTTTTTTCTTGTCCTCCCCAAAAACTCTGTAGCCATTTTATAAGTCTCTCTTCCCCTACCCTCCAGCCATATAAGTTGATTCATATAGTATTTGTTTTTCTGTGTTTGGTTTATTTAACTAAGCATAGTGTTTTCAAGGTCCCTCCATGTTGTAGCATATGTCAACATTTCATTCCTCTTTATAGCTGAATAATAGTCCATTGTATGTATGTACCATATAGCTGAATGTATAGTCCATTGTATGTATATACCACATTTTGGCAGTTTATTATCTGTTGATGGATATTTGGGTTGGTTCCACCTTTTGGCTATTATGAATAATGCTGCTATGAACATCAGTATACAAATATCTGAGTCTCTGCTATTTTACTGAGTTATTTTCAGTTCCCTAGGAGTGGAATCGCTGAGTCATATGGTAGGTCTATATTTACTCTCTTGAAAAACCAGCCTGGGCAATACAGTAAAACCTCATCTCTACAATAGATACAATAAAATATAAAAACCATCACCACCAAACTGTTGTCTACAGTGACCACACTTTTATATTCCCACCAGCAAAGTACAAGGGTTCTAGTTTCTTCACATTCCTGTCAATATTTGTTACTTTCTGTATTTAAAAAAATTATAGCCATCCTAGTAGATGTGAAGTAGTATCTTATTGTGGTTTTGATTTGCTTTTACTTTATGACTAATGATGTTGAGCATCTTTTAATGTGCTTATTGGTCATTTGGAGAAATGAGTTTTAGGAGTTCCTTGTATATTCTGGATAGAAATCTCTTATCGGATCTATTATTTGCAAATATTTTCTCCCATTCTGTAAATTGTCTTTTCACTTCCTTTGATGCACTAAAGTTCTTAATTTTGATGAAGACCAATTCATAGTTTTTTCTTTTGTTGTCTATGCTTTTTGTATTATATCCATGAAGTTGTGGCCAAATCATGTCATCTTATTGCCAAATAACATTCTATTAAACAGATATACCACATTTTATTTATTAATTTATCACTTTATGGACATTTGGGTGTTTCTACCTTTTGGTTATTTTGAATAATGCTGTTATAAACATTCATGTATTCATGTTGTTGTATGGACATATGTTTTTATTTCTCTTGGATATATACCTAAAATAAAATTACTGGGTCTTATGGTAACTGTCTGAGGAACTGCTAGGCTGTTTTCCAAAGTGGCTGCACCATTTCACATTCTCATCATCAGTGTACGAGGGTTCCCACTTCTCTGCATTCTCACCAACACTTGTTATTATCTGACCTTTGAGCATAGCCATCCTAGTGAGTCTGGAGGAGTGTCTCATTGTACTGATATTTATGTGCATATGTTTTATTTTGTTTATTAATACACAAGGGTTAGCTTGTATTTACAGGGCTTTATTTACATTTCCTTAGTGACTAATGATGTTAAGTGTCTTTTCATTTGCTTATTGGCTATATCTTATTTGAAGAAATATCTATTCAGATCTTTTACCCATTTTTTAAATTGGGTTGTCTTTTTGTTATTGAGTAGTAATAGTTCTTTATATATGTGAAAATAAGTAATCCAAAATCTAAGCTATTGGAACTCTAAATTATTTTAAGCCTGAAAGGAATGTGATTATGAAGCCTGAGTCACATGACAGGCAGCTATAACCTTGGCAGCTATATCTTAGGAAGCTATAAACTTTGTTTCTCTGATTATAGATTAGCCTTCTTCCTTACCTGCATTGTTTTGTAAAGTATTGTAAGTAACTGAAAGGTGCCAGGGAAGGCCTCTTCTCTCTTCACTGTTGATCTTCATTATAAATTAACTTCCCTCTTTCTCACACAAAGACTTCATAGCTATCACATTGTATTAAGATGGAATGTTAAATATACTCTTTTAAATTGGAAAGAAGATCAAAACAAACCATGCAGAAAGAAAACAGACTATAACTAATTAAATTGTTGTAACTCACAAACCAGCTTTGTATAGAAAATGCTATAATCTTGTTAAATTTCTTTGTTTCATGCCTATATAAGCAAGAAGTTAACTTTTAAGTTGGGAACATTAACCCCATTTCTCTGGAGTCTGTGACTTCTGCATGGCCATTCCCAGCTTTTTGCTTGAATAAACTCTTCAAAACTGAATTCTGATCCTTTCAATTATATCAGATTGACATATATTTTAGATGCAAGTTTCTTATTAGATATATGATTTGCCAACATTTTTGTGAAAGTGTTTTTTAATGTATTTGTTTTGCTTCTTGAATTTTCAATAATTTCTTCAGTGAGCATGGATTTTATTTTAAAATTTAAAAATCTGTTTATTAATTTTTAAATATATATTTCCTTGTAAAAATAATGCTTGTTCAAAAGCTTTTAAAAATAAGAAAATGTAGACATTTTAGAAAGTTCTTGCCCAACTTCTAGAACATACATTTATTAATTTAAAAAATAGTATTATATAAAAAAATATATAGGTATGATTTATATATTTATATGCATGTATACTTAAACACATGATTGTATGATTTACACACCTACCCTCCTCAAATTTCACTGAAGCAATAGCACAGATACAGCTCCAAAGAGATCAAAATATGAAAGCAAATCCTGAAAAAGGTAATGAACGATAAAACATAAAGAGAGAAAGCCCTATCAAGTTCTTAAGAAATGATGGTACCAGTTACCCAGGAAGGTGAGGGTCTAAAGCACATGTGTTGAAAGAGCTGACCATCTCTGCTTCCTTCCGGGCTTCAGTCAAGAGTTAATTCTTCTGAGAAATGAACCAGGGAGGCTCCAAACTTGGAAATACCAGACAAAGAAATTTCTCCGGGATACACTGGGAAGTGAAACAAACAAACATGTTATAGATACACATGAGCAAATCTCTTGTATATTAACAAACAAAACAAAACATATGTACATAAATATAAATGTGAATGCATACAGAAAGTGTGGAAAGATACACCCAGAATCTGTAGCCACATTATAGTTTTTCAGGACTTGGTTCTGGGGCTCTTCTGTTCTCTAAATTCTCTCCCTGGATGATTTGATCCAATTCTGTGGCTTTAAATGCTGAAGACTCCCCAATTTTTTCTTCTTTGGGTGCAGCTCCAACTCTGACTCAGCATAAACCAACGAGGGGACTGCATTCTGCAACCACAGTGGTTGGTTTAGGGATGGGGATCTGACCTAGGGGATATGAGTCCATGGACCGGATGGGCATATGAGCCCATGACCCAGGGGATATGAGCCCATGGACCAGATGGAACTTTGAGGCACACCCTTTTTCAGGTAGCTTTGAACCTGAGAGGAAGACAGGTCTTGTAGCATTCTTGCTGTTGACTGCATCAGTTCACACGGCCACCAACTGTTACTAATCCTGGGTATCAACAATTATCCCAATGTGTTAGAAGAATATATGCTAGTTTACATTGTGTTTATTGTTAGTGAGATTAAGCATCTTTGTCTATTAACTTTGTTTTGTCATTTGTAAATTGAATTGTTAATCAGTTTCTAATTGATAACTAAGGTTTTAAGACATTGTGAATAAAATACCTTTGTTATATGTGCTACAAATATATGTAATGTGCGGTTGTAAATAACTTTTTTCTAATTATTTTAATGCTGTTATTGATACTGACTGTGTCCTGGGACAGTCACTAATCTACTAAACCTATAAATTTACATGGGAATAAAAGAGCGTAATAGACTCTTTCCTAGTGTTTATTCCCCTAGCAGTGTTTCCCAGTGCCGGCTTAGTGTACATCGGTAAAATATGAAAATTCTCCTCTACTGACCATTAAAATTATGAAAGCACAGACTAAATTCTTATTAACATTTTAAACAAATGGAGCAAAATATTTGTACACTTCTTTCCTCTTTTTTTCACTGAAAACACAAATTGCATTGAAAACACTGACTTACCATATAATTTACCTTATTAATTAAGAATAATTGGAGTTTGTATCTTAAGAGTCCATTTAGTGCTAAGTTTTTGTGGTCTCTTTGAGTTCCATGGACCAGCAGTTAGGAAATGTAGATTCATCTGACTAGTAAATAATATAATAAGAATGAGTAGAAGACTAGTCAACTTTTATAAGCATCAATATAATGTGTGAGGCATCGTTCTAAGTGTGCTACACACATTATATCTTTTATTTCTTAAAACAACCCCATGAGGCAAATACTATCATTATCCCTATTTTCCAGATGAAGGAGCAGGCACAGTGAGGTTAATTAGCTTATTCAAGCTCACATGGCTACTTGAACTTAGATAATCTGTGTTCACTGGCACTTTAAACAACTATGCGTTCTTAGTGCTTTCTTTTCTTTTCTTTTGGTTTGTTTGTCTTAACCTTGATTTTATCATTTAACCCCATATGGTGTATATCTGAGTTTGTGTTATATAGCATGACAGTGGGAATGTATACTGAGTTCTCCAAATGGGGTTGGCCCATCTTTCTTTTTAAGATATTGAGAATCATTTAAAATACTCTGTAGAGCCTTATGCAGCCCTAGCAAGAACTGAAGTCAAATTCTGGAATAATTGTAATTTTGACCTATACCTAGAATATGATATTCACTGAGTTTGTCTTTATCAAACTGGTGGTCGGTTGGTTCAGATGACCAGAAAGGCAAATCCAAGCAGTCTTGGCAAGTTTATGGGGCTCCAAAGTGTCACTTTAGGGAATGTTGGCCATTGCCTGGAGTCAGTTGAGCTAGTAGGCTGGCCTGGGCAGTACAGGCTTACAAGAACCTGGCTACAAGAGGTGAAGGGAAGCACTAGAAGAATCCAGGTGAAGGGCCCTCTGATTCTTGGATGCCCAGCTGGGGGAGAGTGGTGCTTTGTCAGTAGGCCTGCGGTCCAGCACAGTGGGGGCACGATAGCTCAGGAGGTGGAGGTAGGATGGGCCTGAGGAGTTCCCGGACATGTATTTGGGAAGCATAGTGGCCACTGAGTCATTCTGAGTAGATCTGTGATTATTTTATAGGGCACAATTCTACATCTGGAAGAAGAAACACTACTCTCAATCTGCTGCTTTCACTCCCTTGCTCTACCCTAGTGCTAGTAAGAAAAGTTCCTGGCCAATAGGGAACCCCAAAACAATGATGTTTAAAAATATTAATAAAAACTGACATCTACTGAGCTCATAGTATAGGTTAGGTATGATTATAAGGCCTTTCACATGTACCAATTTTCTGAGACAGGTATTGTAATCCTCTTCCTCATTGTATAAGTAGGGCAGGTGAGGTAAAGGAGCTTATGAAAATTGCCCAAGGTCATACAGCATGTAAAAGGGGTAAGGGTTGGTGGGGAAAGAATTCGATCTGCGAGAATTTGGCTCCAGATGCTGCACATCAAGCTATTCTGCTATATTGCCTTCTTGATATTTTAATAAAATGAATTTTCTCTCTGGGTTTAAGAGGAGCATTAAATACTAAATTTACTACCATTCCTTTTTGTTTTGTTTTGTTTTGTTTTGAGACAAAGTCTCGCTCTATCACCCAGGCTGGAGTGCAATGGCACTATCTCGACTCACTGCAACCTCTGCTTCCCAGGTTCAAGTGATGCTCCTGCCTTAGCCTCCCGGGTAGCTGGGATTACAGGCGCCTGCCACCATGCCCAGCTAATTTAGTAGAGACAGAGTTTCACCACGTTGGCCAGGCTGGTCTCAAACTCCTGACCACAGGTGATCCAACCACCT
This sequence comes from Homo sapiens, assembly GCF_000001405.40. NCBI lineage: Eukaryota > Metazoa > Chordata > Mammalia > Primates > Hominidae > Homo > Homo sapiens. The sequence goes on along the minus strand of NC_000003.12, from coordinate 159,914,770 downwards.
CGGCCTCCCAAAGTGCTGGGATTACAAGCTTGAGCCACCGCACCCAGCCTAAATTTGCTACATTCCTTAGAATAAAATATCAGTCTCAAAACAGTAGTTTCAGCCCCACAGATTTGTCTCAGAAGTCTAATTGTACACATTCCTATGTGAGGCTGTCATTTGTCTGAAAGTCTTCAACTTTAGATTTTCTTGGGCTGAGGAAGGGCTTAGGTCTCAGCTTTTAATCCACAGGAGGAAGTTTTATTTACCCTGTGGATACTTAATACATATTTTTCATTGCTGTTTCTCTTGTCCAGTTGGGCTTATCTTGCCCATGAAGTTGCCTCTGAAGAACCAAGTCCAACTGTGTATGCTGAGAGATGTCTGGCTACTTCCTGATTGACAGTTCTGGCAAGGTGGCATTGGGCCCTGGCTTTTCCTCTGGAGGCATCATCACTTATAGGAAAATGTCCCCTGAAGTCCAAGGATCAAAGCTGCTGGAACACTGAGAAGCTGAACAAAGGAGAACTGTTTCTCATCAAACCCAGACTTCCAGACTTCCAATAGGGTAGAATGAGCAAGTCAGCAAATCATCTTCCTTGGAAACAGTGATAAAACTAGATGACATTGTCAACAACAGCCATTTCAGAAATCTAGAAAATGACCAAAGGCAAACAACAAACTGAGAAGCATTTTTTTTTCCATGAAAAATCGCTCTATTTCTGCAAAAATAGTGGGAGTCTATGGCTTCTCATCCAGGGCTGTTTCTCTCCCCACCCCAGCTCAGTCAGTACAAAGGTTCTGGCAGCATGAGGCAGACTGAACAGACCTGAAGTTTGATTGCTGGAAGAAACTGACTCCAGGTTTGGCAGAGGGTGAGAAACCTACTCCCAGCCATGTTGTCTGGTGACACAGTGACCTTAGGGACAAGTGAATAGGGAAGGCCAGTGATTCATTAACCTGAGGTTGCAGTCCTGGTTGGGGAAAGCATCAGAATGGCAGATAAGCTAGAAATTTAGTAGGGATATGCTGGAAATGAGACAACCCCAAAGGGGCTTGACCCCAAAGTTGTCCACACACCCCAGCTGCCTTCTGAGCAGATGTAGGGAGAGACCAGAGAAGGCCTAGGCTATCCACACATCTCTGGCTAACCCAGGCTGTAAACCTGTGGAGGAGACACAAGAGGTGGATTGATTGCTAATGGGCATATGGGGGATCTTACTGGTTGATAGGAACATTCTCAAATTGGATTGTGGTGATGCTTGCACAACTCTAAGTTTATCCCAAATTGCTAAATTTTACACTAAAAAGGGGTGAACTTTAGGGTATATAAATTATACATCAATAAAGTTGTCATAAAGCATTCACATTCTAATAAATGGCTCTAAGAAATATTGTTTTGAAAATTTTCCTTTGGTATATTATGGCACTCCAAAATCAACTTCTGTCAGAACAATAATTAACTATTTCTGATTATAGATATTGGTCATCTACAATGATTTATTCAGTCTTTTATGTCCCGCATAAGGGCTTAGAATGCTTTAAATTTCTAAGACCATCAATAGCCAGGACTCACCTGAAAACTATATATATTTTTAAAAAGACGTATGCTCTGGGACACCATATGCTAACATTTGTTGAGCACACAGTTTGCTACAGAGGTTAAGAGGTGTACTATTTAAATCTAACTTCCTCAAGGGGCTCACACTATTACAATAGTAAGCTAAAGAGATAGAAGAAAAGTTTATATATAAAATCTCAGTACAGGGATGGGGTTGGTAACAAATAAGATGCTGCCACTTACACTTGATAAATTATAAAATATCTATTGCATTCATTATTGGAGGCTGACCCTTATAAAAACCTTGTGGGTACTGCAAAAGACAGGGAAACCGAGGCTCAGAGTGGTTCAGCAACTTGTGTGAGGTCACATACCTCATGTCAAAGCTGAGATTTAAATGTGTGTGGCTAGGCTGGACATGGTGGCTCACACCTGTAATCCTAGCACCCTGGGAGGCTGAGGTGGAACACACTCCTTGTTTGTGTCCAGGAGTTCAAGACCAGCCTGGACAACATAATGAGACCTCATCTCTACAAAAAATAAAAAATTAGCTGGGTGTGGGGCCACGCACCCCAAGGTTCTCAGGAGGCTGAGGCAGGAGGACTGCTTGAAATCAGGAGGTTGAGCCTGCAGTGAGCTGTGATCATGCCACTGCACTCTGCCTGGGTGACAGAGTGAGACCCTGTCTCAAAAAAATAAAAATAAAAACAAATAAATGTGTGTGGCTGATTCTCATGCAAATATTGGTGAAGATCTGGTAGTGATGTAAATTGGTAGAACCTCAGTGGGAGATAACTTTGCAATAGCTATCAAATGAAAACTGTGTATATTCTTTGTTTCAGGAATTTCACTTCTAAGATGTTTTTAATATAGCAGAAATGGTTATCCATAAAGAATTAGTTCAATACATTTTATCTGTAAAATGGAATGCAATGCGGCCATTAAAAAGGAGGCATATCTGAGTATACTAATATAGAATGGTCTGCAAGATATATTAACTTTTTTACAAAAGCTGTTCCCCACACTTCTTCGTGTTGTTTGAAAAGACGTGAAGGCTCAGACAGGCCTTCATTGTGACTTGCCCAGGATGAGTAGCAGGGCTGGAATTCCTACTCAGGAGTCCAGATTTATAGGCTTCCTCTTTGCTTTATCCTATTTCATAGCTGTCTCTGTTGCCAGAGCCATGGAAGGGCTTTAAGGAGTGGAAAGGTTGGTAATTGGGTTTTCCTTTTTGAAAGACCATGAGGAACAATGTGGAGGACGGACTGGAGTTGACCTAAGTGGAGGCTCAGACTCTGGGTAGAAGGTTTTTATAGCAGTTCTTATGAGAACTGATTACTTCACTAGGGCATTGGCCCTAGAACTTCTGAGGAGGAGAAGGGTGTGGATTTACTTAGCAGGCAGCAATGGCAGGACCTGGTGATGATCATATTTGAGGTGGTACAAGACAAGGAGTCAACAATAAGTCCCGAGTTTCAGACTTGGATACCTGGGTAGATGGTAGGGCTGTTTGCTGAACAAGAGGAAACAGGAGAAAGAGCAGTTTTAGGGGAAACAATCATGGGAATAGATTTGAAATGTCTTCCAGAAGCAGGTGGGAAATGCCGGCTTAGAATGCAGAAGAGCTCAGGGATGGAGCTAAATACAAGGAAGTCGTCATCAGAGGTTGAAGGATTGCTGTGAAAGGATCTTTTCTTTTGGGTTCCTTGGCCCCTACCCCTGAGTGTGATTTCCAGGGTTTCTTATTCGAAGGCCATGAGCAGAAACTTCTCACGGCACGTCACCTCATCCAAATGCCACAGAAATGAAAAGTGAAACCACTGGGGACAGACTCAGAAATCAAAACAAAACAAATTCTCCTCTCAGAGGCTTGGTTTCCATTTGTGCCAGTGTAATTAAACAATTCTTTCTTTCTTTTACTTGGAACTCTTCATTTGACCACCAGGAACTTCCCTCTGGCAGGGGCAACAGCCACTCCAAGGACTTACCCCAGAGATTTCAGAGCAGAAGCAACGGCGTTTCCTCTTGAACTGTTATTTCTCTGCCCAAGGAATCTTCTTGACTGTCATTCCACTAACCCTTCATGGGAAATTTGACCTCTGGGCTCTATAACAGATCTCAAATTCATAGTGAAACTGTGGAAGACTCCCATTCATTAAAAATCCCATTCATACTGTGCATGTGAAGTCAAGAAACCACATTTTGGGTTGTAGAGGCAGCCACTCAAAATGACCCTCCTGACCAGTTGTTCCTGTTATAATGTACATTTCCTGTGAATTCCAAGGAATTCATGAATAGTGGAAAAAAAGAAGTATTTTCTTATTTCACTTTTTATATAGACACTAAAGCTTTGTTGGGAGGTTACATGGGCATGGGCCAGGGACATTTTCTCAGTGGCAGCTATCAACTGGGACTATGATAAAGTATCATGGGTGCAGAATTTGTCTGGATTCAAGGTATCTAGAGATTGTTTACTTGCTACAAACAGGATCTAATGCTGACTAGATTGGTGACCTTGGCAAGCCACTTCATCTTTCCAGGCTTCATTTTTTTTTTCTCTAAGTAAAAGAGAAATGGGATCAAGTGATTACTAAGTTCCCTTCTGGGCCTAAAAAGTTATGATTTTATAAATGACACTAAACTAATTAGACAAATATGTTTTGAGAGCCTATTATGTGCCTGTCACTCTGCTCGGTCCTGGGGAAACTTACGACAAAGGCCATAGTACATTGCCCTGGTGGGCTACAAGATCATGTGTTCCAGGAGCAGCAACAGCCTGAGCTTTCTATTTCTCTCTGTCACATTCTTAGTTTGCTCAGTGTAAAATGGAATCAAATTCCAACTCTTTATTATCTGTCTTCTCCACTAGTGTGGAGGGCAGCACTTTTGTTTCTTTTATTCTTTGCTGTGTCTCCAATACTTGGAAAAATGCCCAAAACATTTTTTGTGATTGATGTACATGGTGCAATGATGAGGTACAAGTTTGAAGGATACATCTAAAGGTCATGGAAGAATGAGCTACAGGAATGGTCTTTACACTGCAGTATGCTTATCTCAAAAGAGTTTACAAAGACTTTCCATGGATGTGTGGGCATGGATAGCTTTGGGGGAATCAATTTCCAGATCCAGAACTTCCACATGAACAATTTCCCAAAGTTGATCTGTCTGAATGTCCACTGAGAGAGTTGTCCTGTCGGCTTCTTTCCCCTCTTAACTTTCTACACTTGCTCTCCTCTCACTTAAAGAACTAATGAATTTTTTTTTCTAGTCTTACTGAGATGCATTCTCTCAGGTGGTAAAAAGAAACAGAAGAAACCCTTGGTGGTATAGGTACAGGCTTGGGTCAGTAAATGGCTATAATGACTGGCTAATAAGATCCTGCCACTGCACTCCAGCCTAGGTGACAGACCGAGCCCCTGTTGCAAAAGAAAAACAACAAACAAACCCAATAATTTTTGATAATAGATCACAATGTGATTTTGGTATATAATTCAAAGGAAACTCAAAGAATTGATTGACATTGCCGTAGCAAGATTTTTCCCATTTCCATCTACTTATTTTAAAGTTTTCTCAAGGTTTACATCTATAAAAACAAATAATAGAAATAGAATTGATGGAGAACTCTGTCTCATTCTGTCAATAAATAATATTAATCAACAGATACATAAGTGAATTGGAAAGACAATAGGCTTCTTTTTCAACAAAAGGCACATTTTCAATACAGTTTTCCTATTTATTCTATGTAATTTTTATCAAAGTTTATAACGTTGTTATTTTAATCAAGTAATGATTAGAAATTATAATAATAACTCAATATAGAATAATTTTATTTCTTATAACTTTATGGTCACAGAAAATGTTAAAAAATTTAGGTTGATATTTATATTCATATTCTGGTGCAACAAAGTTTGATAGAATGATCAATAAAACATTTCTAAAAATGAAATAAAATTACATTAGGACTAAATTCTGAGGGGGAAGTGGAATGGAAATAAATATGAATTCAAGAATAAAGGATAAAAAATTTCCAATATTTAAATAATAACTCATTTATTCTTTTTTTTAAAAATTGGATATAATGGTCAAATTGCTCTGGTGTTTATATTCCATTGACTATATTTCAAAGATACATTGTATTGGATATATCAGATATCTTTAAAAATTTTCATATTGAGAGTGATCTGGAAATGATATTATTTGCAGTTCTTTAAACGTACGATAAACATTTTGAGGTCAACTTAGAAATATGTGAGTAGTATATGGCTTTGTTTTTTGTTGTTGAGACAGGGTCCAGCTGTGTCACCCACGTTGCAGTGCAGTGGCATGATCATAGCTGCCTGCAGCCACAAACTCCTGGGCTCAAGCAATCCTCCTGTGTTAGCCTCCTAAAGTGTTGCAGTTACAGGAGTAAGCCACTGTGTCTGGCCCAGCATATGGTTTTAAATATTTTTCTTTCTTTTTTCTTTTTTTTTTTGAGACAGAGTCTCACTCTGTTGCCCAGGCTGGAGTGTGGTGGCATGATCTCAGCTCACTGCAACCTCTGCCTCCCAGGTTCAAGCGATTCTCCTGCCTCAGCCACCCAAGGAGCTGGGACTACAGGCACATGCTGCCACGCCGGACTAATTTTTGTACATTTAATAGAGATGGGGTTTCACCATGTTAGCCAGGCTAGCCTCGAACTCTTGGCTTCAAGTGATCCTCCCACCTCGGCCTCTCAAAGTACTGAGATTACAGGTGTGAGTCATCGCGCCTGGCAGTCTTTAAACATTTTTCTGGGGGCTTTGCAAGCAGCAAAGTTTAAAGACCATTAGGCTAATAGTATAAGTGCGGCGTTCTAATCCTGACCCAACTATCGAGCCTTGGGAAATGCCCTTCTTAACCCCTCTGCATCCATTTCTCTTTCTGTAAAATAAAAATCACATCTGCTTGCTTTTCCTTATTCTTAGGAAACTTCTGAGATCATAAAAGATAATGAAATAATGTGAAAAGGTCTAAATTACTTCCTGGGGGCAAATTGAACACCTCTGGGAAGTTTCAATAACTTTTTCAGGCCAACAGGATACTGGTTAGTTCCTCAAAGAGTATAAATGAAAGGTATTCTTATTACTACTTCTACTTTACCACTTCCCATGTTCCCCAGCTTTGACTCAGCCATTGGCCATCCAACATCGTAGAGTTACTCTCTGCATCTCTGCACCATAAGGTTAGCAAGAAGGAACCTAACTGTATTTCAGGGCTAAGCCCAAGAGTCTACCCTGATGTTCACTAAGTTAAACCACAGAATTACACAACAGGAAAGCCAAAAAGCCTAAACTCCCTTCCCAAAGGGCAGTGGGAGCACATATTTCTTAGCACAGAAAATACTGATAGAAGTTCTACATATTGCCACCTATTCAGATAACCAGGAATGGTCAGCCCATATCACATGGGCCTTTTTCAGCTTGCTAGGCCATCTGTCATCTGTCTTGTACTCAATCCCTTTCCTCTTAAAAAGATGCTTATAATTTTGTCCATAATTAATGGACAGTTATCACTTGAGCCTGTCATCTCAGTTTATAAAGCATATTAGGTTCTGATATCTAGCAGGCTTAATACACTTCAGAATTGGCTCTGTTAGAGACCTTATGAGAACATTGAATCTCAAGCGGGGGCTTTGAAGACACTTGCCATCTTGAAAAGACACGGAGTTTTAAGTTGTTTCATAAGGTCTAAGAACTGGTGGAGAAACAGATTGGTGAGGAACTGCGTGGGTAGTGAGAAGCTAGGAGTAGAATTTCTCTATGAGATGGTATTGAACACTTATTTATTCACCACTTCAACATGTTTGTGAGTGTTTATTTAGGTCCTATTAAGTACCATTTTCTGGGCTGGGCATGAAGAAACACAGATAAATGACCTTCCCTGCCCTCAGGGGGTTTATAGTCTGGTTGTAGAAAGGCAAAAACAATGACAATACTACACACTTTCTGAAAGGAGGGCACAGTGGAAGCAGAGAGGAATAAAAGTCTAAGAAAGCAAAGGAAGGCTTTCCAGAGGAGATGGCATTTGAGCTCAAAGTAGACGAGGTCATCTTAGGAACAAAGAATGTCATAGGAAAAGTCCTGGAGGCCAAGGAGAGCTTAGGATCAACAAGGAGCTCAAATTTCTCCTGCTCAAAGAATGAAAAGGAGAGTGCCTAAAGATAGGTTGTACAGGGAGGGAAGACAGAACACAACAAGCCTTGAATATCATACGAAGCATTTGTATTTTATTCTGTGGGAGACAGGCTTTTAGGAAATTGGGCAGGGCCACGTCAAGATCAGACGTCTGCTAGAAACATTACAAGATCACTTTGGCAGCTATGTGGAGGATGGATTGAGATGATGGGATAGGACTATAAGATTAGAGACAACAGTACAGTCAGGATGCTTTCAGTCCTGACAGAAAGTCTATGTAAACTAATTCAAGCAAAATGGAGTATTATTGATGATTATTATAACAAAAATATTCAAGGGAGAAACTGGCTTCAGAGGAAATTCAAGAACTCACAGGGTATCATCAGGGCTCTTTCCTTCTCCTGCAGCATCTCTCAGCTCTGCTGCGGTCCTTGGCTTCTGTTGCGAACTCTCTCTCCTATAGTGGAAAGAGATGACTGCCAAGCTCTTATTTTCTCATTTTAGCAATCCCAGTATCCACAAACCAATTCCAGAGAAGCTTCTGATTGGCCTTGCTGGGGTTACATGCCCATTAATGAACCAATTATTAGTGGAGTGTGGTGGAATTCATGTTCTGATTAACTGCCTGGTTCATACCTGTGATAAAGGGGACAGGTCGCCAAGTCTGATGACAGTCCCAGTGTAACCACATGGGAGCTAAGGAAGAGATCCCCGAGAAAACAAGAAGAATGAGAACACGCATTGGCAACATAAAAACTGTAGTTAACACTGACCATGAGAGCAGAACTTAACTGCAATATGATAGTGAAAATATAGACAAACAAAAGATGTTTGGGGACGTATAATTGAAATCAGGACTTGGTTTTTATTCACTTGATCTTCCAAAACAAATAGATTATTGCCTTTGGCAGTTCCCTGGATGCTTCCCTGGGAGAAGATTCCAGGTGTTGGTAGACAGAGAGGGCTAAATAAATGTATAGATACATTTATAAATAAAAATAAATAAGAAAAAATTTACAAATAGATAGATGGATTTATTTACTTATGATACCTTTCCTGGTTCCCCAAAAGAATTTGAGGCAACTTAGAGAGTTGGTACAGCAAAGTAAGAGTCACATTATCCAAAGCTCTCATCCAACTTTTCATAGGTGAGCTGCAAATTTACTTCCTTGCTTCCTGGAAGCCAGCGCAAGCAGGATAATGACATGATCAGTCAAATAATTTACAATGATAATCAGAGACACTTGACTATTATTGGTATTGACATCTGAAAGGAATATCTCCCTCGGTGCTCATAAAGTTGCCGTTGTGTAATGTGGTAAATATCAGTCTGTCAGTAAATATAATAATGAGTTTTGTGGGGCTCTTTCTTAAAAGGATTTTCAGTGGTGACCAATGTCATATAGATAAAACATTGGTTAATAGAAGTAGTGTATTTTGTATAATAAATCCAGATATTTTGAAATCTTAGAAAAGCCAGGTCAGCCCAGGCCAGATAAGTTGTCAGTATTTACTTAGCAGTGAATCCCTTTTAGTCAGGGCATTTGCTCCTCATCACTCCTTATAGTCTTGCATCCAGCTTGCTTCAGTTATTTGTTTGTATTATCAGTCTGGTCCCTATATGCATTTATATTTGTGACCCATGGAAAGATGTGCATGACCAGGGTCTGTCTAGCCCTTTCCCTCTCTACACTTTTCAGCTTCCATATTAGTACACAGTGATTTCTTTTCCTCTTCCCAGCTGCTTCTGACAGTAGTTTTCTCAAATATTTCTTCCATTCTCTTTCAGTCATCTTTGAGGAAGGAGTGCTCACATTCACTCTCCTCCTGCTCTTGGCTTCAGAACCTGGAAGGTAAAGCCACTGACTTCCTGAAAACCTAGCAGCTCCATTTGCAGTGGCGTGTAAGGTCCATATGTATGGATGGCTTGCATGACTGGCCTGGAAACTGACGCCAAAGGAATTCCCATGAAAATGCTTTTGTCTTGAGCCAAGGAGCCTGGGGTAACTTTGAGTAAAGAATGACCATGACCACTTGTTTCAGAAATTTTAAGTAGCTTTGGCTACTTAAGATTTGGCTTTCATTTTCTAGTGTGATGTGAAAGAAATGCTGCTTGCCCAATTAATTGGTAGTAGAGGAAAATCCATGCAAGCACCTGAAATGAGAGTGATTTGTATGTGAACTTCCTACTTTCTTTAAAATTCAGAATTCTCAGAAGGACGAGTGAGTGCATTTGTCCCCAGCTAGCAAGTACTGATGCTCTAAAAGCATCATGTGAAGTCAAGGCAATTGGGATGTTTTACAGGAGCAGTTAACTATCTCGACAACAACTCTTTGATGATTTTATAGCCAAGAATTCTTGACAATGAGCAGAATTTAGGAAGTGACACACATGTGTGTACTTTTAAAAAAAGGAAGTAGGCATTTTGACTTTTCAGTGGATTGGAGAGGGCATTATTAATACAATATTGGCACACTGTCTGTCTATGTAAATTAGGGGACCGAACTGAAAGAAATGAGAGATTTTGCATGTTCTTACTCATATGTGGCAGCTAAAAATTTAAAAAGTTGAATTCATGGAGATAGAGTAGAATGAGGTTACAAGAGGCTGGGAAAGGTAGTGGGGAGTGGGGGACAAAGTGAGGATGGCTAATGGAGACAAAAATATAGTTAGAATGAATAAGATCTAGTATGCAGTAGCACAATAGGGTGACTACAGTTAACAATAATCTATTGTTTATTTTAAAATAATTAAGAGTGGAGCTGGAATGCTTCTAACACAAAGAAATGATAAATGCTTGAAGTGATGGATATCCCAATTACCCTGGTTTGATCATTACATATTAAATGCCATATAAAATCATTACATATATCTCATAAAGATATACAACTATTATGTACTTGTAATAATTAAAAATAAAAATAAATAAATAAGAAGGAAATAAGAATGAGACAGAGGAGACCGGAAATACAATTTAGATTCAAAACCAAGATGAATTAGCTAGGACTCTTTCTTGTAAGGAGCAAATGAACAACACATTTCAAAGGTGGCCAAAAAAGTATAATTCAAAACTTTCGTGTTTTATTGTTTATTGTTGACTGTGCCCCTTCTCTCCAAACCACATTCATTTATTTACACTTTTTGCATTATTCTTGCTTACGTGTTTGTGGGAAGGTAGCCCCCCAGATCAGCTTGGGAAGTAAGGGAACCTAAAAAGAAGTTTGTAGTTCAGGCTCAGCAGCTCATGCCTATAATCCCAGCACTTTGGGAGGTTGAGGCAGGAGGATTGCTTTAAGCCTGGATACCAGCCTCAGCTACAAAGTGAGACCTCATCTCTACAAAAAATTAAGAAAAAAACTTAGCCAAGCATAGTGGCATGTGCCTATAGTCCTGGCTACCTGGGAGGCTGAGGCAAGAGAATCACTTAAGCCCAGGAGTTCAAAGCTGCAGTGAGCTGTGATCATGCCACTGCATTCCAGCCTAGGCGACAGAGCAAGACACTGTATCTAAAAAAAAAAAAAAGTTTTTATATATTCACATATTGCCCCCTAATTCATTAAACCTCAGGTATTTAGCCCCTTCAAAGCTGCCGCTGACAAATGCCCTGTAAGCCTTAGCACACATGGGGTGGGCCTGGCTCTGAGCTTCACTGGGTCCCACTGTAGTGCCTGAAGAATGTCCTCACAGGAAACTGAAGATTGGTGACAGACGGGCCTGTCAGTGGCTCTAGTTTTTACTCTCATGGAAGCAAAACCCACCAGGCACTTTTTTGGCTAATGGGTTCAAGGCACCAAAATGCATTTAGAGGTGTTGGCCGTGGCAAGGGCTGCAGTGGCGCTGCCAAGTTCTGCAGATGCTGTCCCAGGTCCCCCTGGCCTCTCACTGAGCAGCTCTCCCATTCCTCAGTCCTCATGTTCAGCCAGGTTTCCTCTCCTGCTCTTATGCTGTCGCCCTGAAGGCCCAGCGCTCTCACTTGCAGTGTGGTGAGACTGGTTTGCAAACTCCAAAAAGCCCCATGTCTGTCTTACTCCCACTCTTAGTTTAGCCAGAACTGCAGGGAGATAGATTTATTACTCCCATACAAACATCCCCACACCTAATTATTCTTCCTGAAGCATTCATTACTTCCCTTAAAAAATTACTTAGAGCACCCGACTGGTGTTCTATTCTCAATCTGATTTGCATCAGAGACAATGACACATTCTCAAGTCAGCCTTCTTGAGCAGCAGGGACAAGAGTCCTTCACTTTGATGGAAGGAGGAAGTGGATGCTTTCTGATAAATAGTGAAGCCCTTTCTCCCCAGTGCCTGTAAAGGTCAACATCATTTTCACCTTGAACCCTCACCTCGAAATTGCTCTCAAGGTGAAGTATGGATTCCTGGCTGACTTTCACATGCCCTAATACATGGGGATGTTATGTGACCTAAAAAACTCCTGCACAAGGTGAGATGACACGTCATTACAGACTGTAATTTCTACTGCGAACTAACACACATCTGGAAGGAAGTAACTTTATGAGGCAGAAAATTAAAGCACTCACTTCCAGCTTTGCCTATGCTTTACCACAGTCAGAATACACACCACTATTTTCTGAAAAGCCAAAAAAGCAAATAAGGTATTGATTGAATATAAAAGAAAAGAGAATTTGGTAGTAAATAATAAACAAGAAAGTTTGAATGCCTAGTCTGGAGGGTGAAAATAAAATCACTTTCCCCATAAGTATCACTTTACTACCTTGTACTCTTGTACTGTGGTGCAGGGAAGTGGATTCAGTCGTTTTTAAAACAAGGACTGTGTTACAACCATAGGCAGAACATTGTTCTAGAACAGAGAAATGTACAAAAAGAAGTTTGCTACAAAAAAGAATTTCTTATGACCAATTAGTCTTGGTGAATCATTTCTTTCCAAAGCTACCAAATGAAATGGCTTTAGGATACTCACTCAGAAATTAAAAGGACATTTTCATTTTGCACAGCCAGAACATTAATTCATGAATTATTTAATATAATGTTAATTTATACTGACAACTGACTATAAGCCTCAATTAAAATATCCTGAAAAACTCATTACCCATCAACCTATCTCATAATGAATGTGTCACATCCTATTTAGAAAAAATAAATGAAGACCAGTGCAAATGGTAATTGTATATTGTATTTTGTAAGCATCAGAATTCAGCTGGTGTGGCAGTAATCAAAGTGTGGTCTTAAAGATCATAGAAACTAAGACTTTTCCAGCTAGACACCAAATAGGTTCTTGTTGTCACTTAACAATATTTGTGTTTCTGGCATCATCATAAATTCCATATTCTTGTTTCTGGCATGAATTGTTTGTTCATGACAAATCTCATTTTGATCAACTTCTGATTTCTGTCCTAATGGCTAAAGGAAAAGACAGAGCAGAGGAAAAGATTTAAACTAAACTGAAGAGGTCCATTAACTGATAAAAGGGTCAATCTCTGACCTAGAGATGATTTTCTATAGAAAAGAAGCAGTGTGGCATGGTGGTTAAGAACACAGGGTTTGTCTAACTGGGTCTGTGTTTCAGCTCTTTCTTAAAAGATTATGGCTGTCCTTGTTAAGGACTTGCATTAGTTAGTGTAATGTTAGCTGTTGTAACAGATTCAATGCAGTATAAAGGCACAAATGTAATCATAGTTTATTTTAATCATCTTTTTTTTTCCAGTTTGAGGTGAATCCTACTGGATGGCAGGTAACTCTCTCCATGCAGTGAGTCAGGGACCCAGACTTTTTCCATCTGGTGGCTCTGCATCCCTCTAGGTTCTTGTGATTGTAGCTGGTACAAGGAGAAAGAGAATGGAGAGGGCAAACCCTTTCTTTCAAGCCTTGGCTAGAATTAAGGCACTTCACATCCACTGACATTCCATTGGTAAAAATGTGTCATGGGATCACATCTAGGCCAAGGGGCAGGGGGCTGGGAATGTCTCTCTCTAGCCATTTCCCAATAACAATTTCAAAACTATAAACATGGTGGAGAGGCATGAGTTTTAGCAGATTGGTGGCTAAAAGGGCTGTTTATTAGAGATGACAAATTCTGTGGAAGGAAATTTTTCAGATCTTAGATTTGTGGGTAACTGAGGGATTTAAAAAAAAATCGACCAGTCGTGGGGGATTAAACCTGAGAACAGTGAGATTAAATCTGAAGGAAAGTCAGTCCCAGGGGCTCATCCCTCAGCTAAGAGGAGAGGCATTATACATCAGAAGAGTAGAGTGACACCAGTTAACAGAGGCGTCAAAAGGCAGAGTCCTAATGATTAGAGCTTCTCATTGGGCCAATCTTCAAGGGAGGACTGTCCGCTTGGTTCTGTGCTTGGGGCTACAGTTACAAGGGTGGCTGAAGTTTGCCTCTACCCTCAAAGAGGAAATAGAGAAAAATCTGTACTCCGGAGGCAGAGGGGAGTTTTTGGAGGCTCAAAGAGTGTGTGTGTGTGTGTGTGTGTGTGTGTGTGTGTGAGAGAGAGAGAGAGAGAGAGAGGCTCTAGTTGAAGATGAAAATGTGTTGGTGTGGTCCTCCGATTTCATTGCAAGGAATCAAACTTCTCTGCAATGGCCCCTCCTGGTCTTCCTACCTACCTTAATTAGCTCTCTGTACTCTGAAGTATTTAAGCAGTACCAAGGAATGGTTAAAGAAAAAGTGAGGTAATCACAGAATAAAAGGTATAAATAGATGTTAAGTACAAGCATAATTACTGGATCACTGTTTCTGGTGGCAGAAATCTGAAAAGATTCTTAATGTCCATCATTAAAGGGAATGGCTGAATAAGGTATGTTCCACCAACACTGGGGATTACTACAAAGCTATTAAAAAGAATGACTGGGCGGGTCGCGGTGGCTCACGCCTGTAATCTCAGCACTTTGGGAAGCCGAGGTGGGCAGATTACCTAAGGTCAGGAGTTCAAGACCAGCCTGGCCAACATGGCAAAACCCTGTCTCTACTAAAAATACAAAAATTAGCCGGGTGTGGTGGCACACACCTGTAATTCCAGCTACTAGGGAGGCTGAGGCAGGAGAATCGCTTGAACCTGGGAGGCGGAGGTTGCACTGAGCTGAGATTGTGCCACTGCACTCCAGCCTAGGCGAGAGAGAGAGACTCTGTCTCAAAAAAAAAAGAAAAGAAAAGAATGACTTTGATCTGTACGTCCTGACCTGGAAGGATGTCTATGGATAAAGTAAGCTACAGAGATCCTACCTTTGTATAGACAAATGGAAATATAAAACCCCATGCATGTGTATCTGTGTAAGCATAGAGAGATGTGTTAGAATGCATTCCAAGTTTTAGCACTTATTTGGAGGAGGGAGTGGGACTTGCAATTATTAACTTTTTACTTAAGCATCACTGTTTTGTAAATTAATAATTAATAAACAGGGAACAAAACTACAAGGATGCCTTAAATCTCAGAAACTGGTAAATTCAGAATTTTCCCACCACCTGAGCTCTGATAATTTACTTTTTATTCAACATTTATTTATTCAGTGTTTCCTGGGTGTCAGGTGCCTTTATAAACATTATTCAGTCTTTAGAATAATCTGAGGAGATGGTATTTACAGGTGATGAGATAAGACACAGACAGCTTTAGGAACTTGCTCAGGGTCAAATCTGTGGGAAGATGGAGTAAGCATTTGTGGTCAGTCCCTTCTGGCCCCAGAGCCTGCACACTTTCATCCACACCTCACTCTCTAAAAATGGGGAAGAGAAGCGGAACTTGATTTTTGAGGTTAGTCTAGCATTCTAAGCCTGATTAACTAGTAAAGGTCCTAGTTTACATGTGGAAGGATGATCTAGAGCAGGTAAGAATCCTGTTGGTTATAATCCCAGTCCTTGCTGACAAGCCTAAGCAAAAATACTGGAAAGACTCAATCTTGAAAGAATCCCCTTAGAGAGTCACTTGGTGACATTTCTACCACGGGCAGAGAAGGCTGAAAGGAACACCAGGAAATTGAATATAACTCTCCTCTGAGTATCTCAGGGCATGGTGGGAAGAACAGTTGTACTATTAGCTAGGCTTTGACCCAGAGGTATTCTGAGAGGCCCTTTGTGGGTATAATCTCATTTTCTCTCTTTTCTTCTCCAGTTGGGAGCTATTCGGTTACGATTATGGGCTTCAAACAATTAGAAGAGCTTAGAGGCCATGAATTTCTTCACAACATGCATTTCTAGCCAGAGACTGCATGGCTTAAGACACAGAGAAAACACATTTCTAAATTTTTACCGGAACTGGCAGTTCTGGCAAGGATTTTAAAATGTAAGTCTTTTGTGGTGGGCTGAGTTTTAGCGCCAGGGCTCCAGGTTGTGAGAGTCACCACAGGAAGTTCAGAAGGCCACACTACCTTCTCTTGCTTGGACACAGGCATTTTCCATAGCACTCTTTCCAGCTGTGCTCTCCCCACAGATTGCAAACTAATAGGAATATTATATTTTTTAATCAGAATAAAATTAGATACTTAGAAACATGGTTTAATAAAGCTAAAGAAAAGAAGAAAGTGGAAGGCAATGGTTCTCAACATTAAAATCTCCTGGAGACCTTTAAATGTCTCAATGCCCAGGCTACACCCCAGACCATTTAAGTCAGTCCATGGGGGTGGAACCCAGGCACCAGTGGCTTCTGAAGCTCTCCAGGTGGTTCCACTGTGCAGCTAGAGACAAGAGCCACTGGCTCACTGACCAACATTCTCACCCAGTAGAAGCAGTGACGATGGTCCAGCAGCTGTGCTTGGATTCACAGGGCTGGGATCACCCCAGGAGATCCCTGACAGCTGGTGTGGGAATTCAGGGCTCAGTTAGAGACCTTTGGGCAGAGAGGATTTAGGGCCCCACTCTTTAGCTCAGTAGTGAGCAGCAAGCTGTCCTCAACAGCCAACTCACAAAAACCAAAATATATTTACGATCTGTGTTCTTTTTCTATTCTGAATGGAAATAACTTGTTTGAGGCCCATAAAAAATAACTAGTGTTACAATTTAAGATTACCTATTTTGCTAAACAGAAGGCCGTCTAGGAACACTAGCAAATCTTTTTAATACTTTAGAATACTTATCTGAGTATTTTTGAGAAAGGAAAATGGAGACAGTTCTCTATCTTCAGATTACATCATGGACCTTGGAGTGAAACCAGGTGGTTTGTGGGTGGCTCTGGAATGTTGAATTGTTCATCTTTGCTTTAGTTTATGGTTCCCTAATCACTACATGAACATTAGCTAATTAAATCTATTTTCTGAAACTCTCCACTTATTAAGAAACAGTCTGTAATCTGCTTTAGACTTGGAATCTTCTTTCATGAGACCAACAGAATGGCTAAAAATTTGAAAATAGCAACAATTGGCCTTGGAGAAAGAGTAAGTGTAAACATCATTTGTTCACGTGGTGAATTTACTAAATGGAGTTTGATACAATCATAGTGCCCTAACAAGACCAGCAGCTATTAAATACTAAAGTGCTAAAATTCCAGATGAATCTCTTTAAGCAATAATAGAAGTGCAGGCTCTGATGCTACTGACCTTTGGTGTTCTTCGGATCACTCTCTCACACACACATACTCACAGACACGCACTCACGCTCATAATTTTCTGGGCAATTTGCCACTTGTGTGTCCTCTGGAGCAATTTGTTTTTTCACTGATAAAAGTTTCCTGGTGGGGAATTTAGTTGCAGAAGGGTTAAGCCAGTATAAGCCTTGTTAGTGAGCAAAAAGACATATGATATGAAACAAAGTTTTAATTTTTATTTTACATATTTATACATAAAACTTTCAAGGAACCCTCTGAATCCAACAGAATGTTAATAGCACATCTAAAAAGGAACTTCAGGTAGTCAACATTCACAAAATGTTGAAAACTGAGTAAAATATACATATTACGGAGAGCTACAACTTCACTACGAGGCAGGCATGTATTTTTTGACTTGTATAGCACCGTCATTTACAGTTCTTCTTTAAAACTACAGTGAAGAATGAAAAGTAGTCAATGGGAAAATACTGTTCCAACTTAAAATCTCTAAACAAATAAAAATAAAGTTAAAACTACTCTCTTTTATTAACCATGATTTGTGGTGGTGTCAGTACTGTACATTTTTTGTAACAATATTTTATTAAAATGCCTGATATTAAGTGGCACAAGTAAAAAATTAAAATAAATTAAGAAGCAAAGGCCAATCACTGGACATTAAGCTTCAGACATTATCAATGACTAACACTGATATTTGTTTCTGCGCCACCTTTAGCAACAGCATTTTTACAACCACAGAAGCAAAATAAATTCTAGCTTGTTCTCTGGTTGAATGGCTTCTTTTCACTTTGCAGGCATTTTCTCTGCCATGTGCTTCTGCTGACTTTCAGCATGTCTGTAAAACAATTAATACAATTATTTAGCATCATGTAGAGAGATCCAAACTGCTTTTCAATCAATAGCTACAGCATCCTGCAAACTGAAGTTCAGAGTTACTGACAGTGAAATAGATTAGAATCAAGAAAAAGTACCTTATTCAAACTCTTTGAACTCTGATTTGAACTCTTTAATTTTTACATATTGTGTATGATTCCTTTTATTTAGTAAGCCACTGGATGAATCTGAGACTTTTAGACATTACTACTTTTAAGAAGAAAAGTTCTGTTTGAAAATGAAAATAAATAAACATCTGGGATACTTTTATCAACAAATATTAAATATGTGTCTTCCATGGGTATTTGATGGTGAGCAAGACAGTGAGGTCTCTGTTCTCATGGGGAATATGAGACAAGAAAGGAATAAATAGCAAATAAGGAAATAACAGATGGAAATAAGCACGAAGCCAAAAGTCGAAACATGGTATTATGATAAGAGTAACTGAGTGACTACTTTATCTAAAGACCCATGCAGACACAGACCTAGATATTAACTAAGACTCCTGACAGAAACCTGGAGCCAAAAATCTAATTCACTCCTGCAAAAGCCAATGTCTAACAAATGGCAGGTCTTTGTGGATGTAAAGATATTCCACGTTTGCATGTTTTTCCCCCCAATTAATCCTAAGGGCATGGTCTTGGCAGTGAGGATAGGGTGAGTCTTCTTATTTATAAAGCTCTATTATGGGCCAGGTCCAGTGGCTCACGCCTGTAATTCCAGCACTCTGGGAGGCTGAGGCTGGTGGATCACCTGAGGTCAGGAGTTTGAGACCAGCCTGGCCAACATGGCAAAACCCTGCCTTTACTAAAAATACAAAAATTAGCTGGGCATGGTGGTGTGCGCCTGTAATCCCAGCTATTCAGGAGGCTGAGGCAGGAAAATTGCTTGAACCCGGGAGGTGGAGGTTCCAGTGAGCCAAGATCATGCCATTGCACTCCAGCCTGGGTGACAAGAGTGAAACTCTGTCTCAAAGAACAAACAAACAAACAAACAACCAAAACCAAAAACAAGCTCTATTATGACCTGTGAACCCAAAAATAGGCCAGTGAAGCAGCTAGACAGTGGGGCAGAGGTAGACAGTGGGGCAGAGGGGGAGGAGTGTGGCCAAGCTGTTGACATCACTTGAATGGTCACTTCTCAGAGAATGATGGGGTTTGAAGGCTGCAAAAGACAATGGTTTTAAAGGACGATTTTAGGAAATGATAAATTTGGCAAGATAAAAACATCTAGGGCTGTGGTTTCCAGCTATAATCAAACGTTTAGGAATAGTTTGTGTGTGCTGCCTGGACTTGGGTAGTCAGTGATGTCAAGTTGAACTCACTGGTTTTATGCAGAATGTGTCATATCAGGGAAGACAAACTACAAATACTTTCAGAAACAGGGGAGTGACAACAGTGTCCTTGCTACACTCAGCAGCCCATAAATAAATGGAACTATTCAACTAACAATAAAGGTACTCAGGAAAAAGTACCTTATCGATAGCTCTCCATTCCTTAAAAAATCTGTCCCCTTTAGCAGACCATCTTATAGCCCTGTTGATGTGTAACAAGAATCAAACATTTTCGTGACTAACTCATATGCCTCACTTAAGCAAATCCAGATCAAGATATTTTGATGCCCAGTGAACTTGATTCCACTGTAGCTAATTACAGTTCTCACAGTAATTTTTAAAATATACTACTATGTACATGCTCATGCACACACACTCCTATGCACATGCACGCACATACATCAAAAGGTTTTCTGAGAAGGAAAGAAGAGCAGATGGCACACAACTTCAGAAAATATTGAAAGCTGGGTAATTTTTTGAGACATAAATAAAATAGTGAATTTCATTAAAATTTTAAACAAAGGAGGGAAAGGGTTTCAGTCCATAAAACTAAAAGGTTCTTATCAGCAAGTTATATAAGAGTCCCTATTAGGATTTGTTTCACTGAAGCCCCACCAAAACTCTTTTTTTTTTTTTTTTAAAACAACAATTGCTATTGAGGGCTTACAATGTGCCTGGCAGGCCCTGTGCTAGGCTCTGGGGACACAGTAAAGAATGAAAATGACATCACCTCTGTTTTCAGGGAATTCATAGTCACGTTGGGAGAGACAGCAGACAAATAAAACACAGTGCCACTAGGCTCCACATGACAGAGATGCGATGTTGTTAGGAACACTGAGGAGAAGGTCTTAACACAGTCTTATGATCGAAAGCAGGTCACATAATTGCTGGTGCTGTTTTGTAGACCCACGACATGGCTGTTCATGTTCTGGAAACATGCCAGCATGGAATGACCCTGACACACCAGGGTCAACTCCCTTGGGAACAGTCCTGATTTACATGGAGGTGTAATAAGTTTAATGCACTGACAGTCCATATAAGGGGAGAATGAATGCTAAAGAGCCAAGTGTTTGGAGGTCAGGGAGGGCTTCTCCAAAGAAGCATCATCCAAACCTGTGGTTCTCAAATTTGGCTGTGCGTGAGAATTATCTCAGAGCTTTAAAAAAATTCTCATGCCCACGCTAGCCCACAAGGATAATTAAATAAGAATATCTGGGGTAGGATCCAGGCATCACTATTTTATAAGCCTCCCCACATGGTTCTGTTGTGCAACCCAAATTGAGAACTACTGATTTGAATGGACATCTGGAATAGTAGGAGTTGTACAGGTAAAGGGAAGAGGTGGACCACATGTCCCAGCAGTCCCCACAGCCACCCCCTCCGCCTTCTGAGATCTGGCTGCAGGACTCTGGGGCTGCTGCCTTTAGGGATGTTTAAGTATCCTCAGGTCCCTCCAATGAGGAAAGTTACTTTTCTGCAGCCAAGAGCAGATGTAGAAGCTTCTTCCCACCAAGAGGCAGGCTAGGCAAGGACATCATGCCCCTGGGGCCCATGGTAGGACTGCTCCAATTCAAAGAATGCCTCCAACACCTTTAAATTAGTGACTCCTCTCCTTTTAACTCCATGGTTTTGCCTGCCCTGTTTCCGATGGTCACACCATCTGAAAGTTATAAAAACATACACTGCAAACCTAAGTATTAGCCTAACACTTAGAGAGAAGAGGAGGGGCCTCTTCTTCTTGCCAAAAAAGAAATGACAATACTATTCTGAGAGACAGAGAAAAGATCTCTGCTGTCACAGGTAAATCATAGTTTACAAGAATTTATATATTTTTTTAAAAAAATGTAGGCCCTGATTGTATATTTCACCACCGATTTCCCATAATCTTAACACCTGCATGCAAACTTCTTAAACTAACAAAAAAGGGATGTTTTATAATTGCTGGTGGTGTAGTGCCTGAATACATCTTTAGATGGCAATAATATTATTTGAGTGTTATTGTGATATTTCAGATGCAGGCAAATATGTTCAAAGAGTATGAGAAGGCTTACTGTTTTGTTTTGTTTTTGGCTAGGGATAAGGCAATATAATATGTAAAACATACAAAACAGTGCTGCCCGTAAGTCTTAAAAAAGAAAGCTTAAACATATTTTTCCAGCATTTATTTTGCTACCAAAACTATTTTTTATATCATTGCAGCATTAGACAATTATTTTACCCAGCATTACACATTGAGATGAGGTCTATGGTAGGTGCTGGGAGCATTATTATCACTACATATGTTTTCGAGCTTCTCTGGGATTGTTGTAGACCATGTGGTTAACTCCTTACATCATTGTGCCAAGAGGTGTTCCTTCTTTGGAGAGCCTTCTACTCTCTAAATACTGTTTCTGGGATTAATAGCAATTACTGTCTGTTGGTTTAAAGATTCCATATGGACTGTCTCAGAAAAGATGCCATAGTAAATATGTGCTCATAGGAATGTTTACAGTATTCCAGGTACTTTATATACTTACAGTGACATGCTTTCCTGCAAGGAAATCTACAAAGAAGTGCAAAATTTTGACCAGCATTAGCCTAGTTTCCTTGTCCCCTAGGGAGGGAAGCATTCTTTTTACCTCTTTACAAAGAGGCAGTTGGAGCAAAGCCCAGCTAAAAACTCAAGTCCTGGAGTTTCCCCATGGTGAGAACAATCTGGTGGCACTGTGGCTGTAGAGAGATGCCAGTGTCCCTGCCTTCTGGGCATGGCAGAGGCGATCAAGAACTGGATCATACAAGAGCTTGTGCTTTGGAGAACTCATCACATGGCTGCTTGTGCTGGAAACATGCCAGCATGACATGGCTTATGCCCAGCTTCCCAGGGGACAGTCCTTCAAGGTAAAGTCCTCCAAAACCAGAACTAGACCTGATTTAGGCGGAGATGTGAGAAGTAATGCACTGACAATTCATCACAAGGGGGGGATGGTTGCTAAAAAGCATGCATTTGGTAAGGACAATGGAATTCTGCTTCCCCTCCATCTGAACAGCTGGCACCAGAAAAGGCTAGGTGAGTTATTTATGGAAGTAGAGGAAGAAGTTCTCTTGAGCTAGTTTTTGCCTAATTCTTAGATTTCAGACCACCCTGGGCTTTTCTTCTTTGGCAAGAGTGAAGCCACACTGACCTGGTCAAGTCTTCAATGTCCACCAGCATGGCATCCTGCTCTGTGTGCAGCTCATCTCGGATGAGAAGCAGCTGGACCAACTCTTCATTCAAGCCTGTGGCAAATAACAGAACATTTAAAAACAGATAAAACTGCCTCCAAGTCAGAATGTAAACTAGTTACCAACCAGTATACACACAAACAGCTACCCATAATAGGAAAGATATTTTTGTAAAAGGTTAGACATCGTATGTTGCAGAAACGTGTCTAGTTTGCATAATTATAGAGGTGTGGGAAGAAAAGGAGTAAAGTACGAACTATTTCCAATTACCTTCATATTAAGGTGGGAAAAGAAATTGTTAGCTGTTAGGAGAACAGCTTGTTAGAAAAAGCAGGTTTTGTTTTGAAGAAAAAATGTGAACAGCAAAGCCTGGAGCACATTAAGTTTTCCACCCTTCAGCTTCAGGGTGCTCCTGCCACGCTGACAGTCAGGAGGGGCCCCTCGGAGCCTGACTACTACATTAGATGCCCAGCTGAAAAGGAAGGTATGTCAGGGATGCTCAATGCCTTCACATGGCCCTAGGAAAGGAGAAGCCCTATGTGCAGATTGTTTTAGGAGAAAGTATTATCTGAAGATATTGGAAAGTCAGATTTGTAATATAGTTAGATGTGCAAGACCTGAAGAAATAACCCCTGAAATTTCTAAACAACAGGGTGCCAAGGAAAATATTACTTAAGACTTATACCAGGAATGAAATCTATAGAGACAGAAATCTTTCTTCCCTCCCTCCCTCGCTCCCTTCCTCCCTCCCTCCCTTCCTTCCTTCCTTTTTCTTTTTTTGAAACGGAATCTCACTCTGCCGCCCAGGCTGGAGTGCAGTGGCACGATCTCGGCTCATTGCAACCTCCACCTCCCGGGTTCGAGTGATTCTACTGCCTCAGCCTTCCGAGTAGCTGGAACTACGGGCATGTGCCACCAAGCCTGGCTAATTTTTTGTATTTTTAGTAGAGACAGGGTTTTGCCTTGTTAGCCAGGATGGTCTTGATCTCCTGACCTCGTGATCTGCCCGCCTCGGCCTCCCAAAGTGCTGGGATTACAGGTGTGAGCCACTGCACCTGGGCCCGAAATATATCTAATCTTCCTGAAATCAGTGCACTGGGTTAATTGGGCTCCTGCCACTGAAAAACATGAACAAGCAAAGGCTCTCTCTTGCTTTTTCCCTCAGAGAAGCTAAGCATTACAGCTGCTAGGCCCAGACACATGGAAGAGAGTACCCATTTAGCAAGAGCTCTGGGCAGGGAAACAAAAGATAGAATGGGGGTGATCAGACAGGTCCCCCTTGGAAATGCTTTTAGATATCCTGACTTCAAATGATGCATTTATCTGCCTTTAGGTCAAACTAGTTTCCATTTTTAAAAAGAGAGCCCCCCAAAAAAAAAAATCACACAAAGAGGTCTAAAATTTCATCTATTCCTGAAAAGGACTAGATGGCAATTTCAGTGTTTAAAAGTCTAAGGAAGATGTTTTAGTGGTAAAATATCAGAAAGTGCTTTTAGTCCTTGAAAGAATAGCAACTCTAGTAATTAATTTTCAACTAAAATTAAAATGCAGTTGTAGAATTTTTTTAAAAAATCCTGTGAATCTATGGTTTCTTAATCAAAATGTTTGACCCTTTCTCTTAATTTTAAAACAATATTCAATGTGTTAACTTGGCACTGAATATGTCCAATTTTTTTTATTTGGATCTTGTGGAAAAATTTCATTTTTTCCAGTGTGCTCTTGTGTAGCCTTTTATACTGTCACTTAGTAGAGTGTCTACATATCTGAACCCTTAATGCATAGAATTGTTTTTCCAATATGAAGTTTTAAGCTTTTTATTATGGAAAATTTTCAAACTGCTACAAAAGCAGAGAAAACAGTTTAATGAATTTCCATGTATCCAACTAGCTTCAACAATTATCAACTCATGGCCAAGCTTGAATCATTTCTCTCTCCGACTTCTACTGGATTATTTTAAAGCAAATTCCAGCTATCACATTATTTTATCTGTAAATGCTTCAGTAGGTATCTCTAAAAGACAGAGGCTTTTCTTTTCTTTCTTTCTTTTTTTTTTTTTGAGATGGTGTCTCGCTCTGTCACCCAGGCTGGAGTGCAGTGGCGAGATCTCGGCTCACTGCAAGCTCCGCCTCCCGGGTTCACGCCATTCTCCTGCCTCAGCCTCCCGAGTAGCTGGACTACAGGTGCCCACCACCATGCCCAGCTAATTTTTTGTATTTTTAATAGAGATGGGGTTTCACCATGTTAGCCAGGATGGTCTCGATCTCCTGACCTCGTGATCTGCCCACCTCGGCCTCCCAAAGTGCTGGGATCACAGGCATGAGCCACCGCGCCCGGCCAGCTTTTCTTTTTTAAATTCACATAACTGCAACACCTTTATCACACCTAAAATAAATCAATCCTTACTAAAACATTCAGTTAGTATTCACATTTCCCTGTTTGGCTCATAAATGCTCTTTTCTTTTTATAGTTGGTTTGAATGCATTTGTTTGGCATATCTCTTGAATTTCTTTTAATCTGTAATACCGTATAATTATACAGACTCATTCCTCCCAGGAGCTGAAGAGATTGTGAATTTATCGGCTTAACCACACTGCCTAAGTGAGAATGTTCTCTCTTTCATCAGGACAAGCAACTAACTGCCTATTCTCTGCATGACCAATCACCTTGAGTGAGCACCACTCACCACTCCCTGTGGCCACTTCTGTTAGAGGTCTTTCTTTATTCTGGGAAGAAAAGTCTGTATTTTGTCACCCTGTAATTTTCACATATTGGTTCCACATACTCCACCACCTGGAGTCCTAGGAAATGTGTCTAATTTGATTTTATTGATGATGATGATACCTACGATGAATGTGTATACAACTAAAGTAGAAAGTATACTTGTATAGCAAATGACTTGTAACTACTGAACTGTGTTCCAGAAACAGGTGTTGTAAGTCAGGTACATGCACTGTGCTAGGAGCTGGGGATTTAAAATAAATAGAAGGGACCTATAACTATTGTGAATCTTGAAAAATTCTTAAAGCTTCTGAACATTTTACAGCTAAAACAACAGCAACAAAAAAGAGCCTTGTGATTCTCTTATTTTCCTTGCAATCACACAGGAACCCAATGAAATGTTGTATGAAAAAGTTGGACCAAGGAAGCAGCATTATCCCATAATGTTTTACATTGAATATCCTATTTTCAAGCATATCTTACACTTACTTTCTATCTGGGAATGGAGATCATTGACTATCACTTGTAGCTGCCCAATAGTCATGTCTCTCAGGTCGGTGGGTTTTAAACTTCTTTTCATCAAGCATTCACTTATATGAGGCATGTGTGGCAGCTGAAGATACAAAGGAGAAGAAATGGAGGAGTGAACAGAGCCACAAACACACTGAACGTTAAGACCCAGTTTTCTCTTAAAAGACCCACTCACCCACCCACTGCAATTCAGTGATTAAAAGCTTTCCCAGTCTGTGTCTTTCCCAATGTGGGGCCCTACATCCACACTACATTACCTAATATGCAACTGGCATCAAAACACAACACTACCAGCATCAAAAGCTTTTTGACTCGTCTTTAATATGGGTTGTGAGTCAATGTTATAGCCACAAATGAATTATCAAGGAACATCAATAATATCAATGACATGGAAAAAATTAGTATCAGCTACTATTTAATAATTTATACCATGCTACAAGCACTGTGCTATGTGCTTTGAATACTTTATCTCACTGAATCCTCACAATCATACTCTGACACAGGCATTATCATCCCCATTTTATAGATGAGAAAACTGAGACTTAAGTAACTTGCTTAGAACTTCATAGCAGGTCAATGGCAGAGCTAGACTTAAACTCCAAAGTCCAGGACTCCTATTCACTATGTGATATTGTCTTTATTGAAATATGAGAATGACAATTATAGCAATAGTAAGTTTGCCAAGACCAATAGGTTCTTAGATTGAGATCGCTTCAAAGGAATTTAAATATTCCCGTGGCAGCTAATATTGTTGCTAAGAAACAGTAGACATCAATCAACAGCAAACTTTACTTTTGTGAAATCTATTGCTTCTGTATTTTTCAGTCCTACAGTAGGAAGGAAAAAGAAACAAACTTAATCATTTCTCAATGACAGGACTTTTTACAAACCGCCTTAGAGAAACACAAGTTTGCATAATTCTGGGAAAGGACTGGGACAGTGTCAACCATTTCTGGCTCCCAAACACTTCCTTGCATTTCAGCCTTTGCTGCTTACAAGATCAGCGACGGGAGACTTTTTCCTGTTCTGTTTCTCCACTTCTACTTGCATTTTGGCCATTGGTTTGGCCATGGCAAGGGCCATTTTGGCTTCAGCTTGCAATTTCTTTTGCCTTGTAAGGAAGTCCATGTCATCCAAGGATTCAGACTCCTCTTCAGTAGTGTCTCTATCAGAATAGGAAGAACTCTGTTTGCTCTGCAAAGGGAAAAAGAGCAGCCTGAGCCTTCCATGCATGCCAGCTAGCATCCACTTAGAGATGGGCTACAACATCCTCTGAGCCTTCTCTCAGAGCAGCTCAGAGTTCCCTCCCTCAATGTGACTTGCTACTTGAGTTGATAAATCTCAAGTAACAGAAAAAGGGTCTAGTTTAAAATAGATTTTAGCATAAACAGAGAGAGCAGTATAGTTAATAATGGGAAATATATTTACAACAACCTTGAAATATGTCTTTGATTCTTGGCCTCAAAACTTTCCTGAAGTGAACAGACATAACAAAATATTGACTCGAAGCCAAGGCCCTACGTAGGTTCTTTGCGTGGACAGGATCTCATGTATCCAGTGATGTTCTGATGTCGCACTGCACTCAACGACAACAGTTTCCTCTTTGTTGGTCTTTGGTAAAAAAGGCTATAGACAGACCTCACAGAGAGGAAAGAATTCCAGCAACAGGCACCCATGATTATTCAGCCAACTTCTGTAATGGGAAGGAAAGACATGAGCTAATATTTCTAAGCCCAATAGGGAAGAACTGGATTTAGCTTATTTTCTCTTTATAATTTTTAGAGCATATCTAATTTCTCTCTCTCTCTCTGATATGGTTTGGCTGTGTACCCACCCAAATCTCATCCTGAATTGTAACTCCCACAATTCCCATGTGTCGTGGCAGGAACCCAGTGGGAGGTAATTGAATTATGGGGGTGGGTCTTTCCTGTACTGTTCTTGTGATAGTGAATGAGTCTCACCAGATATGATGGTTTTAAAAATGTAAGACGTGACTTGCTCCTCCTTGCCTTCCGCCATGATTGCAAGGCCTCATTAGCCATGTGGAACTGTAAGTCCATTAAACCTCTTTCTTTTGTAAATTGCCCAGTCTTGGATATGTCTTTATCGGCAACATGAAAATGAACTAATACACTCTCTCTCGTTAGAGACAGGGTCTCACTATGTTGCCCCGGCTGGAGTGCAGAGGTGTCATCATAGCTCACTGCAGCCTTGAACTCCTGGGCTCAGCTGATCCTCCCGCCTCAGCCTCCTGAGTAGCTGGGACTATAGGCACCATGATCAGCTAATGTTTGTATTTTTTTATAGAGACAGGGTTTTGCCATGTTGCCCAGGCTGGTGATTTCTCTAATGGTTTAATATGAAAATAGTTATTAACTTTAAGAAAGCTTATATATCTCTATTTTATTACAACTTTGACTTTTTAATCATTGTCAAATTTTAGGAGCATGCAATTCCAAGAAACTTTTCTTCTTTAATCTCTGAAATGTTTGTTCCTGATTCACCTTACAACAGAAAAGAAGCTAAATGGCCCGGAAATCACAACACCGAGCTTCAGCTGGTGCTGTTTGGACTCACCATGGGAGACAAGGGGGTGTCCAAGCTGGTTTCAGTCTTACTGTCATCAGCATCACTGTCCTTATCACTGCCACTGTCGTTGACAAAGCATATCTGCAAGTTCATCCCACTCTGCAGTCTGGGCAGAAACAAACAGGACACTAGTTCTACTTAGCTGTTTGTTATTTGGCTTCAGCCAATAGAACTGTCTGATTTTGCTAACAGAAAGTAGTCTTATGTGTTCTTCACATGGAGAAATGAGCAACCAATATTACTCTCCACATATAAATAACTCTTAGTAGAGGATTTTCCAATGTTCTGTGAGTTTTTTCCTCGCCAGTTTCATGGTAAGTGAAAAATAATTTAAGGCCCCATGTTAGAGCACCCAGCACAATACCAAACAGATAGTTGGTGCACAATAAAAATGTGTTGAGTCTTTGAGTTTACAGTCCTGTCAATCAAGATGAATGGGGTCCTCGGGCAAATAAGGCTGCGTGGTGTCATCTAGAGAACCCGTCCCAGGGGGACAATCAAAGACTCTCTCACTGGAGCCAGCATCCCAAGGCCACAGCTCTCTGAAGAAAGACTCCTTTTCTCCCAAATAGACAGAATAGGGTCATCTGAAGGAAATCTTTAAGGCAGTTGCCAAAAGCCAACCAAGGGAGCTCATTTATATCATTAAGGAAGGAAAACACCACAGGTTCACACTTAAAAAAATGTAAGGAAGCCCCAAACCCAGGCAGTAAGGTGCAGCCTTAGAACACAGCAAGGTTCTGCAGACCACCTCCTGCACACAGAACCTCAGGGACAGAGACCTTTGGGAAGCCATTATATGTGTGGTGAATCCTGAAGCTCCAGGGCTGATGTTTTTGGAAGCACAGTCACAAAGGGTAACCTGGCCGTGTAGCTGCCACTCGCAGGCCAGGCTGCACAGCCAACTTTTTGTTCTAACCTTCTTTTGAAGTTGAACACATTTCAATACTGTTTGGTGATAAAGCATTTTTAAAGAAGTAGTTTTCCTAGCATCTCTAGTAGCCCCAGTCTCTGTGTAAGCTTAGGGAAAGAAAAGGCAAAAGGAGGTTCCTACGCAAGAAAAGATCCCAAGGAAGCTGACCTAAGCCAGGTTTAGGGCAGAGGATGCTGAATTTCTCTGGCATTATTACTGCCATAGGAAGAAATGCCAAGAACAACTTACCTGAGATTTGACTTTTCAATTCCAATGGTAGGAATGCTTTGTAGAAATTGATCAGATCACTCATTTAAAGTGATTCTTTTATTGAAAACAACACAGAACCCAGAAAAAGAAAATCTGATTTAACACGGGAACCATAATTGTTATGGGTATGCACTGCCACCTATTGTTAAATTCTGTAATTACTGAAAATCCCAGCTTACAACCCCTGTAAGAAAATGCAGCCATTCCCTCAATCTGCCCAGCTCTATTTGCTCCCTACCCTCATGGCACAGGCAAGGGGGAGCCAGGCCCAGAACTAGGGGTTAGAAAGCAACACACCCCACTCTGATCATCTGAAGATGCTTGGAGTGAGCTGAACTTAGGTTCTGAATCCTTACTTCTTTCTCCAGGCACATTACAAAAGCTCTATGACCCTCAGTTTTCCTCATCGATAAAATGGGTTGAATAGTAGCAAACCCAGTGTTATGCAGGAAGGATTAAAATAGTTCATTCAGAGCTTAGTGCAGGGCAAGTGACCTGTACATGTGAGTTGCTCTCCATTCTCTATTTACTGAAAGTCTAAACAAAAGGAACAGAATTTTAGAGGTGAAATGACTCTCTAAAGTCACTTACTCTAATACTGCTTGTCCTGTCACAATAATCCCTGATGTAGAATCAACTCTCTGAGACAACACATGGTCTATTAGGCAGTTTGTTCTTCTACTGAGCTGGGATTTGCCACCTTTTTACTTTTATCCATTGGATATACATACATACATAAACACACACACACACACACACACACACACACACACACACACAGACACAGACACACATATATATTTTTTTCCTGGAGAAATCTAATATGTTCAGGTTACCCTTTGATTCCATGCAGGTTTAGAAATTTTAATGTCTGTCGGTCTAAAAAAATAAAATCAACCCCCTTTTAATAATAATACTCAAGTTCTATGGATTGGAAGATGGTGGGAAAAAAGCTGTTAGCAAATTAAAAACAGACACATTTTAAAGACAAACCCTAATTTGAATCTAGGATTATGTAGCATTTTCTATTTATTGAATAAAGTCTTGAGAAGAAGGGTCTGGCTACTGGATACACAGATTATAAAAATGTAAAATAACCCGCAATACAAAACACAAAGCAAAATAAAGTTTACAATGTCCAGATATATGTATTTTCACTCAGAAGAAAGTCTGATCATAAATTCTGTTGTTCTGCGGCCACGCTGACTTCTTTTTGAAGGATTAACCCAGACTTAAACATCCCATATAGTCTAACTCAGGAAAGGAAAGAAAAAAAAAAGTTGGGGGAGATTTAGTAGTCTGCGTAAAATCAAAAAACGCCGCAGGTAGAAATTCAGAAAATCGCCTTAGTACCACATTATCCCCATAGGAAACTGAAGAGAGCTTCTTATAGGGTGAGACATAATTCCTTATAGTGGTAATCACCAAGAATGTTACTCTCAGGAAAAGGAAATTATATGACATAACAGCTAATGGTTCAGAGGGGATTTTAGTAAAGACATCTTAAAACGAGCTCAGGTTTCAAGAAGGATTTGTTTGCTTTTAGCCTTTAAGCGGGTTTTAAGATGAAGTCAGCTCTCGGTGAAACTCAACCACAGCTCCCAAGCAGCCTGAATGGATGAGTGGGGCCACCTGGTGCTGCTGAAGGCCTCTGTGCCCAGGGTGGAAGAACAGATAACCCCTGTTCCAGGACCCTGCCCACCCTGGGAGACATGGCTGTTCTTGAGGCTCACATCTGAAAACCACAGTTCCCCGGGCCTCTGTCCCTCACACTGCAGTGCATCTGGCTGCCCTCATAACCAGTCTTGCAAAATTCAGGCTGCAGGGTGCCTAATTTACCTAGATCTCTCAAGCACAGTCTGAGGTGAAAACAGAACACGATCCTCATCTTGTTAATTAGAGATATAATTTCAAGGTATCCAATTCAAGGTTACTTGATGTTTCAAGTGGCATTTAGCAGAGCACTGTACAAAGGCTGCTGGAAGTCAGCCTTGCCTGTCGATTTCATTTCTGAAAGGTCTGTCTTGGTTATCCCAGAAAGCTCTTCTCCCTTACACACCACAAGGCAATTAAAAACAACGCTGCTGCCCGGAGCTACTGGCAGGGAGCACCAGGGGTCTGGAAAGAAAGTGTCCTTGACGGAGAATGCCCGGAAACATGGAGAGATAAAGACTAAGTATGTCTTCTGGACATCTCAGTGTGAGCAGGAGTGGCCTCAGTGTGACAGTGCCTACTGGCCAGGAGCAGGAGGGCACTTGGTCGGGAGGCTGCACAGCAACCACGTCTGCTTGGCATTTATAGTGAGGAAGGCTGTTATTTAGAAAACACTGGTGCTGACTTCCAACTACTGTTACCAGGGATACTATTAAAATATGCACAGGAGTTGAGAGGATGGCAGAGACGAAAAGTTTTTAAGTATGAATAGAATATCTCAAAAACTCAGCCAAGTGGTAATATGATTTTATATAAAGGTAACATTTCTTTCAAAATACAGGGACAAGAGCAGTTTATTCCCTGAGAGAAACAATGTCATGGCCCTAAAGTTTGCTGGTGACTTCTAGAGGAGCAGTGGTCATTATGAATTGGGCCTTTGTTCTTGGCTTTGGGTTGTAGTGACCGGGATTGGGCTGGTCTGAGGCCAGCTCTGAAGCCTGGAACTACTTGCTTTTTTCTTGATTTTCTACTTGCTTTTCTACTTGATTTTAGGAATGGGAATCTCCCAGCACCTGCTTAGACCACTAGTATCTACGTATAAATGTTCAAGATTCATTGGTAAGATTTTTATCCCCCTGTCCACAGCACTTTGGTTCACTTTACTTGAACTGTTGCATTGAATTTTAAAGTATGTTCACTTACATTCTCTCCCGGGGCTGTATAATCACCTGTGGATTACAGGCAAGATATAGTTACTCAGAGAAGTCAAATGACTTGCCACAGACCTGTGACAACCTCTTTATAAAAATGATCTCAATTCTTCCTCTCCTTATACCCATCTCCTCTGTAATGTGACCCTGCAGCTTCTCCCATTGAGAAGTGGAGTCTATTTCCCTAGCCCTGGGCTGGCCTTGGAACTTGTCTTTGCCAGTAGAATGCAGAGGAAGTGATGGTATTCCAGTTTCCCCCTCAGGGAGCCCTGCCACCACCCTCAGAACAGGTCCAGGCTAGCCTGCTGGCGGTGTAACTTCGTAGCACAGAGCTCAACCGGCAGTTGTCTCAACTGAAGCCCTAGACACGTGTGAGAGCCCAGCCACCTCGCTGACCGGAGATGACTGAATAAGCCTGTCCAAGCCCAGCTCAGAACAGAACCACCCAGCTGACCTATAGGATCCTAAGGAGAAGCAAAACTTCATCATCGTATGCTACTGACGTGGATGGCTTTTTAAAAAAATTACGCATCATCATTGTGGCAATAGGTAACTGGTACAGGGTCACGAAGCAAGAGGCTACAGGCTGGACTTCTGATTTTAGAATCCAGTGGCCTTTCCCTTATACTACACTTAACATGAGGTTTGAATTTATTAGATCCTTTCTGTATCTGGCAATATAATTTTAAAGGAAATATGCCTCCTATACTTGCTTATAATTTTAAGGCAATTGTATGGCTTTCCTTAGGAAACAGAATGAAAGGGAATGTCCCATATGCCAGGGACTTCGAACATGCATTGCTCATTATCTGCCTACAACCAGTGTGGCTCGAGAGCCATTGGTCCTGCTATGCCATTCATTACTCAATATCCCCAACTAGTTTGTGGCTGGGTCATTAAAATACATTATTTCCATTTATTTTAAAGGATCTTTGATGCATGATTCAAAGATTTTATATATAATGAATAATTGCCTATATTTTTATACTATATCTTTTTCTGTTTCATGAGAATTTCAAAAGTGATGAAACATAAAATATGGATTGTAACTACTCAAGTATCTAAAAACACATTTCATTTTTCTGAGAATCTGTCATGAAGAAACAATGTGAGAACAATTGAGGTTTGGGTAAGCTTTAGATGTACTGCACGTGTGATGGTGTCGCTATAAAATGTGTTCAGTTAGGTTAAAATGAAGTACTGCTACTCCTTGTAAATTGTAAAATAGTTTTCCCATCCGGCAAACTCTGCTCCTTTCCCTTCTTTTCCCTACTGACTGTTCCAGTTTGATATTTACCTTGAGTTACAGAAATGCCTATTACTACTTAAAAACACAAAAAAAGAAACAAAAGGAAAAGTTTCTGCCTCACAATATTTGTTATGAAAATACAATGCTATATTTTAGCAAATAATGCTGGTCCAACAAAAATCATCACACACACACAATGACTATAAATGATTTTTATAACTACATAAGGTAGAGAAAAAAGAGTTACATGTTCATGCACACATTCATTCATTCATTCATTCATTGATGATCAGGCAATAATAGTTCTGTAAATTTCATGGCACCAATAGGCTGGTGCTGAGTAGCTGCTGTCCCCGTCAGCCAGGGCACACACTTTCTAGTTTGCTGCAGTCCCCAGTATTCTCTATTGCTTTTTATCTGCACTACTTCACTCACTTATGTTTCTTTTTGGCTCCTGAGGGCATTTTATGGTTCACGACCCCTACATTAAGTGATGCAAATAAAAACTAGGTCTTCTAACAGATATCAAGTGCTTGGATCATTAAGTCACAATGTATAAATAGAAATGTGGAATACACAGAGCATTGGAAGGGACCTCAAGAAACACTTAGTAGAATCTCCCTGTCTTATATATGGAAAATACTTTTGCTACCTGGACATTAATAAGGTGTTAACCAGAAGAGTGAAAGAGCAGAAAACTGCAAAAGGAAGGAGGTCTTGGTGAACTGAGGTTGGGCGGAATAAATACAGGAGAGAGATAGAAAAGCTGACCCTCCAGTAGTTATGTGCCCAGAGAAGTTATGGGTAGTTTCCAACTATATGCCAAAGAGAGGACTGGGGAGGACATTATGTCTCTTTATATCCTGTCCTGATCCCCACCTTACAGGACTCAGGTGTTCGGCTTCCTCAGCAGAAGCTGATGAAGGCAGCTCCAAAGGTAGTTGGAGTGTGAATGACCCTCTCTGGGTTTTCTCCTCCTAATCTTATGCATACTTTCTTTTTTCTGCTTGCTCTTCTAAGACTAGTTCTGGACCCTTCCATCTGTACATGTTCACATGATGGCTGGTAAGCACACCGGCCATTCTGTGGCACCACATAGCCACAGAATCTCCTCACTGACTTAGGCAACTAATAGAAAAGGGAAACTATCACTCACCAGCTTTTCTTTGGAGAAACATCGCCCCTGTATCCTAACCCGAATCTCCAGAGAGCTATAAATACTTGCATTCCTCAGACGGCTGTTGGTTCTAATTCTACATCAGTGTCCATTTCCTTCACTAATGACCACTTTCATGTAATTAAATTTGGAATTATAGGATCTTAATGTTGGGAAAATGCATTTTCAACTGAAATGTTCTCTAGCATGAATGAAAGACCAGAACGAGGCCTCTTCTGATACGAGGAATAAAACAGCCATCTCTCGTAGGCAGCAAATGTTATCTACTTCCATGTTAAATAAGGCCAAGTAATTTCCAAGTAATCTGTATTCTGAAATTAAAAGTTACTGTTTTTGAGCATCTACTAAGTGCCAGGCATTTTACTATTTTATGTCTAACCCTCAGATACACATGAAGCAGGCACTGTGAACCCTGTTTCACATATGAGAAAACGGCTCAGAGAGGTTAAATTACACAATATCACAACACTGATACTTTAGGAAAGTCCGTCTTGAGATGTCAGAGCACTTTAAAAAGGAGGAAACAAATTCATTAATGGTAGAAAAAAAGAGAAGAAAGAAAAAAAAAAGAAAGAAAGCAAAACAAAAACAAAACCAAAACAAAAAGCTGGCAACAACTTAAATGCCTAATAATAAAAGATTGATAAAGTATATTATGGTGAAATATATGATGGGCTATTCTGCAGCTAGTAGAAATACTAATCTTATGAATAAGATTAGTCCAATATTATTACATTAGATGAATCTTATGAGTAAGCTTAGTCCAATATTATTAGATTGGATGAAAGTTTCCGACTGTTAAGTAAAAGAAAGAAGGCTAAAAACAGTACCTATGCTATAATTCCAATTTTATAAACAAAAATATGGAGATATATGCATAGAAAAAAAGTCAGGAAATACATCTTTTTTTTTTTTGGTGAAAGAGTTTCAGTTGGCTTTGGATTTTCCTCTTTTGAGCACCTCTGAGGTGCTACATATGGGCATTTGGCAGGAATTTATTTATTTTTATTTATTTTTTATTTTTTATTTTTTTATTTTTTTATTTTATTTTATTTTTTTTTTGAGACGGAGTCTCGCTCTGTCGCCCAGGCTGGAGTGCAGTGGCGGGATCTCGGCTCACTGCAAGCTCCGCCTCCCGGGTTCATGCCATTCTCCTGCCTCAGCCTCCCAAGTAGCTGGGACTACAGGCGCCCGCCACTACGCCCGGCTAATTTTTTGTATTTTTAGTAGAGACGGGGTTTCACCGTTTTAGCCGGGATGGTCTCGATCTCCTGACCTCGTGATTCGCCCGCCTCGGCCTCCCAAAGTGCTGGGATTACAGGCGTGAGCCACCGCGCCCGGCCTATTTTTATTTTTTTGAGACAGAGTCTCACTCTGTTGCCCAGGCTGGAGTGCAGGGGTGCAATCTTGGCTCACTGCAACCTCCGCCTCCTGGGTTCAAGCGATACTCCTGCCTCAGCCTCCCGAGTAGCTTGGACTACAAGCACCCGCCACCATACCCAGCCAGCTATCTTTTGCATTTTTAGTAGAGACAGGGTTTCACCATGTTGGCCAGGCTGGTCCCGAACTACTGACCTCATGTGATCCACCTGCCTTGGCCTCCCAAAGTGCTGGGATTACAGGCATGAGTCACTGCGCCCGGCCTTGGCAAGAATTTAAAAAAGAAAAGGAAAGAACATGACCGAGTTGATGATTAGCATTTGTGTGTTGGAGAAAAGGTGAGCAGATCAGTGTTTGATGGCTGGAAGAGGATGGCTGTGTGTCTGACTCAGCCATGTCTATGCAGGGACTTTTGTTTTTGGCAGGGTGCTGGAGGTGGTGGGAGATCCGTGGGCAGCAAGAAACATATTTTCTTATAAGAGAACATTTCTGTGGATGGACTCTGATTCAACTGTTGACATCCCTCCTCAATCCAGTCTTGATTTCATTCTCCTCCTTGGATCTGCAGTAAATTACAGACTCTAACGTAATTGATATAAATTTAACTGTTTGTATTTTTAAAGCCAGGCTGCCTATTTATTCTGCTCAGCTCAGACAGAGTTTAAACACCTATCTACCCCACCTGCTGATGAGTTTCAGCTGTTGAGGCAATGAAGGTTAGAGAAGAAATACTTTTCCCCTTCCAGACCTTTGAAAATGTTCATGCGGACTGGGTAAAAAACATGACAGCGGAGAGTCAGTGCCTGTGTGTGTTTCTGAGGCATATTCCTGAAGTAGGCGAAAATCTTAATTGCAAATTCTTTTATTCTTTTGACCATTAAAGCACTGCTTTACCACTTTTTATGTTCATGTTTAGAAACATTTTGGGGCCACCATTTAGGCTTGGTTCCATGGTAAGCTTCATCTCAAAAACACTGGCTTTCATGATTTAGTTTGTGACTGTTTGAATTCTACGCAGTCGTGAAAAAGAATGCAGTGGATCAATAAGATTGCATTGATTCTATGAAGCATGGTTATTTACATTTTGCAGTCTTTATTTTTTATTCTTTGAAACAGAGTTTCGCTCTTGTCACCCAGGCTGGAGTGCAATGGGGTGATCTCGGCTCACTGCAACCTCTGCCTCCAGGGTTAAAGCGATTCTCCTGCCTCAGCCTCCTGAGTAGCTGGGATTATAGGCGCCCGCCACCACTCCTGGCTAATTTTTGTATTTTTAGTAGAGATGGGGGTTTCATCATGTTGGCTGTGCTGATCTTGAACTCCTGACCTCAGGTGATCCACCTGCCTTGGCCTCCTAAAGTGCTGGGATTACAGGCGTGAGCCACTGCTCCCAGCCTAAAATAGGGATGTATCTCAGCTGCTGTACCTCAGGTAGGTGGTGGCATGATTGCAGTACTTAACTCTATCAGCCCACAAACCAGGTAATAATCCCCAAGGAGGAGGTGGGCACTGGTTGTCCACTCATGCCTTCTGACAAGAACAACAAAGCTCCAGCATCAAACCTTGCAGATGGGGGGACGATGGCTTGGAAGGTGATGCACTCCATCTCCCGATGGCCCAAAAGCTGAGACATGGCAGCTCTCAGGTAAAGTGGTTAAGTGGAGAGCTGGAAAGTTTAGGACTACATTTGCCAACATGTTTCACCTTTTCTTCCTCTTTTTGTGCACAAGAAACATATGATAAAAGCGTATGTCCAAACAAGTCTAAAATTACTCTTTCAATAACTAAAATAAAAACTCTAAGTGTTAAGAAGGCATGTGTCACCGTTTAAATGGCAGTAGTTTTTCTTTTTTAGTGGTACATAAAATAACTATTTGTCTTACAATCAATGGTGTCTAAGAGTAAATAAAAAGGATAACGAAATACTGTAGCAGCACCTACTAATGCAGCACTGACTCTCGTCCAGGCACTCTTCTGAGTGCTTTGCTGGTCTTCCTCACAGTAACCCCATGAAGTAGGCACAATTATTACCCTATTTTACAGATGAGGAAACTGAGCCACAAGTGAAGCCATTAGTAAGTGCTAGTAAGCGGCAGAGTCAAGATTCCAAGCCAGACCCTCTGGTTCCCAATACCCCGCTCCTACCCACCACGCTACACTGCCTGCCTAGTGAACAGACCCGAAACATGTTGATAAGTGAAAAAGCATGGTGATTAACAGAGCATGTGGATACACCACCTCATGATCGATGGTGGAAGAACAAATACAAATCCTGGAACAGTGATTGTCTCTGGTGACAGAAGCAGGGAGACTGGAAGAATGGGGGACAAATATGGCAGGATCTGAGCTTTTTATAGTGTTTTCAATGACACTGATTTTCTAATGCCATACATAAATATTCTGTCTACTTAGAAAACACTTCACAAATTATAGCCATTGGATCTTGTTTTCCTCTTTGTAATCTGTTGATTGCACTAATGGTTTCTGTTCTCATCAGAAATCTCTTTCATGGTTTGTTTTGTTTTGTTTTGTTCTAGAGACAGGTTCTCGCTGTGTTGCCTAAGCTATCCTCAAGCTCCTGGGCTCAAGGGATCCTCCCATCTCAGCCTCCTGAGTAGCTGTGACTACAGGCACATGCCACTGTGCCTGGCTTTCCATGGGTTTTTAATGCGTGCAATAATCTGAATGAGAACAATCCAAGCAGGACAGAAAATTTTACAACAGGATTGAGTAAAAGGATGGTGTTAAACCTTAGATAACATGGCTCACCTGCAGTCAGTTAGAATGTTTTCTAGCAGCAATGAATGCTTTTGTGCACTCTCAATGGAGCACTGTCACGTGAACTGTGTGTGTCTAGACACATGTATAGGACCACTGTCCAAAGAGAATGCAAACTACAGTAATAAAGTCATCATAGCTTGTCAAAGATGATGCACCAATGAAAAATAATTCCTAGAAACTCTTTTAATTAAACATTCAGCTGTCTACTAGAGCCATTTTTAAATATAAAATGCAGCCCTGTGGTCTTTTTCTTCCTGCCTCCCCCTCTTTTGCAATAGCTCAGGCAATTGAATTCTCATTGGTGATAAAAAAAAATTCATAAGACAGGGTACAGCTGGTTATGCCTCTAGCAAGATGTCAAATTCAGCTTGCATAAAATTAATTGCACCTAATTAAACCAGGGTCATTGGTGTTATTGTAAAGTGAGACTATTTATTAGACAAAGAAAATTTCACAAATACCAATTTGCTTTTCTTTCAGGTTTGTGAAGGAGAAGAATTGCTTACATAATTAGATTTGTTTTGCCATTTTAATCTTATTACTCCTCAAAAGATCTACTTCAAATCTTGCTTCACTTTTGAAATTGTGTAATATTTTTGAATACTGGAAGCAATCCTTAGAGGAGGGGCATAAAAAATGATAGTTTTTGTTTTTTTTTTTTTTAGACTACCCAGTGGCCTTTCAAATAGTGAAAAAAAAGAAGTCATCATTAGCTACCATTTGCAATGACACACACCTTGGAAATACTTATATGAAGGGTTTTTAAAGCAAATCTTTAGTATATATGTATGAGACTAATATGAAATGTTAAAGATATGTTGCATGTTATAAATAGGTTGCTACAGTATGCATCTATTATTTCAAGAAAGATGCCACAGACAGGCAATTTCACTGAGTTGGAACTAGACAACCTCTTTCCTCATTAACGCTGGGCAGATATAACCGTTGTGCTTACTTCTTCCAGAAAATCATACAACAATTATTACTGTTAGAGACAAAAGGATGATTGACTTTCTTGGCAAAATGATGCTGGTTCGACCTGTGATTCGTGGCACATTGTATATACAGATTCTCAGTTCCTCACTTTTAAAGTCCCTGTGAATCCTATTTCTTTGAAGTCTCTCTGGATTCACTGTTATTGGTCCAGTTGATAACAGCTCCCAGTTAGGGTGCCCCCCACTCCTTGCCCTCCAGCCCAAACACAAAAGGAGATGGCAGGTGTCCATTATTGGCCTTGTCTCAGCCATTTACCAATAAACCTATAAGGCCAAGAAAGAAATGAGTTTTGATTGGGTGATGTTGGAATGGTTGAGTTAAGTAAACAGTAATCATTATTCAAAGCAGCTGCTCAAAAGTTCTCTGGGGAATTTCTGTTTTTCATAATATTCAGCCTTTGGAGAAAATGGTATAGCCTATTTCAGGTCACATCATCCCATTGCACACTTTATGAAAAAGACTGTGTTTATATGTATATGTATGTAAATAAGTTCTCTCTTGGGGTAAGGTAAGAAGAGAGGTGAGAATCAAATTTATTTCGTGGTTACTCTGAGAAAAGGTAAAAGGAGAAGGCAGAGAAAACTTCCTTCACAATGTTAGGTCAGGTTGTAATGTTTAAAAAATAAAAGATTTCCCAGATATCTATTAATAAAGACTATCTTGTGTTCCCACAGCAGCTAAGCCTGTTTCTATTCCTTTAATTACACTAAGCTATACAAGCTCATCATCTGAAACATAATGCTAACTGATAATTAGTTTGGCCAATGAAAACATATTTTATAGGAAAGTATCATACTAGTAATAATAGAAAAAATGTTTCTTCAAGAATATGACTAACCCTAATATTTCTTAGAAACCTTATTTCAAAAATAGATAATTCATTTTTCTCATTTCATTTTAAGCTTTAAAAAACTTTTTACGGAAACACTTTTAAATAGAAAAAATGACAAAGGTTATACAGTTTCAGTTTGTAAAGGGCTGATAATGTGTGGATTAGCAAATTTTGAAGAAAAAAATGACACTCTACTTGCCACATTTCAGTATAAGTCAAATTTAATTAGTTGAGTTATGAAGCAACATCAAATATTATTTTGCTGCACTATTAGGCATGAAATGTCTTTATGGGATTATTGTAAGCCTAGCTTTCATTTAACAACTTGTCACTCTTAAGAAGTGCTTTAGGAGATAGCAACATCTAGAAAAATCCAGTGGGGCTAAAACCCAACAGACAACTGAGAGGAACTCACGCTCACAGGAACAGTTGAAACTCCAGTCTTCCCAGACCCTCATGTTACTTGATAATTTCTCACATACTGTGCATGGAGTTAGTTTCTACAGGCAAATATACAGCCTTTAAAGAAACATAAACAGAACTCCATTAGTTTGCCAAAGATCCCACTCACCTCAGTAGGCCCTGCCTTAAAAAGTAAGCTTAGCATTTAGGAATCCACTGCTTGGTCAATTAATTTTAAATCTCCAGCCTCATTTAAAATTGGGCATTGAGCTCTTCAGAGTAGTAAATTCATATCAGGTTTACCTGGTTTTAATCTTATTACTCCTCAAAAGATCCACTTAAAATCTATTTCACGTTGAAATTGTGTAATATTTTAGAATACTAGAGGTAATCCTTGGAGGAGGGCATAAAAAATGATAGCTTTTCTGTAAGTTACCTAATGGTTTTTCAAATACTATTATGTGCTC
Organism: Homo sapiens; assembly: GCF_000001405.40. NCBI lineage: Eukaryota > Metazoa > Chordata > Mammalia > Primates > Hominidae > Homo > Homo sapiens. Next base: position 159,872,984 of record NC_000003.12, on the reverse strand, counting down.
TGGTACATTTTGGAGTACCATACTGGTGAACTCAATGTTCTGACATCCCTCAAGTACTTTTGTAAGTAAGAGGTAAGGTATTTCCAGTTCAATGAAGAATTTCAGGGATAGTGATGCAGCAGAAACAAATTCTAACAGGGATAGGGAGTATGGGTTACACAATTGCAACTGAACATTCTAAAGGCTTTTCTCCTACATTATTACTGATGAGGAGGATGACAGTCAGTCTTTGCAAACTTTAAATTTATAGGGATAAAGTGATATTTCTTAGAAATATGTAGTCTCATTATTAACCATCATTCTGAGAGAGATCCCAAACAGTCATCGTGTTCTCAGAAGATGATCTCATCCCAGAATGTGGAGATGAAAGTATCAGAAAGAACAGGATATAAATAATCTTCCTTATGGTGAGTCAACAAGTGTAGCTTGTTATGAGCTACTGTGAAATACATTTGTGTTTAGATATCCGTGTCTCCACAGGGGGCAGATGACTCAGTGATTTTCAAATTCTGCTTTGCCAGAAGAGTTTCAGGTAGGCTTCAGGGGCTTGTAGGGGAAGGATGGAGAGAGGTACCAAAGGGCAGGCATGGAAAGGGGCAATTAGGATGGGGGACACATTTTCTGGGCAGAGGTATTCCAGTCTCTCTCCTTCAGTCCTCCTGAACCAAAGGAGGACTGCCAAGCTGGGTTTCCACACAGGGTTTTAATCAACATATTTGTGCTATTAAAAACAGTGAAAACCTTCTAGTTAACCATGGCATATTAAGCACAAGTATCTACTCTCACTTCTGAAATCTTACTAAAATAATATTAAAGAAAAAAAGAAGGTACAAATCTATATGCACAAAGAAAAAGGAAATGGAAACAACAGCACACAAGGGATTTTGATGAAATTTTAGAAGATAATATGCAGATGGGTGGGGAGTATTTGACTTAACTACCTCAATCTACCATGTGCCCACAGGGGAGGCTGGTAGAGGAAGCACATGCATTTCTACTGCAGGATCCTCGAAATGCTCAGATACAGCTGAAAGTAGGGGAGTGAAGTAGGACCGAACACAAAGATTGATTTAACACCTGAAAGGACCCTCTTGCCCTGCTATCTGCCCTGACCACCTGTGGCCTGGCAGAATCAGGAAATTTATTGTCTTAAGAGGTTGAGACTGGAGCATGCTCAGGCACAGCTGAGGTGGCAAAGAGATGCTTTACTGAAATCAAGGAAATTAAGTAAAATTTTATATGCTACAGTTCCTATCTTTCCCCTGCTAGAGTCTTAAAACATTGGCAGCCAGGTTTAAAATGCCTCAAGATGAGGTTGGAGGGTTTCTCTCAGTCGCAATTCATAGCCCAAGAGAAAAGACTCCTAGATACTTTCAATTAGATGCATCCCAATGAAAGAGCTGTGTCCTTATTCAGCCATTCTATAGTGAAGTTCACCATTCATTTATTCAACAAATATTTAGTGATTATGTATTAGATACTATTTTAGGCAATAGTTACAGTGGTGAACAAAATAGAGACGAAGTCTTGCTCTCTTAGAGCTTATATTTTAGAGCTAGAGAAAGACAGAACAAAGTATATATACTACAACGTTAGGTTATAATAAGCCCCCCCCCACCCCCCCCAACAAACAAATCAGGGTAAGAAGATAAGCAGGGTAAGACCGGACAAAGTGATGGGTACGAGAACGTTTACTTTTAATAGGGTGGTCAGGGAAGGGCTCTCTAAGCAGATGATGCATGCCAACTAGCCCCAACCACAGTTTATAAACAGCTTTTAGTGTCTTATACTTAGTTATTGGTGGGCAGAAAGCAAAACAAATGAAAAATAAACTCAGAAAAAGTCATGATGGACAGGAAAACATTTTAAACAACTTAATTAAAATTAATACTTTCAGAGAAATGAGAAAACATCATGCCAACAATTTTGAAAACAAACAAAATGGACATATTCCTAGAAAAATATAACTCATCAGACTGATCTGAGGAAATAAAAAGTATGTATAATATTATAACCACTTAAGAAATGGAAGCTGTCGTTAAAGCAAATACACAAAGTAAACACCAGGCCCAGAGAGAAATGAGTCCTACCAAGCTTTATAGAAACAGATCATAAAAATATTATGTAAACTTTTCTTAGACAATATGAAAGAGAATACTTCCCAATCCATTTTTAAGCCAGCATAACCCTGATACTAAAACCAAGCAAAAATGTCAGAAGAAAAGAATACAATAGATTCATGTCAATCATGAATATAAACCTAACAATCCTAAACAAAATGTTACAAATAAAATATGAATTTTATTTATAATTATTTACTCAGATTTTATTTATAATATTAGTATCTGAAAAAATATAATACTCCAACAGTATCTGAAAAAATATAATACTCCCTAACCACTTTAGGTTTAGACTGGGTATGCTAGCATGGTTTAATATTTTGAAAATCTATAAATGTAATTCATTAATTCATATAATAGATTAACAGAGTGAAATTGTACTTTTTCTTCAACTCAACAGATGAAGAAAAAGCATGTGATACAGTTAAATACCCATTCATGATAAAAATTCTTTGTAAGTTATACCTGGGAGGGAACATCATCTCATAAAGAGAATCATTAAAGGAAACATAAAATTAACATCATCTGAAATGGGAAAACAGTAGAAACATTTCATTTAATATGAGAAATTAGCTAAGGATTCCAACTACTACTATTTCTAATCCTCACTGTATTAGGGTACCTAGCCAATCCAATAAGACAAAGAAACCAAAAGCATGAGAATTGAAAATGAATAAATAAAGCTGCCATTATTTGTAGATGATATCATTCTTTAAAAATCCCAGGGAATCTACAGACAACTTTATTAGAAATAATAGGAGAGTAGAGAAGTAATAGGAGTAATAACAAAGTGGCTGAATATAATACTAGTATACAAAGTTAATTGCATTTCTGTTCACCAGCAGCAAATGAGAAAGCATTACTGAAGAGAATTTATCAGAATAGCAAGTATCTAGAAATAAATATAACAAGAGATGTGTAATATGTCTAAACCTTATTAAGAAAGAAATAAATATAACAAGAGATGTGTAATATGTCTAAACCTTATTAAGAAATACCTAATAAGATCTAAATAAGGGGGAGACAGACCATATTCATGGATAGAAAGACAATGAGAAAATGTAATGCTTCCTAAATTGGTCTATAGAATCAATGCAATTACAGTCAAAATTCCAAGAGAGTATTTTGTTGAACTTGATTATATTATTTAAAGTTTATGTGGAGGAATAAAAAAAGCCGTAACAGGCAGCATACTTCTGAAGAAAAAGAATAACAAAAAGGACTTTCCTGTCCAGATATCAGGACTTATTTTGAAGCTATTGTAATTAACACTATAGTTTTGCTGCTGAGATAGAAACAATAATAAAATAGAATATATTTCCATTAACATACAGTATATATGGGAGTAGTCTATAAGATCAGTGAGTAAAAGAGGGATTGTCCAATAAATATGATAAAAAAATGGTCATATATAAGGAAAACGATCAAATTTGACTTCTCCATACCATATCAAGAAATCAACTTTTGACTGATTGCAGACTTTTAAAAACTCAACACTTTCGACTCTTGGTAGGAAATCTAATGAATGTCTATTGGATCTTGGGGGAGAAGAAAATTTCTTACACAAGATACAGAAAGCCATTGACTAGAAAAGTTTGATAAAATTCAGTATAAAATCAACCTATAAAATTCAGAACTTCTGGTCATAAAACACATATTAAAAAAGTGAAAAATAAGTTACAACCTGGGAAATGATATATGCAATACATACAGTGTATTAAGGATTAGTATCATGACTGAAGAACTTCGATAAGTTGATGAGAAAAGCATAAAGAATCCAACAGCAATTTGGCATAGGACCCAAACAGATATTTCACAGAAGAGAAAACAAATACGGCTAATATACACAATAAAAATCATTTTATACCTATTCAATCTTCACAAAAACTTAAAAGAATTGGCAATATCAAATGTTAGTAACGTTATGGATCCACAGGATCTCTGAAACATTGCTGGTAGGAGTATAATCTGTTGCAACCATGTTGGAAAACAGTTTGACATTATATTCTAAGTGTAAACAATCATGTATTTTCCTAGTAATTCTACTCCTAGGTATGCCCCAAAGAGAAACTCTTGCATATGTATAGCAGAAGACATATACAAGAATGTTTATACGTAGCATTGTTTACAAGAGCAAAACCTTTGAAATAATCCAATGCCCATTATCAGGAGAGAGGCCAAATAAATTGTGGTATATTCACACACTGGAATACAAATGCAGAACATGGGGAGAAAGGAGGCAATTCTAATTTCAGGACAAAAAATAAAATTTCTCAAGTAACCATAGTTTACTACGTGGTTCAGTGGGAATAATGCATAATTTACACTTGATCTTAGCTAAAAGGCTGAGAAGCGATGAATAATGCATAATCTTAATAATGTAAACATTAAATAGCTATTTGACTCTAAATTGTGAAATTACTCTAAAGGAAGAATAGAAGAGATGACAGTCTTTGGGAGGGCTGTAAAAAAAGAGCTAAATCACTATCTTTTTATAGCAGGTAGTCTGATGGTTAAAATAAAAACTAAGAAGATAAGCATTTTATTTAGAGATATGTAGGTAAATACCAGAAGAAACAGTTAAGGAGTAAAAAGTTATTTCTTCTGGAGAGTGGCACAAGGATAATATAAATATATCTGGAGTATACATATACACACACACACACAAAGACACATATATATATGTATACATCCATATATACCTATGTACATATACATATATATGGGTTATATATAGGTATGTTACATATAGATTAATATTAGCTAATATATACGTATGTTATATATAACCCATATATATGTATATGTACATAGGTATATGTGTGTGTATATATATAAAAATCATTGATTTATATATATATAAATCATTGATTTATATATATATATATAAATCACTGATTTTCAAAATCAAAACCTCTCATTTGTAACATGGATATGACATTGCTGAACAGAGAGATTGGGCTTCTAAAAGAAGACATTTTGGCACTCTGGGAAATATTAGAGAGCAGTAGCAGAGATCTATAAGATGATATGGTCCAATGCTCTCATTTCACAAAAATGAAGAAAATGAGACATGGTAAAACTAAGTAAATTGTTAAAGTTTCAAAATTAGAAGTGTACTAGGACTAATCCTCAGATCTCCAGGTTCCTAGGCCAAAGCGCCTTCTGCCACATCTGACTGGGAGGGGAAAGAGGTGCTCCTAAGGGAAAGAGGAGGGCTGACCATCCAGTTCTGGAGGGATGTGTAGGAACACAAGGGAATGTTCTGAGACAGAGCTGGCACCCAGCAGAGGAAGAGATGCTGGAACACTGTCTGGTGAAACTGGCACTCTTGTCTTGATGTACTGATCTGCCTGCAGTGCCTCACAAATAGGTGTATATGTGAGCATGTGTCTGCTTTCTGCTTTCCGATTTTTGCTGATTTAGAATCTCTCAGGATAAGATAGTAGTACAAACCTTACTGAAAGCCATATGGAATACAGATAGATATTTTAAAAATGCCTAGTTCCAGGCCTCACATGCAGACATGGAAGAAATATGTTGGTTAAATGGATGCATAAATACTATAATTTGTTTCCAATGCCTAGCTTAAGATGGTAAAATAACTGAGTATTTTAACAGAGTATATTTGCTTTTAGCCAAAAGGAAGACTGAGAGGAAACAGACATTTGGGGAGTGAGGGGAGACCATGAGAATGCTGATCAGTTACTATCATCTTAGTAAAAACATTCTACATGCTTTCATCACTTGGAATACCCGTATTTGTAATGCCTAATTTTTCAGACTGTCTATACTTTCACTAATCAAAGTAGCCTATGGAATGGCAGCATGAATATCACAGCTGGGGCTTCATAGAAATGGAGGATCTTGAGCCCCACCTAGATCTACTGAATCAGAGTCTTCATTTTAACAAAATCCCCAGATGATTCATAAGCACATTAAAGTTCGAGAAACTCTGGCCTATAGCACTGTTTTTTGGATAAAATTATAATTTAAATATCTTACTTGGAATTAGAAGCTACGCAAATGACCAATAATATTCTGAAATAAATTATGATAAAGAGTAATGATATCCTGAAATAAATTAAGATAAAGAAAAACCACCAGAAGGACAGGTTAAGAACTGTAATAAACATTGAATGATCAAAGCGGGAATTGTATTTCTCAGTTACGAGTATTTATTGCAATCAAATGTGTCAGGGGGGTGATTCTGGGTGATCTGGGACTGCTTAATGGGAAATTTGGTAGTCTGCCACATGTCTCTAATCATAAGTCAGCTTGCTTAGGAGTGTGGCTTGATTCCTCTATCAGTGTACAGAATCAGTATTGTGGCTAGAAAAAAAATGGAATATAAAAATCTGACCTCAAGTAGCTGGGAAATGAGCCAATAATAACAACAACAACAACAAAGAAACCGACAAACAAGTGGGGAAGGGTCTGTCTAAAACCCAAATAAAGATGGCAGTATTATGCGAGGGGGAAAAAAAAACTACAGAAGATTTAAAGGCTTTTTTTTATTAGAATAGTCAAGTGACAGAATCCACTGTGTACATATCAGAAATTCAACTCAAAAGAACACTCACCGGGAGGAAAGGCTTGGCTTCCCACTTTTGCTACAGCTGGTATAAATTCCTGGGCCATCATCAAAGAAGCTTCCAAGTGCCAACTTCTGTCTGATAGACTCTCTCTCATTTTTCTGTGCCTAAAATTTCAAGAAAATAAAAAATGCTGATAAGTGGGCAGATATAGCACAACCACAGGCAGTCTAACTTGCTAAGTTTCTTAGAACTGTAACATTAGATGAAAAACAAATAAATAGGCTGCGGCATAAGAGTATTTGAATTATTAAAAGCTGAAATTTTACCAGTCTCTTCTGGCTTGAATTTCAGTTCTTCAGAGCTCATTCTAATCTCTAGTCTAAGTAATCACCATCGTGGTGCTAAATGATTTTCACGAGGATAGAACTAGATTATTTGTCACGTAATCTTTCTTCTTCTTACCTGCTAGGTATAGGTAAAGTTGTGGAGGGCAAGTACTTTCTCCTGAATCAAATCACTTTGATCCCAAATGTGCCCTTTCCCTGATCTTGTCTTCTCTCTGCTTTACACGTCCCTTTAGCCAGCCCATTTTCTCTATGGCAAGAAGAGTAATTCACTTCACCAACATGCAGCCTCTGGGAGCTGGCAGATGCCACAATAAGGCCAGAAGAGAACCCAGGACAAGACAGACATAGCACCTGCCTCCATGCAGCTTACAGTCTTGTTGGGGACTGTTGTTTCCATTCAAGAGCTAGCCTCATCTCACCAGGTTTTAGAATGTGAGAAACCTTGACAATAATGTCCGGAATAGCTGGAGAATTCTAGTTGGGCCCATCTGTTTCATATTTTGAAGGGAGGTCAGGTCAGTGTGCATAGAAAAAGGATTTGGTAAACTACACTACTGTGATCATTTGGATATGTTTACAATGCTTGGCTTCTCATTAAACGCCCCATAAAAACTCACCATGCTGAACTTTTAAACCCTTTAAACAACAGGGGAGAAGATTAAAAATGATTTCCTTGGTTAAAAATGAAACTACTACAAAAAACAAACAACATGAGTCAAAAATCCTGGGCTAAGGATGAAATTTTAGTTTTGTGAGATGACAAAGGCTTTGAGAAGTACCATTTTATACACTGAGCAAGGGGTTGAAGACCACACTGAGCAAACTATATTACAAAATGCAGGTCATGTGACTGGGTGTGGCTACTAAAGGCTTGGTGATGCCTTCATTCTCCCAGTAGGAGGTTCTGGAGCATCACTGTGTCACAATGACAAAAATGCATAGCCTGTGGGAAGGGCGCACTGAAAATAATTTCATTCCCAAGTGAAGGACAGTATACAATAGGTTAAGGCTTCTCTGTCTAATATGGTAGTTACTAGTGTCATGTGGTTATTTGCATTTCAACTTAAGAATTAATTAATTAATATTAAAAATTCAGCTCTTCGGGCACACTACCTCATTTCAAGAGCTCAACCATCACAGGTGGCTAGTGGATACTGTACTAGACAGCACAGAATAAAATACATGACAGCAAAGTACAGCTAAGACAGTGGTTCCCAAGATCCAGCTTCAACAGGCTGCATTAGAATGCCCCAGGCTCTAGTGCCAGATATTTAATTTCAACAGGTTTGAGAACTAGTTCAAAGAAACCTCATCTCTACTCTCCTTTTCTCTCACACTTTTTAATCCTTGGACACCATAAGCATTCTTTCTACTGTACACACTTAGTGATTATCTCTGTCTATATATATAGCACCCCCTTTTAGCATGTATCAATGAAACTGCATCATACTAGGAGCTAGCATATGTGTGTGTGTGTGTGTGTGTGTGTGTGTGTGTGTGTGTGTGTGTAGTACAGCCATAAGGTGAAAGACTACTTTTATACAGATTTTTTGTTTTTTTTACAGATGTGAAAGACTGCTTTCATAGTTCTTATTTTTTGCCGGGCTAGCACAAAACCAAGCTTTAAGAAAGTAACCATAAGGTTATGGAGGGAAGCAAGAATGCCTTTTATTTCACTAACCACTTGCAACTGTACTGCTTGGAACCTTAATTAGGGCAAACCACCTTTCCGAATATGCAAGGCTGGCACTTGGGATGGTCCAGCCAAAACAGAATCACATCACTTGACACCTTTATTTAAAACAAGTTCATTTCAAATCCCCATATCTGCCAGGCAGATTTTGTACAGTCAGTGAACCTTTTTCTCAATCCATATCACAGACAAAAGAGATTCTCACCAAAGTCCTCAACAGGCAGAAAACTGTTGAGTATAGCTGAATATCCAAATATAAAATCAGTAGATAGCAACATGAATTTTAATGATTAATGTTCAACAACATGCTGGCCTGACATTAGCCTAGGGTCTGAAACAGGCTTTAAAGAAAACTCTTATCCCAGGGTATGAATGTGTGAATATACCCTTGATTCCATGTCTATCTTTCTTGATAAACTAGAGCTACAGATATTGGAGGAGACCTTAAAAATATTTCCATTTACATTAATTGCAGTTCTTTACACCCAAATACTTCACTAACAGTTTAAAGAGGACTGTTTTATAATACACTCTCTTTCCCCCTCTCCTTCTCTCTCTGTCTCTGGATACCACTGAACAAATCAAGAAAAGCTTAAAGAATATAAACATCACTCATAATCCCACCACTTAGAGAGACATGATTGCTAACATTTTAGTATATTTCCTCCTAGTTTTTATCATATGTGTGCATTATTTTCCTTTTTATAAAGTTGAGATCATATTATTTATTAGATTTTCAGAATTGCCCTTGTATCCCTTCAAATTATTTAAAAACACAATTTTAAAATCTTTTAAAATTTTTTCCTCCAGAGCAGCCAGAAAGGAAAAAAAACACAATCTTTAATGGTTGCATATCATTCCATCCTATGGAGTTACCTTCTATGGTTAGCCATTTGAGTTGTGTCAAATTAAAAATAACATGGAAGTTAGCCTCTTTTTTTTTTTGGTGAGATGGAGTCTCGCTCTGTCACCAGGCTGGAGTGCAGTGGCACCATTTCGACTCACTGCAACATTCACCTCCTAGGTTCAAGCAATTCTCCTGCCTTAGCCTCCTGAGTAGCTGGGACTACAGGCTCGCGCCACTACGCTCAGCTAATTTTTGTATTTTTAGTAGAGACAGGGTTTCACCATGTTGGCCAGGATGGTCTCAATCTCTTGACCTCGTGATCCGCCTGCCTCAGCCTCCCAAAGTGCTGGGATTACAAGCGTGAGCCACCATGCCTGACCAGAAATTAGCCTCTTTACATAAATGCCTGCCCACATGTCTGATTATTTCCTCAGGATAAGTTCCTGGAAGTGGAATTAGCAGATCAGCTAAGTGTGAACATTTGTTGAGGCTCTTGACACATTTTGTCACATTGCTCTCGAAAAAAGCTGTTCCAATCCACATGCCCGCCAGCAATGTAAGAGGGTGCAGCTTTCACTACATCCTGGCTAACACTGAACATTTTCACTTAAAAAAAAAAGTTTTTTAAAAAATTTCATAGGCAAAAAGTAGTTTTTAAATTTCAATTTATTTGATTACTAGTGAGAGTAAATATTTAAATGTTTTTAGTGACTGTACTTTCTTTTCTCTGAATTACTTATTCCTAGCTTTGCTTATTTTCCTACAAAGGTCTGAGAATTTTAAACATTTTATAGTAGAGTATTTGTCCTTTTGAGTTTCAACTGTAAATGTTATGTAGTTAAGTCAATAGCTTGCTTCATCTGTCATGCTGTCAGTGGCTTTTGTGCTTGGAAAACTCTTCCCAGTCCAGAGGTAAAGGATCTCACTAGGTGCTGGAAGATTAAATGAGAAAACTTAAGTAAATTACTTAGCAGCTGTACCTGACCTGTGGTAATGTAAGTCTGTGATAGATGGTAGCATTATAGTTCATACTCCAACAATTTCTGCTTTGAATATGAGGAAACTGAGGGAGATGAAAGGTTACCATACTGTTAGGCAGGAGCAGTAGGATCCAAGTCCATGCTTCCTAATACCAGATCTTTCTGCTTTTTCTCATCACTTTTCCACATTAAAGAGTAAGGTGTTCAGACTAATAATAATGGTGGGTACCATGCAGAGGATAAAATGTGGCACAAAGACTTATGGGTCTACTTCTTCCCTGAGATGGATGTGATGTTTTCTCAGAAAAAGAGAAAACACTGGCAAAGCATACATACTATGGGCTAAATCATAACCACAAATATCCACAATACAAATATCTTCCCATCAGGACCACTCTCCTTACCATTACTACTCAATCTGAAAATTTAACAATGAGAACCCAATTTTCTTTCAGTTGCCCACATGTGTAAAATATATGTGTGTGTGGTTTCAAGGGCGGTTTGTTCTCTGAGGAATTATACCTGCAAGGCAAATATGTCTTCCACCAGCCCCCTTAATCCAGCCAAGCCCAATACGCTCCAGGGTGAGAAACAGACAAGGGTACAGGAAAAGGAAGAGGCTGACTCAAAACACCACTGTCTGGCTGCACTTATGACAGGCAGAACCATGTCCACTCCTAAAACAGCCTTGGGAAATACCCTCATAAAACAAAAGTACAACATCTAAAATTAGTATTGCTAGCAAAAACAAAGGGCAACTGAGGAACAGGGCTCATCACTATCAGGCAGAAAAGCTATTCAAGCCCCAGATGAAAGTAAAAATGTGATTAGAAACTCACCGCTATTCAGCCCCAGGAAGTTTTTGTCCTCATCTGTTGCTAAATTCCCTACTGCCACCCGCTGTGCCTGAGCAGATGAGGCTCACAATGACTTTCAATGATGCCATGCAAGCCACCATGATCTTAGAACAGACCACTGAGCACTTGCAGACTCTGAACACCAATGCTCAGCCTTTCCTGATGTGCCCTGTTCTACTGCAATTCCCCAATCTGGACAAGAACAAAGAGGGGCATTCAGTAATGAAATAAAGAGCAAAATGTTCAGCATGGGTAGGTATCATCTATCTTCAAATCTAATATGTCCCCAGGACCTTTCCACCCTTTTTTTCGGCATATGGCATGGCCCCATCCCTTACACACCAAGATCATTCCTGCATCCCCTCCCCAGGTTCTGCCTTCCTGCCTCTGGCCCAGCCCACCTTACTAGCAGCATTGTGGTGTCTCTGAAGCAAGAAGCCTTCAGCATGCTAATCTGCACGTAAATTTACAAGTGGAAGATTGGGTGTTTTCTGCATTTTCAAAATCTATTTAATTAACAAACTATATTTTTTGTGGGAAAATCTGGGGGGCCTCTAGGGTTCTCAGGAACACACTTCAGGAAATAACATCCTAAACCTGAACCTAAAGCCATCTGGTGCTTAGGACACAACAAACAGCTGCTTCCTTCTGAGTCCTGCACAGATGATGAAACCCACAGAGCCGGAAAGGGCCTGTCAGACCAAGAGGAAGGGGCTGCTCAAACTCCCCTGAGGATGAATGGATTTAAGGAAACCTGGCCTAGGGAATCAGGGGATCCAGTAGATGAGAAAGGCACAGAAGTGGGAATAAAAGCAGATGTAAGATTTGGAGCAGGGACAGTTGTAGGCCTGGACAAGATTCAGTTGTGGGAAGGAGTGGGAGAAAGAAAAGTGTTTCCCCCAGTTTCCTGTCTTTCTGTTCTTCCCTGGATTGAGCTTCCCCTCCTCCCAGATGCATTTGTTTCTCACTTTTCACTCTTTGCCATGGGAACTGAAATAGACTTTTAAAAATTATCGGATGTACTTGTTTTATAATGCTCACTGTCTCAGTACTAATTCACTAATGACCCCTACAGATACCACGTCTAGCATCCTCTTTTTCACACTGCTAAGTTGTTACCTGGTGCAATGCTTCTCAGGCTTCAGGGTACTTATGAGTCACCTCAAGATCTTGCTAAGATGCATGTTCTAAATCAAAGACAGGGCCGGAGACTCTGCATTTCTAATAAGCTCCAGGAGTTGCAAAAGGTTAGAGGTTTTGCAGGAGATCTTCTCTAAGGTTAAGAAGCCTCACAGGACTTGACTGCTCTTTCTCTGTCTTTTACACTGGTGTTACCTATAGGCCCCAGGAAATGCTTGTTAAAGCAATGAAGTAAATACTTGCCACCAATGCTAAAAAGGAAAACAATATGCCATTGACAAAAAACTTCCTAAGGATTATGGGCTGCATCATCCCAGAAGCTAATGAATACACTGGTCCCCCGTGGCCCAGAAAGGAACTCAGGATGCCAGGGGTTGCTGAGACACTGGTTGGCCAAGTGGAGACCAGGGAGGAGCATGCATGTGCACACACGCAGACAGACAGACAGACAGACACACACACACACGCACACACACACACACACACCCTGTCACACATTTCTTTAAGCCAATAGCACTCAAACTTGATTGACTGTGCAAGAGGATTACCTGGAGGGCTTGTAAGTACACAGTCTATTTTTCTGTTTCAAGAAAGTCTGGGGTGGAGGTGAGAATGTGCATTTCTAACAAGTTCCCAGATGCTGTTGATGATGCTAGCATAGGCACTTTGAGAACCACAGCTTTAAACAAATTGAGAAGATCAAGTAGCTAGATGAAACACAGAGTTGGTTCTTCTGTAATTGAGCACACATCTGTTCCATGTGGCATGGCCAGACTCTGAAGCCAGGTGGATTTCATTTGTAGCAGCCTGGCCTCTGCCAAGGCCTTACCAGGATGCTTGTTTTGAAGCAATTAATGATCCCCTTGCTTCAGTGCAATCTATTGCCTAGTGATATCTGGCATCATCACCATTAGCAGCATCCGCCAGGGAACGTAACTGGGATTCTGAAGCTCTCTGTGGAAAAGTACTCTTCCTTTAGGAAAGTGGTAGTCGCTCTTATTTCTTCCCCCAGCTTATAAGACAGCTTTATTCTAACATTTATAGGTAGCATTACAGTGTGAGGAGTCTGAAGCTCTTAAACATTATGAACCAGAAGTATAGAACTTACTTGTTTGTTATGTAAATGTTATTAATTTTCTTTGAAATGAAAAGGCCAAAAGAAAACCCAAATATACTAATAGTACTTTCTAGTTATTTTCTCACTGAGACAAACCATGAATTTGTCACTAGACCAGAATATAAAAACAGCATTCTAGAAGAAAAGAAATTGTATGCTGTTGAATGTCAGGTGCACAAATTCTTGCACCATGCAGGTTATTTTAAATTCTTGAATCTTATTTTATCCCCTGAGAAGTGCTTTTTAATTGGTAGTGGAAGTAAATATAAGTTAAAAAATAGTATCTTTCAATTGCATCACTGAACGGATAGTAAGTCAGGACACTTTCTTTTCATTTTGTATTTGTGACATTTTCCATTTCAGTCACTTACACTAAACATCCAGAAAGGTCAAGATGAGCTGCCAAATACAGGTTTCCCGAAATGCTGTTGAAATTTCTTATCTTTGCATCCTCGTACCAACCTGCCTAAACATGTTTCCTTAAATAAGTGTCAGCCTGGGCTGCTGGGCAACAGTAAGGCCTTTGGGTGTAAATTGCTCAGGACCTGTACCCACGAGAGAGCTGGCCTCGGATATCTAAAGCCCAGGATGGGCACCCAAGGGGAAGGACTCTGGGGCCCTGTGTCTTCTGACACCTATTTTACTTCAGTATTGGCTGACATCAAAAGAACTGGGATGTCAGTACAGAAAATGCAGATATTTATTTACAATTAATAACTAACTGCATTTATAAATAAATATATTTATAATAACTAACTGTGAGGATGGTTTTGCCTAGTGTTGACTGCATTCCTTCTTATGCTACAGGGAAGTGACATAAACAGAAGCAGGCAGATAGAAATGCCGCTGCGCAGAGTCCACAACACTTGAATATTTCGATTGAGAAGGTAAGCAAAGGTATTTAACAAACACCTAGGGTTAAAGTTCAGTAGCCACTTACAATGGGAACCTTGCAGAAAGTGAAGGAGTCTAAGGTGCAATCTACAAAGATGGCTACGGTAGAGGAGGTGTTTCAACGTTAACTCCTCAAGGGATACAGTGGAAAACTAAATGATTGTCCTCCCCTGTGAGCACCATATCCAAAACACAAACAGCTGGGAACGAACCTGAGCTCATTCTACTTCTCAAATGATTGCCTCCCAGAGAATACTTTTTAGCACAAGACAGTGTTATCTGGCAACTCTATTTTTAACAGGTGCCATTTTAGAAGCCTGGAAACCCATCACAGTCATTCAGTATCACTGACAGGAACACAACAGTCCCAAACACCTACTGCATGGTTATGAAACAGCCAAGCCTTAATCAGCAGCCAGGAAGCTGGTGTCCTCAACCTCCTGTGTAGAATGGACCTAGGATCCGGGGGAGGTGGACACAGACTCATGGCCAGAAAGAAGGTGGGGAGGAGTATTTGGAGTCAAGAAGACCCTGCTTAACATGTTGACTCTGACATTACTACGAGTTACTGAGACTCTTGGAGCCTCAGTTTCTTCTTTTGAAAAAAGAAATAATACCTATTTTTAGGTTGTTTTAATAATTAAATGAAATACTATATAGAAAGTGCTTGGCGCAGTGCCTGGCACAGACAGAAATTTATAAAGTGGTAGCTGTTATTAATATTAAAAGGAAGGGGTGGGGAAGGTAGTGAGAAGAATGGAGAAAGGGAGAAAAAAGGAGCCAGAAATGTCTGGAACAGGTCCATTTATAAATACATAAAGTAAATTAGCGGTTGTCAGAGGCTAAGAGAAGAAAGGATTTGGGAGTGACTCCTGATGGGTACGGGGTTTCTTTTTGGGTTGATGAAAAATTCTGGAATTAGACGATGTGCACAGCCTTATGAATATACTAAAAACCATCAAAGTGTACACTTTAAAAAGGTGGCTTTTATGTATGTGAATTATATCTCAATTTTTAAAAAAGCCATACACACACACGAAAATGAGGAGAGCTGGAAGCCTAAGGCAACTAGCGAGGAGAAGGGAAAGAGACCAAGTAGAGAGTGCTGTAGAAGATGACCATGACATGGAAGGGGACATGTGTGTGCACGTTTGTGTGCATGTGTGTGTGAGAACAAGAATACATCTAACACACTTGCATTTCACCGGAAATTCTAGTTACCTGAAACAGCCCATTCCCTGACCATGCTGGCTAACCGAGGTGTGCCAATGGGGTGATATGATAAGAAACCTGAACCACGAGCCAGGAAGCTTTATATTTATAACATCTAAGACCGACCAGGCTAATTCTTTCTTTTTAAGAAAAGGAGAACCTGGCCCACAAAGCGGAAGAGATTTTTCCCAGGTGGCTGAGGTGGGGCTAGGTCCCAGGCTTCGGTAACTTAACATGGTTCTTCAAGCGTATTCAGCCCTCACAGGCAGGAAGACGTGAGGGTTAATGGAGGTCGACGGCTGTTTTTCCTCAGTAATTGTGTGGGGAGGGCAGAGAGCTTGTCTGGAATGGCAGCTGGCATTCTGTGTTCCTGTTTATTGCAGTTTATCTCAAGCAGTCATTTCCATTCACCTTTTAAAAAAAACATGAGGCGCAGCTGTGGCTTCACTTTAAATATTGTTCCTTCCAGCCTTTTAATTTTTTCACAGGGTCCTCCCTAATCTTTCACCATAATTGGATGCACAACACTAGAGACGGCACCCCTGAGGAACAAAGCGAAGCGAGCGGCTGGCCCGGCCCTGGGCCCACTCACCGCCCTGCTGTCAGCTCCCTGATTCTGTGCACAGTAGCCTAGGAACAGAAGGCAATACCAGATTCCCTGCATTTTCTCTGCTCTGGAACAAAGTTGGAGCCAGTCTTCTGCCATATTCTATATTAAATTTTCCCGATTTCCTTTTCTCTCTCTCCATTAGTGTCATTTAGATCTTTCCCTGCCCCAAGAATGTACACATAAACAACTCTCGTGTTTAAGGTACACATTCCTGGGGCAGGGAAAGATCTAAATGGCTGCACACTTTAGAAGTCCACACCGGCTATCTGGACACTCCAGGCAGCATCAGTTCCATGTAGTTTGTTCCTTTATGTGCCTCCCCCATTGGGACGGTCAGCTCCTGGAGGGAAAGCTCAGTCCCCCTTTGGTGATCCTAGAGCCATGCACAGTGCCAGGAACATGAGAGGGCTCTTGGAAAAATGATGGTGGAATGGATGAGGACACTGACTTAGATGCTGCATACCACGTTGGTCCTGAAGACAATCAGCTCTGTGGTTCTTTATCAGGGGATCAGAACTTGCTCACAGCAGGGCAGGGAAATAATGGGCTGAACACATACACCTCGGATTCTGCTAAGGTCTGCACTTTTCTTCTTAAACACTAAGATATGTTTTCTGTTGAGGGCAGTTTTACTATTACTATTGAATAAACCAGAGGTCCTTAATGAAACATCTTTCTTACAGTCAAAACCTTCCCCACGGAAAAAGAACAGAAGCATAATCTTTTTCTTCCTTTGCTTCGGTGGAATCTAATTTTAGTCATCAGAAAGTGACCTTTCCCCCTGAAGGCTGTTTGTCTGACTTTAAAACAACCCTGTAAAATAATCCCTATACACATGTGGTATTTATTAGTGCAATTGGTTCAGGGAATTCTATGGTACCTAAGCAGGGATGTATCAATTTTTTAATTGTTTTTGACAATTGACCTCAAAATGGGGTGAAAGTACCACAGGAGATAAAAAAAAAATTACAACTTTTACTTATATTTATATTTTAAACATTTTATTCTCTAAAATATCTATTTGTGTATATGTTTTACATACACACATTGTATTTTATAGTGGTGGGTGCTATTTCTGAATAAAATATATGTATATTACAGGCATGGACTCAAAACCATCTTACTGATGAATGCAAGGTCAAAAAAGCCTGCAGAGCCCCACTTTACGGCATCTAATTTAATTTTCTACTTAGCCAACAAAACAGGAAAAATATTAGCGAAAAAATTAGAAAAGGAAGATTCTAATTAGGGAAAGTTATTTTTATACTAGGTAACTATTTTCTTATTCCTCATATTTTTAAAAAAGTGTATGTTGCCCTGTTTCACTAGCTCATAGTAAAATTACAAAGAGTGGGTTTAAAAAAGAAGGATAATTATAATGAAGTCTTCATAATAATCACGATACACATAAACATTTGAAAACACTTTGCCTGAGGAAGGTATTTAAAAGGCCGGAATGACAAGAGAACAACCCTCATGTTTAAGATCCGGAACATAATGAACTGATCTCTGAGCACTCCACACATCTAGAAGTTTCATCTTGCAGTTTTTTTGTACTAACCTATCAGATACTGAAATCATATGCGGCATTCTACTGCCTTTGTTAGATAATGGGTTACACAGTGCAATTCTGTTTTGTTGTTGTTGATGTTTTAAAGCTCCTTGAGCCGTACATGTCTGTAGCTTTAGTCAGCCCTGTCTCAGGTTGCTGGTGTATCACTGCTTACTTATTCCAGGCATCTGGGTTCCCTCTGTTTCTAAGTAGGAAAAAACTAGAACAGTCATGACTTCATTGTTAATGCATTAGCAATGGTATGTTTCATTTTTCCTAAGTGCAAACTGACCTATCCTCTTCTATCTGAGAAATGGTCTGACAAAGGACACCATGACCAGTTCTTTGACACTGAAAATAGCAGAAGTATGAGATGGCTACACTTGTTCTGCAGAGCTGGATAAGCAATCTGACTCTTACGGCAGAGTGTCCCAAGCATCTTTTGCACATCGCTTCCGGCAGAAGCGGACAGCTGGGAAGTGTTAGGGTTATGAGACTCAGCGAACTATCACCTTGGTGCTCATTCCTGTCTTGGGGATCACAAGGGATGAAAAACACAAACGGCAACATGGCAGGTTACTGAAACCGCTTTCACATATTTAAGTTTCAGCTTGTGGAGAAAGAACATAAGCTGTTGTGAACTCCTCTAGGAAGTACAGTATATACTTAAAACAGTCCCCACACTCACACACACACATATATGTATATAAGATATAAACTACCATATTTTACATTACTATACGTAAGGATCTATCACGACAGAAGCTTCTTTCTATATGTCATTCCTGGGAAAAAAGTTAGTGATGTATTTGATCAAATTAAAAATTAAGTAGCAAGTTTTACTGTTCTATCATTAACTGATATTTGCCTCTGAGGTAAAGAGGTCTTCATTTCCAGGCCCATGATGGAAGGGATTTTATTCTTCATGTTATGCCATGTTGTGAACTACACTTGACTTGTGGCAAATAATGAAGAGGGAAGGACATAGTGTGTGTTTTAGGCTTCTGTGGACAGATAAGCATATACTTGTAGTTTAATTTCATGACCTCACCCATATAACTAAAGCTATTTTTACTCGGGCCTGTGATTACCAGAACATTACCATATAAAACATTCTCAAAATATATTTACTGACTTTCAAAAAAAAGGGCAGGGAAAAGATGAACAGATACTGTATCAACTTTTAAAAACCCCAAACATGTTAACTAAAACTTGATATTTTTCATTGCCAATAAAATCAAACAAAAAATTGGAAAAATAGGTTAAACATTCTAGTAATTTTTTTTGCCAGTGAACTGTAAATATATGTCAATAATTTTTAAAAAATTCCTTCACATAAAAAGCCTGCCTAGCAGTTAAATGCATAATAGAATTTTTTCAACTTCAGAATAACAACATGTGTGTTTTAGTTGCTGCTGTAACATATTAATGAACATAAGCTGGGAAAAGCAGAAAGAACTTTCCTAGCTTAATGCATTTGATTCTGTGCATTTAGTTTTTCCTGACTATATTATGGCAATAGCCACTGAGTGTGGAATTTGGCCACTCCTCAAGGGTGATCTTTCTCCAGTTAGAAAAATGGTTCAATTGTTTATAAACAAAAGAGCTCTCCCCCCTTACCTTTTTATAATTCCCCTCCATATCCAATGAGGATTCTTGACTGATGATGTCATCCATTCCATCACTGTCCAAATTCATCCTTTAACTCTTTAGAATTTCACTTAAGAAATAACCTCCCATGAATTCTGATAGGCTGATGTGCCAATTGCCCAGTTCCCTGGTTACTGCTCATACTGACATGGAGAGCTGGCTAAGAGGCTGTGCCCGGCCGTGTGTGTTCTTGCCCCACTCTGTCCCACAGACACTGCCCCGCCCAGCCTCCCTGGCCTTTCCTTGCTCTGGCACCGGGCAGCTGCTGTTTTCTGAGGCTCACTCTGCCCCTGACACTTGGCTTGCTGACTCCGGCCTTCCCACCATCTGCTGTCACCTTCCCCTGAATGATCCCGCCCCAATTCCTCTCCACAGCACCTTTCCTGTTCCCAAGAAAGGAAAAGAGAGGCACTCAGCTTCAGCCAGCTGATTCAACTCCGCGTTCAGGGCCGAGTGTGGACTGGAGCTCTGTGAGGAAACTAGCAATCTGAACCAGGGGTAGATTGTGTGGGATAAAAATAGATGTGAAAACTTCCAGCCCAGCCGACTTCACTACTGAGTTAAAAGCTGGGTATCCCATGACAAAACGGAAACAGTATAATTTAAAGGCTGACCTGTAACACAGATGTTTGCTTTTTTCCCCCTTTAACTGATCATTTCTTAAAATCTCATGTAAAAGTCTCATCTGGTAGGAGCTCCAGGACGAGACTGAAATTCACTTCCAACACAGAGAAGGACCCTTCTGCCCTGGGAGCAGTGCTTTGTTCTATTAATATAGGCAACAGAAAAAGATCCATCAACTTTTCTTTAAAATTCAAGCAGTGGCGGGCTTTTTCACAAAAGCAAACGTTCTTTTCTGCTGCTCTCTTTACACTTTTCCCATGGCTTCTGGTTTTGTTTACAGGCTTTACTAAAGAGAGGGAAAAGGCCCACAGCTGGAGGATGTTTTGGTGCAAGAAGCAGACAAGCAGAAGTGCACATACAAACACACACTCATCAGAATCAGCTTACTACTGTCATAAACTAAAAATTATGCCCAGTGTTTATTTCCAAAAAATAAAGCTACTGTTTGCAGGAGAAATAGGTCAGAAAAGAATTCAAAGGGCAAGCCTTCATTTAGCAACACCATCTTACACTCTGACAAGCTTAGATAAAAAGCAGCAAGTATACTAGTCAATAAATTTTCCAATATAGATTCTTGTGCAACCACAATACTGTTAAGAACAGAGTTCTAAAAGCAAAAAGGCTATTCAAGATAACCTTTTGGCATCTGAACTGCTGCTGACATGCTCACCTTCAGTGTCTACTTATTTCTCTCCACATTTTTTAAAAATTCAATTTGTAGAAGACTTGTGGCATAAATGTGTTTCAAAGTAGTTTATAATAGCCCTACTTCTATAAAGCAAATACTTCCCTCTGTAGCCCCCAAACCAAAGTGAAATCTTCCCTTTACTCCATTCTCATTGCCCCACCTCAGTTCCAAAAAGAATTAATTGCATGTTTGTCAGATGTTACAATAACAAGTTGTCTCTCATGAACCACATTTGCATTTGGGCAGGGTTTTCCCTGGAAGAGATCTCCCTTGTCTTACTCTCCTTCAAACCCCAGGACCCTCACTCCAGATGGGGGTCCCACTGTCTGCATGCAGGCAGCCCAGAATGCTTCCCGGGGCTGTGGCAATGCTGGCCACAGACTGCTGCTCCCAGTGCCCCGTGCAGGTGCTCAAAATACAGGAGAATTCACCAAGGCTAAGACTTTGGGGTTAAAGTATGCTCTAGTTTGAAGGACCCTGTGTATGTTAAATCCTGCCAAAGGAGGTTAGTTAAAATGAAGGAAGCATGCATCTTCTTACCTGGCATATATTAACAGCTACCCTTTATTGAGGGAGGGGTTGCTATGTGCCAGGCACTTTATATGTTCCTCCTACATATGTCTTTAATCCTCTCAATAATCTTTTGGAGTAGATATTACTATCAATTGTGTTTTACAGCAAAATGAAAGAGCTCAGTGAGGTTAAGGAAGATGAATATGGGCTCTCTGCCTCTGTGGCCCACACTCTAACCATCCCACACTGGCTGCCTCTGTAAGAAATAATTGTGCTGAATAAAATAATCAAGTATAGCTTTTATTTATTTATTTAGACAGGTTCTTGCTCTGTTGCCCAGGCTGGAGTGCAATGGCATGATCATGGCTCACTGCCACCTTGACCTCCAGGCTCAAGTGATCCTCCCACCTCAGCTTTCTGAATAGCTGGGACTAGATAGTATAGGGACTATAGGAGTGCACCACTATGCCTGGATAATTTAAAAAATTTTTTGTAGGGATGGGATCTCACTATGTTGCCCAGGCTGGTCTTGAGCTCCTGGGCTCAGGTGATCTTCCTATCTTGGCCTCCAAAAGTACTGAGATTATAGATGTGAAGCACCACGCCCATCCAAGCATAGCTTTTAAAGATTAGAGTTCAACACAGACAAATCTAGTAGAGCTCCAGATATGTGGTTTGGATCTGTGTCCCCACCAAAATCTCATGTTCGATTGTAATCACCAATGTTGGAGGTAGGGCCTGGTGTGAGGTGACTGGACCATGGGGGTGGTTTCTAATGGTTTAGCACCATCCCCCTAATGCTGCTCTGGTGATAAGAGTTCTCATGAGATCTGGTTGTTTAAAAGCGTGTAGCACCTCCCCACTCTTTCCCTTCCTCCTGCTCTGGCCACGTGAAGATGTGCCTGCTTCCCCTTTGCCTTCTGTCGTAATTGTAAGTTTCCTGAGGCCTCCCCCACCATGCTTCCTGTACTGCCAGCAGAACCATGAGCCAATTAAACCTCTTTTATTTATAAATTACCCAGTCTCACGTATTTCCTTTTTTTTTTTTTTTTTTTTTTTTGAGATGGAATCTCCAGCCTGGAGTGCAGTGGCACAATCTTGGCTCACTGCAACATCTGCCTCCCAGGTTCAAGTGATTCTTCGATTTCAGCCTCTCAAGTAGCTGAGATTACAGGTGCCCGCCACCACGCCCAGCTAATTTTCGTATTTTTAGTAGAAACGGGGCTTCACCATGTTGGCTAGGATGGTCTCGAACTCCTGACCTCAGGTGATCCACCCGCCTTGGCCTCCCAAAATGCTGGGATTACAGGTGTAAGCCACCATGCCTGGCCAGGTATTTCTATATAGCAGTGTAACAATGGACTAATACAGCTCCCTGTATAACAATATCAAGAGCTGAATCAACATTTTCCAGATCATACATCTGGAACACCCAGCACGTATTGTCGCATATCTCTTCTGATGAAGCCTCAAGAAATGAAATGGAAGCTACTTCACTGATGTCAGAACCTAGTACGCTATATGATGAATTTTCCTTTCCAGTTTACCTGGTGTCTTTTAGCACCACTGTTGCTTCTTTCCAACAGCCACTGTGGTTGCAAGCTCTTTTCTAAGGGGACAGGGATTTGTCATCTTGTTTACCCCATAGCATGTAGAACACTGCCTTGCACACGATAAGCGCACAATGAAGAGCTGTTGACTAAGTACGTGAACAGAGGAAATATGAACGTGCTGCTTAAAATGTTTCCTCTAAATGCTGTCCACAGTAGGAAACATTAATAGTGCTTTTCAACTGAAATCTTCTGTGGAACTCACATATGTTCAAAAGGAAAAAAGGGTCTGCTTTGATTGAATGAGGAGGGCTACCACACCCCACCTGGATGCTCTATTCTCCTATTATCCCAGCCCCAGCACAGCCTCTCAGGAAAGCTCTGTGGAAAGGAAGCCCTAGGACCCTGCAGACCCCACTCACTCTGCAGACTACAGCTTGAAAAGCTCTAAAGACCATACAAATGGCTCTTTCACAGTAGCAGCAAAGCAGTATTCTGCTCCTGGCTCCATGACTGTACTGATTTCCAGACCTCAGTCCACTGCACTTGGGGTTCAGCTACAATATGAATTTCATTCTTATCTGGGTTAATGTCGTAGTCCACTTAGAAACCTATAATCGATAGCTAACATGGATGAAATTATAATAATTTAGAGACTGCAAGACTCCGTAAGATACATAAAATGATATGCCTGATTACTAGTATCTTTTTACTTTAATTTTAACAGAGTGGGCTTAAATATACAATTAAAATGAGAAAAACTGAACTCTCATGATTATGTATATATACATACAGATTAATATATGTGTACTAGTAATATAGTAATGATATACATACACATGTATATACACATACATTGATAATATATTATCTTTTGGAGAGAGGCACCTCAAAATTCGAGATGGAAATTTCCCAACAAAACAACAGCAACAAGGAATAGTACTGAGAATACTAAAAGACCATTCCACTCCTCTACCTGCTAGCTCCTTTTTTGTCGTAAGTGTTCTCTAATAAGCACTATACAGAGACAAGTGATAGAACATCTGCTCCTGAAACATGAATGCAAGCAGTTGAGGGCAGTTCTCAGTGGTGGTGACATCACTGTGCACCCTCCCTAAAGAAGCTCAGCACGTAGATAAGCTCATAGCCCAAACCCTTTCCAGATGGAGCTGTGCCACCGTTTTCAGGATAGCTTGTGCCAGCTTAAAATATCTGAGAGTTTCCTATTATGTGTGGCATCACTTATCTGTGAAACTTTCTAGAGTTTTGCTACTCAAAGTGTGTTCTCCAAGCAGATTATCAACAGCACTGGGAGCTTTCTAGAAATGTAAGCCCTCCAGTCCCACTCCAGAACCACTGAATCAGAAATTGCATTAAAAAAAAAGAGAGACCCCTAGGATTTTTGAATATACCTTAAAGTGTAGAAGGGTTGCTCTAGAACTTGAAAAAAAAAATCATTATCAGCCATTATCCCTCTATTTCAAACCACATTTCCAGGCAGGGTGGCAAGACCTTGACTACATGCTTGGGATTAACACTGTAATTAATTTCACTTCCATGTGGTCCAAATGAATACAGGAATGGAAAACACAAAATAAAACACCACCTTGGCAGAGACTTGAGCTGAATGTAATGCCTGATGGTTTGCCAGTAGCTTGCAAATGGGGAGACAGCCACTCCTATCCTTCTATGGGGATTGTCTCTGGTACCTCCTCTGCTGCTGCCCTCTCTAGAATGAACTGTCCATGCATAAGATGGGCCCAGATACTAGCGCTCTCCCTTAGAAAACCTACTCACAGTCACTTAGAATCCCTGAGGTTGAAAAAGCCTCTTCCCACTCCCTGCTCTGAATTTCAAGGACTAGCATGAAGAGCTTTGGTTTCCTGTTGAGCCATGATCTGAATTGAAAGGCACATTGCTCACGTGAGTTAATGCTTTTAAATGATCATTATCAGCCATTGGTGGAAATTATTAACTCTGAGAACACTGACCACATTACTGGGAGATCACTTATGCACTGTCAAAAGATTTTCCTATCATACATGGAAACTCGATTTCATCCTGATTAACCCTTCATCTCCCACTGCCTTCTCCTCGGCCTTAACATCCATATTCCATGTATTAGATTTATAACCTCTTTTCAAATAATTTTTTTCTTCTGTGCAAAGTTCATCTAAATTTGGTTTGCTTTTCAATTAAAGTATTCTGATAGCTAGAAAAGCCATGAAAATATGCAGGCCATTTAAAGGACTTTGCTGTATAGATTTTTAAAAAATTAAAATAATGGTATTAAAAGTGTGGGGTGGGGAGGTGGCAGTGCTGGGAGTAGACAGAGTATCACACATTTTCCTACATCTAAAAGATCGTGGGCCATAGTTGTAAATCTTCCTGTCCAACTAAAACCAAGCACGAGAAACTCAACTGTGGTCACTCTGATGACCATCGCACAGCTTCCAAGTGGAACCAATTTTAATGTCCTCATTATGTTTCTCTGTGTGTTCTTTCCCCATTAATGGCTTTCCTACACTGATTGTCACTTAGGCCTCTCTGATGGTTGTTTTCTTTTGAATTCAAGCAGTTTTGTCAAATTACTTTCTATTTCAGGAAGTTTGGTAGTTTCTGATGCTTCTATATAGTGCACAGGGGAATACTAAGTACACCAAGATTTCAAACTTTCCCTTGTTATAGAGAATATAAATAAATAATGGGATATGACTTCAATGGGATAGGGCTCTATTAATGTTGGGCTTCTGTATGTAAAACTGTGATTAGTTCCCCAAGATTTTATATATTTGTGCGTTATGTATGTGCATGAATAGGGTGTCTCTACTTTCAAGCAAGCATCAATGCAATGTGATATTTTCCATAGAGATGCCCCATTTCCTTCCCACCCCCCATCACCACCATCCTTTCCAAGAATAAATACTAGACCTTTGGATTAAAATATGTTTCACATATGTACTTCTTAAAATCACTCGAAGTCTGAATCATGAAGTTTGAGGCCCAAATGCTACTTTAAATAGAAATGATGTGCTTGTACTAAATTTCTATTTCAGATCAGGCCCACAATGAAGCCCTGCTAATTTTTTTTTTCCATGTGGGGCTCTTATCATTGTGCTCCTTTTGTGGTAAAGCATATAAATTAGATTTTCAGACATCTGAGCTAAAAAAAAAATGCATATAAATTTATCTCCAAAATTTTTTTATTGATTTCAAAGGTTACTCCCTCTTTGGAAAAACAGAACTATATCTCAACAAGGCAGACAATAATTATACTTTAAACAGGCAAAACAATGAAGACCAAGTACTCTTCAGCACTATTAACTATAGAAAAAAAATTCCCCATCAAAAAAATCTATAGAATAAAACAGAAAATTGTCTCATTGAACTTATATTTAAAAGCCTCCATCAAATAGAGCACTAAAATGCTTTGAAATTCCCTTTTCCATTCTAATATCTTTTTCCCTGCTGTGGAAGAAACCAGGCTTAAATTGGGTGGAATCTTGAACTCAAATTTGATACTTTGTTTTCTCAATCACAGGAAGAAGGGATTGAGAGACTAGTCCTCACTTGTCCTGGTGTCGATAGGGATAGAATATATTTGCTTTCCTTTGTTAACCATTAATGACCCACTAGAATCTGGGCATAAAAGGCTGTTTACCACTTTCTCCAACAAGAATTTTAAGAATATCATGATATACTACTTAAACTGATATACTCCCTAGTTTTATCACTTAAGAGCAACACAGGGTGTCTTTTATTTTATGTGCTGGGTATGATACCTCAATTGGGCTGAAACATTTGGCCACAGAAAACTTCGGTATTCCATGCGGTGGTAAAATTATCCCTCTATAAGGCAGACGGATGTATTAAAACTTTGCAAAACTCATTATAGTAAGAAAGGCAGCTTGGAGATGAGTACTTGCAAAGCACTTGGGGACAGACCATGAGGTTCATCTTGGGAAAATTCTCTGGATGAAGAAGTAGGCATGGAGGTATTTTCTTAATGCATTGTCTCTGGGAAGGCTGGAATGTCTGTGCATCCCAGTCATTCATTTATTTTGTGCCTTGCACTGCACCCCCAATTCTGGCACATGAGATGTTTAAAGTGCGGGCAACTGGCCAAGAGGCTGAGAAGCCAGGTACATGGACTTCTGAGGTCAGCTTCACCAACTCCTTGTTACAACGTATGGATCTGAGCTTATCTCTGGGGTTACGATGGGAAACCCTGATCCTAGGGACTCAGAACATCAACAATTGCATAAAGTGCAATTCAATCCAACAAACATTTATTGAACACATACTCTGTGTATAAGGCAGAGACTTGTGAAAATTTAAAGAAGGCCCCTTGTCTTCAAGAAGCCTGTTGTCGGCCAGGCGCGGTGGCTCACGACTGTGATCCCAGCACTTTGGGAGGCTAAGGTGGGCAGATCACCTAAGGTCAGAAGTTTGAGACCAGTCTGGCCAACATGGTGAAAACCCGTTTCTACTAAAAATACAGAAAATTAGCTGGGCATGGTGGTGGACGCGTGTAATCTCAGCTACTCAGGAGGCTAAGGTGGGAGAATCGCTGGAACCCGGGAGGTGGAGGTTACAGTGAGCCAAGATTGCGCCACAGCACACCAGCCTGGGCAACGGAGCAAGACTCCATCTAAAAAAAAAAAAAAAAAGAAGAAGCTTGTCGTCTAATGGAGGAGACAGACCTATATGTAAATAGTTGTAAATGGGTTCTAATACAAGTAAAAACAAAATGTACTGAGAAGGAGAAATCTGGACTGAGAAATAAATGGGAAAAGTTTCCTGAAGGAGGTGGCATTTGAGCCTTGAAAGCTGCATTAGCCTGCAGTGGGTGGGAGCAGGTGGTGTGTGGGTAGGAGACATCTCAGCCTGAGGCATTGCAGCTAAGAACTGATGGCACTGTGAAGGCAGGAGTAAAGGGTCTGGAGCGAGAAGCATTTCTGCCTAGGGGTCAGAAACAAATGTCGGGCCTTGAAGGCCATGCAGAGGAGTCTGAAATGTATCCTAAGGAACAGAGGGAAGCATTAAAGATTTCTGACGGTGCTTCTCATGACCTGGTATGTGTTTGAAGAAGGGACTCTTTATGCTCCCAAGGGAGGAAAAAGATGAGTGTTATTCACACACTATTTTACTTTTTCTTCTTCAAGTCTCCATTCCCACAGTAGCTAAGAATGTCAGGGTGTGATCTATATCTGGGGCGGTCATAAGGGAATTTAAGCAATGGCAAGAAAGGTATGAAAGCATGTCATTGTTTTTATATACACACTTATCCCAAAACCCCACTCCAGGAAAGAGGGAAAAAATATTTAAGAGCTTTTAAGCAAAATGGACCCTTCGACCTAAACTTGTGCTTTCAAGTTTACAATATTTCTAAGCTGTCTATCAAAAACCATTTAGAAAAATGTGGCCTCTTGAAGGCTGCCAGGCCTGAAGCTGTGGGCAAGTTTCTTTCCTGAAGAGATTGGCTTCCTCCCAAGACTGGAAAATGGAGGTCGATAGCTCTATCTTTTAACAGGGCTAAGACCACAAATGACAACACATGCCTCAGTAACCTCTTTGCTAACATAAATCCTGTAAGGAAGAAAAGTATATGAAGATGACGACGATGTGAGCAGTTTTAAAAACAAAACAAACAACCATGAAAAATTCTGTAGGAGAATTCCTTCTGTTTATTCCTCCTTGGTTTACGTTGTTCAAAGAACAGTGCATACAAGCCCTTGCTCAAACAGGGGTGTTCAGGCTCTTGGTAGCAGCGAAACTCTCTTTTTCAAAACAAATCATCCATTTAGAAAAGCAATGTGTAAGAATCCATTGTATTTCTACATATTAGCAAGATACAACTGGGAAATGAAGTGAGACACAGTTTCCCTGGGCCGCTGAACAATCCTCACCAAACCCCTGATGTGCTCAGAAGAAATGACACAAGAGGAAGGGGGCTCTTAATTCATGATAACTGACTTGTTTATGCAGAAAGGCAGCCTCTGGCAGGGGACCTGGCAACTCTTATGCCAGGAAGTTAACTGGGAAAGTCTCCATTTCACAGATGAGAAAACTAACAAGAAACAAGGGGATAGATAACCAGCTCACACACAATGAAAACAGTGCAGGTTCATGGTGGGAGGAGGGGAAGGAGTAGGACTGAAAGTCATAAAACAAGAAACCAAAATGCCATAGAATGTTTACAATGCTTTTTTTTTTTTTTTTTTTTTTTTGAGACAGAGTCTTGCTCTGTCGCCCAGGCTGGAGCGCAGTGGCGTGATCTCAGCTCACTGCAAGCTCTGCCTCCCGGGTTCACACCATTCTCCTGCATCAGCCTCCCTAGTAGCTGGGACTACAGGTGCCCGCCACCTTGGCCGGCTGATTTTTTGTATTTTTTTTAGTAGAGATGGGGTTTCACTGTGTTAGCCAGGATGGTCTCGATCTCCTGACCTCGTGATCCGCAGCCCTCGGCCTCCCAAAGTCCTGGGATTACAGGCGTGAGCCACCACGCCCTGCCTTACAATGCCTTTTTTGTTAGTCAATTTTACAAATAGTAGACATATCCATCTGTATTACTTGAGGACCTATTCTAAGCACTGAGAAAGCAGACAGAACAAAGATAAAATCCCTGCCCTCATGAAGTGAGTGAGGGAGCCAGAAAATAGACAAATAAGTAAAATATGTACTATGATAAATGGCGATAAATAAATATAAAAATAAATTAGAGAAGCATGATAGAAATATTGGGATAGGCCGCGCTCATGCCTGTAATCCCAGCACTTTGGGAGGCCAAGGCGGGCAGATCACCTGAGGTCAGGTGTTCGAGACCAGCTTGGCCAACATGGTGAAAGCCAGTCTCTAGTAAAAATGCAAAAATTAGCTGGGCATGGTGGCGGGCGCCTGTAATCCCAGCTACTCAGGAGACTGAGGTAGGAGAATTGCTTGAACTCAGCAGCTGAGTTTGATTGCGCCACTGAGATTGCGCCACTGCACTCCAGCCTGGGCAACAGAGTGAGACTCCATCTCAAAAAAAAAAAAAAAAAAAAAAAAAAAAGAAAGAAATATTGGGATAGAACTGGAGAGCTGGAAGTTTACAGATTACATCCAGATAAGGCTTCACCTAGAAGTGACATCTGAGCAAAGACTCGCAGAAAGTGAGAGAGTAATGGATGGGGGTAGAGGCGACAATATAAGGTAAATATCTATAAGATGTAAAATATTAGATGCCTGGTTGAATGTGAATTTCAGATAAACAGTGAACAATATTTTAGTGTATGTCCCAAATGCTGTAAGTTATTTGCTAAATCTGGCAACCCTACACAGTGGGGCGGGGAGGGGGTGGATAGGGGAGGTGGGGGTGCATGCCAGGCAGAAGGAATAGCAGGTGCAGGGCCAGCCCAGCATGGTAGGAAGGTAGTGGAGGAAATCAGGAATGTAGGAGCGGAGTCCAAGAGGAAGCAGGGACGAGCTGATATAAAGCCCTGTTAGGACTTGGATTTTTACTCTGAGCAGGATGATAAACTAAAATTTTTGAGATATGGGACATGATCTGTCTTCAGTTTTAAAAGCTCATTTTGGAAACTGTGTTGAAAATAGACTATGGAGTGTGGGCAAGGGCAGGGGTAGGTAGAACACATAGAAGGCTATTATTGCTGTAATTATGATGACAATAACAACCACGACAACAATGATGTACATCTATACAAAAGCACAAAAATGTGCATGCAATTTTCAGGGGAATGGCCCCTGAAGCCCCCATTCATGGACTACCCATTAAGAAATCTTGGCATACATCATTTATGGGAGAAAAGGAATCAATATTTCAAATGAATTCTATCAACTGACTAAAAATGCTAATCTAAGAAATTTGCTTTTAACCACTGCAATATCATCCTTAAAAAATAAGTAAGTCCTTGTAAAATGGTGGGGAAGTTTCCGAAAGCCATTCAACTGCAGATATCATCAGTGACTACAAACATCAAGCTAAGGACTTCAAGAAAGCACCTTTTCTGAATCTAGTTGCATGTGGTGCCAGCTGGGTTCTAAAATGAAGGTTTCTAAGTGGGATTAAGATTTGGCTTCAAGGTTAATGTTTCTGTTTTTGCTGAGCTATGTATAAAGAGAGAGCACTTCAAAAGAACATACACATGTAGGTAGTTCTACTATAAAATCCCATGCAGATGCAAAATCTATTGACCATTATTACCCAACCAATACACTTAATTTTATTGTGAAAATAAGCAATAAATACTTCAAAACTATTAAACACATAATGACACTGTTATATATTGCAGCTCATGTAAAATAAAATCAATTTATCTTCCTTTGGAAGAAGTAGAATGCTAATATAACCCCTTCTCTCCAGATGAAATTGCTGATATTTGACCAATTTTCAACCTACAAAAACAATGCTTTTATGTTCAACCTAATGAAAAGACATATGGAATAATCTTATAGTAGTTTGCCCTTCAAAAATAAATAGATTCTTGGAAAAGAGAGAGTTATTTTAATTATTATAGTAATTCAATCACCTGGAGCCATGCCATGTGTAGATTAGGCTCTCTATGGATACTTGACATCCCCTACCCTCAAGTTCTGTATTATGTGTAAGTGACATGTTGGTTTTTTTCTCAGCATCTCTGACCCCTTTCTCGTGGAAAGAATTACTGTGAAGCATGACGCTCAATATTTAGGATCTATGGCCCTAAATGTACCATAAAATGAAAATACTATGAAATAAATCTGTAAGTACAAATTTCTAGTTATTAAGCAAGACAAAGTATATAAATACATTTCATAGGCACACGTTACTTAGCTGAGAAACCACTGCCTTGAGTCTTGTGAAATGTACTATTTTGCCTGCACATATTTACCATTGTGAAATCTGACCTTATGAGAAACACTTGCTTGTCTCAGGTAACCGACCTCACACAAGGAAGAAGCATTGTTAAGTTAGAGAATTGGTCTCTCAGAGATTCTAAACTCAGTCAGTTGAGTAATATCCCAATATTAACTCTCCAAGATTTGGACCAGCCCTGCCTGCTGCTGCAAAGAGCAATTTCTCTGAGAACATTCTTGCTGTCTGTTTTCAACAAAGATACTTTCTATGTTGCCTCAACAGTCCAAGTCCTACCAAGGAGTTACTAAACACTCTAGAGCTGATCTTTTGAAATTGTCTAAGTGTTTAATTCATAACTCCAGTAGCAAATTAGCATACAAATGAATATGAATTACTAAGATTTTTCTATTTGGAGTTTTTGATGCATGTTGATACTTTAATGCTTATTTACCAACCATTTAAAACAACATACTAGTAAAAATAAGTTCGGAAAGACACACAAGTGCAACTTTAAACATCAAGTGCATACTGGCTGATTTTTGAAAATTTCCAAGATTATCAATCGCGACTATCTATTTACATAATTTCTTAAAGATAGTCCTAAAAGCTGGATGTGAAGCAACTCACATCCTATGCAACGAGCAAAAATCACGTTTTTCAGTGTTATCGATGTGAGATTCCAAACAGATTTTCCTCTGAAATTCCCTTAAATTCAAATTACAGTCCAAAGCAATTCCTCTTTTTTGCAGACGTACAAAATATGCAAAGCACATATCACCTCCGTGAATTTCACAAATGCTTTAAAGGCCAAGGAAGCAGTGTTTTCTGCCCCATTACTCCCCAGAAAAGCTAATTACAATTCAGATACTGCACGTGATGAAGGCCAGGCGCGGAAGATGGCAAAATCCCTGAATATCCGGAAAGAGGCAACCTGCTGCTTTGGAAGAGGAAGGCCTCCTCTCCCAAAGGATGCCGGCCTCAGAATCAGGCTTTAAATTTTACCTGATACGAGCAGTTATCCTGATGTACCATCTCAGTGCATCCTAGGGCGCAGACCCCAACGCAGGACTGCTGAGCGAGGCTGCGGAGGGCAGGCGCGGAGCATCCACCGGCGGGCGGAGAGAACGCCCTGGTAAGGCAGGGGCTCCCCGCAGATTAAAATGGATGCTGTTTCGCTGATCAACCTGCGCAGTGGCACTGCCTGTGCCGGGAAGCGCGCAGCTAGCGAGCTGAGCTGCTCTCCAGCCCTCCGAAACCAGTGAGGCAGGCTTAGGAACATGGAGCTGGGACCGGGCTGGGGGAGGGGGCGCTCATCACCCGCACAATCAGCCAATTATATTATAGGCACAAAGAAAAGGATCAGTCTGGAGCTGGTGTGACCTTCTGGTGCTTTATGAAGGCAGTTAACTGATGTGGAAACATTCTAGTCCTCATTAACGAGAAAAAGGCCAGCGAGGGAGAGGGAGAGGGACAGACACAAATCAATGTTGCAGTTGAACATTTCTAACCTCCGGCATCATCCTTCCTACCCACTAAGGCTGCTTGGCTGGTGCTTATCAAAAAAAAAAAAAAAAAAAAAAAAAAAAAAGAAAAAGACCTTAAAGATAATTTTAGAACTTTTAACATGCTAAAGAGAGAACAATCCATTCTGAATACCAACAATGAAAGGATGTTTTTCTATGTTGAGTTTTTGAAGTGTTTGTCAACTTTATAACTAAAAGGTCTTTACTCTTTAAAAGGATTATTTTGTAATTCTTTAAATTCCCTGCTTATTTTTGGCTCCTAGCTTCTTTTTAAGTCAAATAGAAATAAGATAGAATAATTGCTGTTATAAGTTTTTTTAGGGAGAGAGCTTATTAAAATATTAAAGTCACTATAATTTACTTCATGAAAACTAAACTCTTAATTGGAAGGTTTTTTTTTTTTTAATGTAAGGCTTTGTACATATATTATTACCCAACGCTGTGACTTGAAAATATGGACACCCCCCAATGCAGCACATACAATTCTTGGAACAGACCCATCCTCCCTGAGACAGAGTAATTCTGGACTTGCGGACAATACTCAAAGGAAATACAAGTCAGACAATACATGTTTCTGGGAAAAAACTGGGGCCAGTTTCTGAGTGGCTTCAGGGCCACTTCAGGACTTGAGGATACACAAAAAGAAAAAACTGGGCTATAAATTCTTCAAGCTAATGTAATGAGAAAATTAAGGGGGAAAAGTTAAATAAAATTTTCTTATTTATATTCCTCAGTTGCCACAGGCAATTAGTTTTGTTGTTTCTTTTCTTTTTTAGCTTTTTTTTTTTTTTTTGAGATGGAGTCTCACTCTGTTGCCCAGGCTGGAGTGCAGTGGCGAGTGGCGAGATCTGAGCTCACTGCAAGCTCTGCCTCCTGGGTTCATGTCATTCTCCTGCCTCAGCCTCCTGAGTAGCTGGGACTACAGGCGCCCACCACCATGCCCGGCTAATTTTTTTATATTTTTTTTGGTAGAGACGGGGTTTCACCGTGTTAGCCAGGATGGTCTTGATCTCCTGACCTTGTGATCCGCCTGCCTCGGCCTCCCAAAGTGCTGGGATTATAGGCGTGAGCCACCGCGCCTGGCCCATGTTGTTTCTTAATAAAATAGCTCTGAGTACATAAATGGTACTTAACAAAAATGTGACTGAATTTAAACCATCAAATTAAAAAAATCAATAGGGACATTATTTTTAAGCTATTTTAGTATCTATCTGTCCTATGTTCTATTTATGTAGCCGTCTCAAAAACTCTTCCTCTTCCCATTAACCACGCAGTTTCACTGTGCTACTGACAGAGAAAACAAGTACTTTTTGCATGAGAAATGGAATTGACATGTTTGACAAGTTTTCCTATCAAGCACTCTCTTAAAAATGGTGGGAGTTTATGTTAGGATTATTTGCTAATGTAATTTTAATAACTTATCTGTTTTGTGGAATGAGAAAAACCTATTTTTATAAATATTCTTAATTTTTACTATTTGAGGTTCAAGCAGGAGCAAAGCCTGCTATTGCTATCTCAATTCGACTCCCTTGACGCACTCACAAGCACACTCATTTCAGCCTTCCTAGTGAGGAGAACGAAAAGATGGCCCTGAAAACTCAACTCCTGGTATCCTCAGAGGCTTCAATTTCAGCAGCAGGTTCAAAGGAAAAGTACTCTGGAGACTCACCGTGCAGAAGCTCACTGCCCTAATCCTTCCTAGTCCAGGAGAGGGGTGGGTCACATAACACGTGCAGGACTTTCTAGGCCTGCTCACTGGCTGCACAATGAAAGCTTGATGAATAAAGCAGAAGCCTGGGGGTAGGGAATGAGTCAAGATGAAGACAAGAAGATGGAAACTTTTCAGGGATAAGAAACAATAAACAATACACCCCCATCCTAAAACTCCATTCTTCTCTGAGAGAGACTTCTGTGTAGAGTGCCTTGCAATACAACCACCCAACAAGGTTCTGGAATTCTTTTTTTTTTTTTCGGGCGGGGGATGGAGTCTCACTCTGTCACCCAGACTGGAGTGGTGTGATCGGCTCACTGCAACCTCTGCCTCCCAGGTTCAAGCAATTCTTCCGCCTCAGCCCCCGGAGTAGCCGGGACTACAGGGGCGCACCACCACGCCCGGCTAATTTTTGTATTTTTAGTAGAGGCACGGTTTCACCTTGTTGGCCAGGCTGGTCTCGAACTCCTGATCTTGGGTGATCCAACCACCTTGGCCTACCAAAGTGTTGGGATTACAGGCCTGAGCCACCGTGTCCAGCCAAGGTTCTGGAATTCTAAATATGAGCAAAGAAGAGCAGGCCAAAGGAAAAAAGTTCACTTTGCAAGGTAGCAGATAAGATGAAGTGGAAATCTGTTTAATATAAAAAACACTTTCCAAGACAGAACAGCTCTAACTTCAAAGGCAGTTAAAACCTTACTCAAGTTACTACCTTGACAATCTATGACCCTAAGACTCAGGAACATGTTTCCAAGCTGTGCAAAGCTTAAAAAGCTGCTTCCTGGACTCTGTCTTTTCTGAAAACTGAAGACAATGGGATATATTACATAAGCTCCCAAAGACATTTATCATGTGTTGTTAAAAAAAAAAAAGTCTAAACATGATTCCACTCTTCACAGTTGCTGTTCCATAAATAGTGGAAATGACTCAGAGGTGGCTCTAGGGAGAACAGATTTCTGACAATTGTATCCCAAATCCTGTCAAAAAAACTCTCCCAAGAGGTATAAACAAGATGAAAAAAAATGAATATATTAGACAGGCTTCTCTTTATAGTCATTCATTGGAAACAACTTTGTGTTATAATTTGAAGTATGATTTGCTAGTGCAAAAAACTTTAAACAGAAACCAGCTGTTCCAAGAACACTTAAGCTAGAATAGTTTACCAAACTGCAGTAACATTTGTTATCTTTAACTAAAAAATATTGATGAACTTTTTATGTAAAGCATAGTCTTTGTAGCATAGGGATTTTTTTTTTCTTCTCAGATCTTCACAGCTTCCCTTCCCATAAAAAGTATTGAGTTTCAAATTTAGATGGGACCTCAAGAGATCATTTAGCCTGACACTGTTATTGTTCAGATATGGAAACCAAGGTCTAAGAAAGTTGTGGCATGCCCAACAACAAAAAGCCATCAAAGCAAGGAAAACAAAGAAACAAACATGATTTTCTGGGTTCATACCAAATAAGTGTGTTCCATAGAAAACAATGCTCCTATGGTCTGAATGTTGTGCCCTCAAACTTCATATGTGGAAATCTAATCACCAGTATGATGGTATTAAAAGGTGGGGCCATTGAGGGGTGATTAGGTCATGAGGGTGAAGCCCTCACAAATGGGATCCATGCCCTTTTTAAAAGAGGCCCAAGAGAGCTACCTTGCCCCTTCTGCTGTGTGAAGACACAGTAAGAAGATGCCATTGCCATCTATAAATCAGGAAACGGGGCCTCATGAGACACTGCCTTAATCTTGGACTTCTCAGTCTTCAGAACTCTAAGAAATACATTTCTGTTGTTTATAAGCTACCCAGTTTATGATATTTTATTACAGCAGCCCTAACAGACTAAGACGAATACTAACTGAGGACCCACCAGACTTGGAGAAATAAACCCCTTTTGACTGAGCCAACTGAGGCTGCTCTTGAAATCAAAATCTATCATAAAGTAAGAGTGAAGCTGCAGCGTGGGTCTACCTAAAACTCAATTCAAGGTATGTTTTAAGGGAAGAAAAATTAGATTATTTCCTTATTAAAATATTGTTTCTGCCACCTACAAACTATTGTGTCTTTAAATCCAGAAAAGCATTTTTTTTCAATTGTGGCAATTAGCAACAATAGAATGAAAGGGGGTTTTGGACAATAAATATAATAGTAAAAAGTTACATCCTCAGGCCATCGAGCATACAGTTTTGAAAGTGAATAGCCTGGGTCAGGAACTGACCCGGAAGGGGCATAGGAAACTTTCTGGCATAAGCTGTGTGAGTTGATTAAGTGTTTGGCTATACAGGTGTGTATATTTGTCAATACACATTGAATAAAACATTAAGATATGTGCATTTCTTTGTACATAAAATTTACCCCAAAAGAATAAACAAGAATAAACATGAACTCAAATTGATGATATGCAGGCTAAAGTATTTAGGGCACTTACTGATGTCTGCAACTTACTTTGAAGTACATCAAGTAAATGAGAGGAATTGATGGATGGGTAGATGGATAGGTCAATGGAAAGCTGTGACAAAGCAAGTTTATTAAATATCAGTTGTTGAATCTAAGTGGTGCAGCAATGGGTATTTGTGGGAAAAAGTCCACTTGAAAGTCAACTCTTGCACTTAACTCACACGGCTTATGCCAGAAAGTTTCATATGCCCCTTCCAGTCAGTTCCTGACCCCAGTTACTCACTTTTGAAACTGTATGCTCAGATGGCCTGAGGATATGACTTTTTACCACTATATTTATTGTCCAAAACCCCTTCCATTCTGTTCTTACTATGTTGTTACTACTCTGTTCAAATTGAAATGTTAGAAAAAATGAAGTATTGGGGGTGGGAAAGATGGGCAGGGAAGTCACCATCTTAAGTAATAACTTTTAAGCTTTTCCTCAGGAAATTGGGGAAAGCAAGTAGACATATAGCTTAAGTTGTACTTCTTTACTGGGCAATGAAAGAAAAGGAATGACGAGAAAAATTAATACTGTGGATATCAGGGAAACTAGGTCCTTGAATGCCGCACCCAAAGAATTACTTGTCACTACAGGTTGAGTAAACCTTATCCACAATGCTTGGGACCAGAATTGTCCTGGATTTTGGAATATCTGCATATGCATAATGAAATATCTTAGGGATGGTACCCAGGTCTAAACACGAGAT
This sequence comes from Homo sapiens, assembly GCF_000001405.40. Classification (NCBI taxonomy): domain Eukaryota; kingdom Metazoa; phylum Chordata; class Mammalia; order Primates; family Hominidae; genus Homo; species Homo sapiens. The sequence continues at coordinate 159,834,841 of NC_000003.12, read as the reverse complement.
TCATTTTTGTTTCATATGCACTTTATACACATCACCTGAAGGTAATTTTATACAATATTTCATAATAATTTTGTACATGAAACAAAGTTTTGACTTCATTTTGACTGCCACCTGTCACATGAGGTCAGGTGTGGAATTTTCTACTTGTGGCATCATGTCAATACTCAAAAAATTTGGGACTTTGCAGCATTTCAGATTTTAGATTTTGGGGTTGAGGAATGCTCAACCTGTATTGTTGCCACCAACAAAACTGGCATCATCTACAGACAATAAACCTTTAAAAATGCTTCGCAGAAACACAAAGTGTTTTCCTCAACATCTTCCTTGATTTTTGTAGTTGAAACAAGCTCCTATCATGTGCCATGTGAAGTAGTGTTTCTGCCCTCGAGAAGTTTGGTAAGAGAAATGAGGCAGTACACAAATGACTAGATATGACGAAGATGAGTTAAATGCCTCCGAATATTTTGTTTGCTCACTAGAAATTCAAGAGAAGAGAACGCTCAGCTAGAGTGAACCAGGAGACTGCAACAATCTTGTTCATTTGGTTATTCACTTATTTAATGTCTGTATTTTGTAGATCTAGATTAATGTGAATTTCCTTAGAACTTACATCTTGGTTGGTTTACTCAGTGCTATATCCCCAATGTCTGACATAGTACCTGGTTCTCAATAAATACTTTGAAACAATTGAATAAATGCATATGACCCTCATGGTAACATGATGAAATGGGAGTAATGTAAAACAGCTCTTACGTACTCAGGAAAGGAAGAGAAATGGATGTTTTCTTCTCCTAATTAAGAACAACATCAACTGTCCAAGGAATAGAGTCCTTTGGAGGATAGAGGAGATCATGGGAATGGAAGGGCAAAGACAGAGGGATGCATCCCAAGACACCAAAAAAGGAACTGATGGCACTTAGGCAGTGATCTACATGGGGGAGTGAGCAAGATAAGGAATTGTGAGGTTTTGAGACCATTACTGGAGTAAAACTGGTGCTGTGAAAAGAAACAGGGAAGTTAGCAGAAGGAACTGATTCTGAGAGGGTTGGGGTAGAGTAAGGAGGTTTAAATTTTCATCATAAAATTCGCAGTTGAAGGTGTAAGAGGCAGCTGGAGCTTAAGAGAGATCAGGCTGACAGGTAGAATTTAGGGGTCTTTTGCACAGAGAGGACAGTTGAAGCTGTAAAAATGAATTAGATTAAGGGAGAGATTGTAGAGACAGAACTAAAGAGAAACAAAGACATCACTGTGGAAGGCACAATAATGTCCCCTGTCTCCTGGGTCAACTGTCTACAACCTAATCCCCAAGCGGCAAGGTAAAATTATGATAAGCAGCTGTCTTTGAGATGGGGAAAGTAGCCTGGTTATCCAGATGAGCTCAATGTAATAATCACAAGGGTCTTATAAAGTAAAAGTCGGGGAGGCATAAGAGAAAGAACCAGAGACGGCAGTATGAGAAAGGCTTGGTCCAATGTTGTTGTTGGCTTTGAAGATGGAAGAAGAGGCCACAAGCCAAGGAAGGTGGGCTGTCCCTAGAAGATGGAAAAGGCAAGGAAACTGATATTTCTCTAGAGCCTCCAGAAAGAATGCAGCTCAGTGGACACCTTGATTTTAGTCCAGTGAGACCCATTTAGGACTTCCAACTTTTGATATTATAATACCAATAAATTTGTGTTGATTTAAGCCACTAAATTTGGAAGACTTTGTTATAGCAGAAATAGAAAACTAACTCAGTAGTCCCTCCTTATCCATGTGGTATACATTCCAAGACCCCTAGCGGATGCCTGAAACTGAAGATAGTACTGAACCTTATACATACCATGTTTTTCCCATACGTACATATCTGTGATAAAGTTTAATTTATAACTTAGGCACAGTAAGAGATTAACAACAATAACAGGTAATAAAATAGAACAATTATAACAATATACTGTAGTAACAGTCATGTGAATGTGGTCTCTCTCTCAAAATAGCTTAATATTTTCACACCACAGTTGACCGATGGTAACTGAAACTAAGGAAAATGAGACTGCAGATAAGGGTAGGAAGCCCACATTTAGAGAGCAAGGGGATGCAAAGGAGACATAGTCAACAAAGTGAGAAGAGAATGAAAACTAACACAGTGAGAAGTGACAAGAAGAGAGGGAACGCTGACAGAGCCTAGTTTCTTCAAATACTGCAGGGACGCGGAGGAGAAAAACAACCAGAAGCCATTAATTTGGACTATTAGGAAGTCACGAGTTATGCCAAGGGAATAATTTCAGTAGTCGTGTGTTAGGGGTGGAAGCTGGGTGGTTGTGGCTAAGAAGTTGAGGGTCTGAGTTGAGAGTTTGTGAACAAGCTTGTTAATAAATCAGAGCATTAGGCTGGTAGCTTGGAGAGGTTGCCAATGTAGCTGATGTTTAAGATGTGGGAGACCCAAATGTCTAGGTGGGCAGCAGGAAAGGAGCCAGCAAAGGGAGAAACTGATGATGGTGAATAGAAAATAAGGGCCAGGTGCTAGAAGAACTGGGTCAGGAGTGTCTGGCAGGCATTCATTCAGTCTTGGGACTGAAGATATGGTGAGTAAAGTTACAAATTAATGTCGAGTAAAGAGGAAGTTGTGGTGGCGATAGGGGAAGATACAGGAGCACAGATGGCTGGGTGGCCTTGATCTGGTCCCTAAAGCTGCTTGGTTGGAGCTGCTGCAGGTTAAAACCCCTAGGGCAAGGATGTGGAATCAGAGGCTGCACCAGTAAGAAATCTCTTTCCAAGAGATTTTGTAGGGGCTTTGTTGTATTATTTGACAACAGTCAATTCTGCTACAGATGAACAAGAAAAAGAAGATGGATGAAACTCATAAACGTGTGTTAAGTATAGATAATGACTATGTAGTAGCTTATAAGACACAGGTGAAATGTATGTGTTACATTTAGATAATGAGTAAGTAAACAGACATACAATCATTCCCCCTTATCTATGGTTTCGCTTTTCAAGGTTTTAGTTACCTGTAGTCAACCATGGTTTGAAACTATTAAATGGAAAATTCCAGAAATAAACAATTCATAAGTTTTAAATTCTGTGCCATTCTTCTGATGAACCCTCGTGCCATCCTACCCAGGATGTGAATCCTCTCTTTGTCCAGCATATCCACACTGTGGACACTCTACACCCAGGAGTCACTAAGTAGCTGGCTCAGTATCAGTTTGACTGTCTTGGTATCATAATGCTTGTATTCAAGTAACCCTTACTTTACTTAATAACGACCTCAAAATGCAAGAGCCATGATGCTGGCATATTGTTATAATTATTCTATTTTATGATTAGTTATTGTGAATCTCTTACTGTACCTAATTTATAAATTAAACTTTATAATAGGTATGTATAGGAAAAAACCATAATATATTGGGTTTGGGACTATCCACGGTTTCAGGCATCCTCCGAGGGTCCTGGAAAGTATCCCTGGCAGGCCAAGGGGGAGACTACTGTAGTCAGAATTCATGAGATGTGTTAAATATCAATAAGTAAGTTAGTAGCAGATTTGTTAAGCCTAGATCAAGTGTGTAGGTGCCAAGCATAGAAAGGGATGAAAAGACTAAAGAACCGCCTAATATTCATGACACACTAAATCATCTGAGCCACATGAGGCCCTCATTCATTAGATTTTATGTTGATTTCCCATTGATGACACCCATTCTGGTCCAATGTGTCCTCTGCCCAAGAAATGTAAATGCAATCCCCAGCTTCTCATCAGGCTAAGAGGCAAGCTACAGAGGAAGCCAGAGGGAATTGGCTCTGTCTCTTACAAAGCAAGTTGTGTGTCACTGGCAGATACCTTGTGTCTAAGTGGAACAGGAATCCTTTCTCAAACCTCAACTGTGGTTCATAACCATATCCTCAACAGGAAAGGCTGTTGTGGCAGAGAGGCTGGACATATAAATATTGTGTAACTCAAGGTCCTGCCATACTCCTGTGCCATATCCTAAGTAGTCAGCTCATCCCATCTCTTTCCCTTGCTTCTTGCCTTGCATTTTAAATAGAGGTAAAGAACTGTGTGATCTGAACATCTTAATTTGGCCTGTGACTTCTGGGATAGAATGTCTGGTAGTGTACTTGCAGGCTACTATTGCGTCAAGGTCATTTCCCACACTATAGATGTGGAACAGAGCCCCAGAAGAGGACAGCTGGTGTCAGGATACTTCTCCACTTCCAACAATACTCTGAGGCCCAAAAATAGAAAGTAAGGGAAGAATAAAAATGAGACAGGTTATAATTTTTTAGCCTTATAATTATAAATAAGAAATTTACCTGAGAGTCTTATAACCTATGTAAATTAATTTACTCAGAAGTTTGGACTATTCTGACCTTGGTTATGCTTATGTTTATTATTTCACATTATATGAAAAAAATAGTTTCCTGAGAAAATTATTAGTGTGAATCACTAATTGGTTGTCACTTTTTCTTCTATTTTCTTAAATACTAGAATTTGCTTTTAAAATGAAAATCAATATGAAAACCAACATGCAAAACAATCAAATGTTTCTATCAGGATAAAATTATTCTGAGTTCAAATCTATATTCATGTGTCTCTCAATGAGAACATGATGCTGTTTGTGATACAAAAAAAGAGAAAGCAGAATTTATAGATGTCAGTTATAATCTTATTCCAGATATAGCTTTACATAGAACTAAATGTAAAGCTACATCTGGAATAAGATTTTGTTTGGTTGTGCCACATCGAAAGAATCCTGTTTCACACAAGTAAGTAGTTGTAAATGGTAATGGTTCTTTTAATGGATTATGTTGCAATCTCTGCGTATTCTTCATTAAACATGTCCAGAATCTTAAAAGCAAAGTAGCAAGAAACTTATTCAAAATTGGTTTACTAACAATATATAGCAATTACTCATATTTCTGATTATAAACAAGATAAGACAGAGTACCCAAACTTACAATAGGTCATTAATCTATAACAGTACCTTCTCATTTGATATATTGGGTGTTTGCTTGTCATTGCACAACCGACTGTTAGGCTTGATGAGAGACTGTGCCAAACAGATGTGCCTGATCCTAACCTGGCACTGAACCAAGCTGGGCCTCTGGGCAACTTGCGTAATTTTATTGCTTGGGCATGCACAGGCATGAATTTTTTAGAAAGGCCAGTACAGAGCTACCACCTTCATGGTCAATGACACATATTTATAAGTTCGTTGATTTTGAGGACTGTGAAAGACTACTTCACCTGGCAGGATAAATTAAATATGCTGACGTCGAAAAATTGGGTTGAGAGAAATACTTTGCACAGATTATGAGGGAATTAAATCATTACAGTTTGGGCTGAAACGTTATATTCTTCTTACCACAGCTTTACAGGACTTTTCTCCAAAGTCCCATAGACTATCTCATTTGTAGTTGTATTCTGAATTATTTTCACATTTCACAACTCTTTAATTTCCAGTTTGATTTTTTTTGGGGGGCTTGGGGATGAGATGTTTAGCCGCTCATATAATAGGTACAAATTAATCTCTAAAAATATCTCCAGCAACCCTGGGTTTCTACAGACACAGTTTGAAATGTAATACATTAGGCAATGCTATAGCAGGCAGCCTCCCTTTGCCTCTAGAATAATGAGATGGTTTTATATTTCAATAGAATCTGCCAGAGTACTTGTTTATTGGACACAATCCTATTATTTTTCCCATAGTATTTTATGCCCAACAGTAACTGAAATTCACATGCTGTAGAAAAACAGCAACTGACGGATAGGTAAATCTGGGTGAAGTCTACATCGTTTCGTCCCCAATTTATGTCAACATTTAAAGACCATCTCTTTTACTCTCTGTTTTCCAGCATTTGGAGTCAGAGAACGCAGTGGCAGAAAAAGTGAAAAGTAGTATAAATTTGCCAGGGCTAAGGCAAGACTTTCCAAATAAAAATAAGTTGGGTTGTCATGTCAAGAAGGGCTAAGCTCAAACTAACACAAAGTTTGTGTGCATGCGTGTATGTGTGTAGGGGAATAAGGGTCATGCTTCCCCTTTATCATTCCAGGTATCTTAGCAGCACAGATAGCCTTGCCTACCAATACAAATGCATTTTGCTAAAGCAGTACATGGAATCTCTGACAATAAAAAAGCTTTTCAATGCTCCGAGGCGATAGTGGCTGATTAAAACCAGGTTAATAGAGTACTGGGGAAGAGAACAGACCGTGATGTTGAAGAAAGGTGCCCTCTAGTGGACTATTGTGTTTTTTAATCTGTTTGGGATAGTATTATGAAAAAAAAATGTCAAAAGTACGATACATTTTCTCATTAACATTTCAATAATACCTTTAATAACTGTAATATAAATACATAAATCTTCAGCTACATTGGTATGTATGTGTATGTGTGTGTATATATACATATATATACGTATATATATACGTATATATACGTATATATATACGTATATATACGTATATATATACGTATATATGTATATATATATGTATATATATATATAAAGGTTACACTAATGCTAATTCATCCAAAGTTGCAATCTAGGCCATCTTTGATGGTTCTAGAGTTGATAAAATTTTGGATCAAATCAAAGACCTGGTTCTGGACTTGACTGCACTTCTTATTAGGTGTGTTTCCTTGGGCTACTGCTTCATAGCTGTCAGCCTCTATTTCCTAATCTACAATATGAATTGAGTTATAAACTGCCCCTGCCGCCCACTTTCAGGCTGTCAGATGGCTGTCTTTTTATATCAATTTCATTTTATATCATGAGTTTTCCACATCAGCAATACAATATAACAATAATATATTATATATAGCATTGGGTGAGTCAACAAAAAAAAATTAGATTTCAATTGAAGGTCTTCCTTATAGAAATTTAATGAGAGTAAAGGTGATGAGTTTGTTTTTTCTTTTTACATTGATCATGGACATTTCAAAAACTAAACACACTAGATCATGAGTTCATTATGAAAATTGAATTTACTATGAAAATCAGAGTTACTATTTAAAAAAATATTTCCAGCGTTTCTATTTTCTTTTTTTTTTTTTTTGAGACGGAGTCTCGCTCTGTCGCCCAAGCCGGACTGCGGACTGCAGTGGCGCAATCTCGGCTCACTGCAAGCTCCGCTTCCCGGGTTCACGCCATTCTCCTGCCTCAGCCTCCCGAGTAGCTGGGACTACAGGCGCCCGCCACCGTGCCCGGCTAATTTTTTGTATTTTTAGTAGAGACGGGGTTTCACTTTGTTAGCCAGGATGGTCTCGATCTCCTGACCTCATGATCCACCCGCCTCGGCCTCCCAAAGTGCTGGGATTACAGGCTTCTATTTTCAAAAAAATTATTTTGTAGGATAACGTAAAATAGTAATGAAAAGAATTTACATAGCATACCTTTTCTGAAAATGTGTTTTCCTGGTATGTCACTGAACACAGGACAGAAACATAAAATTTATGACTAAACTGTTAACATCATCTCTAAGGAGCTATTAAATTTGTCAAGGGTCCCTAAATCTTTTTTCTTTTTTAAATACAGAGGTAGTGCTGAAATGCTATTGCTATTAGTTATAATGAAATTTCGTACTAAAGAGTTTCCTTAGGTCTGTTCTCTGACCAGCTTTTCTAGGGCGAGTTAAGCAGCGACATGGACTGTTCGTACATCCTTTCTCATTTTCATTCTCTCAGAAGAAATATTCAAATTATTTTAGTCATCTGAATAGTAGAAGAAACACTATTCTAAAAAGTTTTCTGAAGTAAAAGAAAAATGTCACAAAAACATTTGAGTTACTTAACTTGCTTTGTCCTAAAGCTATTGAATTAAGAAAGTTTCTCATCTTTTAGAAGTAAATTATTTCAGAATTATAAAGGTACTGATCAGGAAATTATGCTACTCCCAACACATGACACCAGGTAAACTCATTCTCAATGAGAAGGGTTAAACCATCAGTCACAGAAGATTCATACGCAGTAAAATCAATCTGCACATTAATCCCAACTCTTCTAAAACCCTCCAATTTAAACCAGTTTTCCCTGGTGAATAGCAAAGAGAGTCTCTTTCAGACACATAAGTTGGGCCCACAAAGTGTTCACTTGTTGAAAGTGCTGGGGCTTTTTTATTATTTACTAAGAAGGTCAAGATAGAAATGAGCAGTCCTTCTGAGTTTCAGCATCTTAGATAAACCTACCTACCTCATTCCAACATCTCTCTTCTCCCCTTATCTGAGATGATGCTAAGGGACTTTAGGGTTGGTTTGTTTTCACTCTTGACTTTCAATCAAATTTTTAAAATCTAGGAAAATGAACACCATCTACCATGCCCAAATATCCACACTTGCTTTCTTCTCATGGCCTCTGATTTCCAGCGTTAACTGTGAGGAAGAGCAACTGGCTGAAGAAGTACAAATTTGCATGGCAGATGTCAGTGGAAACTTGTACTGATGGTTTAAGCTACTTGGGCTATGTTTTGAGGTTTTTAAAATCAAATTTATTTTCCAAAGGACAGACGGGATTTCTGCAGCAGAACTGTCACTACAACTGAAGCCATCAGAACTTTGACCCTAATTTCAGATGGCACAAATTTAGCCCCACTCACTCACCCGGCTGCCCCTGATTCGATCATTTTGATGGTTTCATGCTCCTTGATTTAGTTCCCAAAGTGATACAAAAAATTAAGGGCTTGCCCTCCATTAAACCTTACCCTTTGTGAATTAAAAATACTTCTAAAAACATAATCAGATTTTGTCACATCTTGGTTTCAAACTCCTCGGTTTTCCACAACATTTAGGATAAAATCCTAAATCTCTAATGCTGTTATCCAGCATTATGTTATTGGCCCTGATCTACCCTCCTGACTTCTTTGCACCTCTCAAAATCTTGCTCACACAGCTCTAGGCACACTGGTGGCCTTTGAGTTTTCTGGAAAAGCCAAGCTCGTGCCTGCAACTGTCTCAGGGCCCTCACACAAGCTGTTTCTCAACCTGTAAGCCCTCTGCCTTCACCTGAGTCACCTCTCTTGCTTAAAGTTGGAGGTTTTTCCTTAGCCCCCTGTCTAAATAAGGTCCTGCTTTAAATTCACTTAGCATACTGTTTTTTTTTCCCTCTAATTTGTGGGATTTGTAACGTTGATTTGCTCCACTAGATTGTATGCTCCGTGAGAGAGCAAGGGCCATATGTATCACGTCAACCATTGCCCATCTAGCATCTGGCACAGTGCCAGGCATATAGTAGGTGTCCAAAAAATATTGGAATGAATGAAATTCTCGAGAAGTTCTCTCACTTTAGGGCCTTGGGATCGAGGGCAGGAGTGTGCCTGTGACCAGCTGTCATTAGTTCTATTGACTACCTGTGGGAAAGCTGGTCAAGTGGCCACTTGCTCACCTCAAGACAATGAATGAAGCTTTCCTGGATGCTAAGTGACTGCCACCTTGTGAGCTAAGCCTGGCAAGACCTTTGGGCTACACTTCCCTCCTCACTGTGAGCTGTGGCTTGGGCAGGCTCAAAGGGGCCCACTCACTCTGCAGATGTGCCTCAGGGACATGGATGACTCTGCCAGCTGCACTTGAGGGCAAAATAATCATTTACAGCTTCCCAGGTAAGGCTAACACTTACTCAACTGCAGTAACTAGATGCCCCCAATTTAATAAAAATTAGTTAAGAAGAAAAAAAAGCCTAGTTTTTTTCCTTTTCTCAATTTGTCACCTTATGTGATAAATCTTTAGTTCCAGAAATAGCCCAGCAAAACAAATAACTTAATATTGCCAACTTGTACACTTCAAAAAAGTCTATTGATAAGTGTAAAAAGTCAGAATTCTTATATCTAAAGAATAATAAAGTATCACAATTAGTTTTCTAATCAGAGAATAGAAGGCAAAATGGCCAGTAGGAAGACAAACTGGGTTTTTGAAAGACATACTTTTAAATTTGCCTGTCTACTATGGGGGTTTAGGTGAGAGAAAAAAAGTAAATTAAAAAGAAAAGAAAAAAAGAGCATATTTGTTTTCTTAGAGGAAAACAAACAAATACAAATGACAGTTAAAACCAAGAAACAACCTACAATTTAGGCTGTCGCTTTCCAAAAAGTATTCTAATGTTTGAAGAAGAAATTGTGGATGTGGTGTGAGTCTCTCTCCAATCCAAATGCTGTCCCTCTAGGAAATATTTGCTGTTTTATATTACAGCATCATTACTGTGATTCCCACATTAAATAACTACTAAAGTTTCAGTACTCCAGGCACTTGGTTGCCTGTCAAGGTGATAAATTAATTCTGAATCTGGGTCAAGAGTACATAGAGTACAGGTCTGGCCCTGCTGAACCTAGAAAGCCCGTGTGGACTCTTCATTTAGCATTAGTCACCATAATCTAAGTTTGATGGCTATATCTGTGTAGGGAGTTTGTTCTTCCCAGCTGGTGAGTGGAATGAGGCCAGTATGCCTTCTGTCCAGATAAATGACAAATGACGATCCAGTCTGGTATGCATGCCTGCCCTGCCCATGTTATTTCTTTCCTCATCTCAAGGCTACACCTCTTGGACATACACATTGGAGGAAACAGATGTCTGCTGTAAAATTAACAAGAGCACTTCTACATCCAGGTAAGAAATGCTCTAAAGAAAGAATTCAATGCTCTGTTTGGCATGAATAATAATAATTCAGTCAAGCTTCACTTGAAGTTAAGAATAACTTTCAGATTTTCAATTTATTAATATGAGGGTTAATGACAATAAATGAAGAATCTTTCTGAAAGAGATGATGTTTTTTCATGCTGAAAAAATAAGATTAAAGGTTGGGCGTTCATAGGGGTTTAGATGTACTCAATTACGTTCTTGTTTACAAAGGATATGGTTAAGGTGTTTTCCATTACTTTCAAAATACCCTTCATCCTGAAATGCTGACACATTAATGGGATGATAAATCAAATTACCTGACTGTCCCGTGGTCATGTTTCACCAGTTACTTAGTTTTTAGGGTTTAGAATGGGCACTTTGCAGGGCTCTGTGCAAAATGAAAATGGGGAACCATTGTTAAAACATTAAGAATTTTAGGGTGGTAACAGCAGAACATTAAACCAAGAGCAGGGCCTTTCAAAGCCTACGGAGGTCACATACCCATGAAGCCTGTCAAAGGTGGGCAGATGGAAGTAGAGAGAAACCAGACATACAGTCATTTATGTCGAGAATTACATAGGTTTTCAGTCTGGGAAGGAAAAGGCATCTTCGACTTTTGGCATGCAAATACCAATGGAAAGACAACTTCCCTTCATAGGAGGGGAAATTCAAGAGGGAGCTGAGGGAGGAGAGGAGGAAACTGACCTCTACCAAGCACCACTGCTGGGACCCACGCTGGCCCTGACATTGTCATCATTTGTCCTTGCTCCAACACTGAGCTCTACCATAGGATTAACTCCACACTACAGAAGAGGAATCTAACTGAGGTCGTTGATGAGTTTAAGCATAACTGCTTCAAGTTTAGAAAAAGCAGGTTAAGAGATGCAGGAACTGTAGGACACCTGAGGGGTATTCTGTAATTTTCGAGGAGGTTTCCTTCATGACCCTCATCCTCTTCATAAGACCACCTACCGCCCATTGCTGTCAGTCCAAAGATCCAGAGATCTTGCTCTAAGTATGAACTCTTCTCTTGCCTCCCACACTAGCACCTTTACGTCTACTGTCTGTCTTGGAGACCCCATCAAGCTTCACCTCAAGGTACTTCTTACTCCAATTTATACTCCTCAACTCCAGGTCATCCCTCATTCACCTCCTTATTCACTCTCCTTTCCATATGGCTCTGTCCAACCCTCTCTGGCCAACTCCTATTCCTCCCCAAGTCCATCATAAGTCCTTTCGGTGGGCCCTCTCTCATAAGCGTTCCTTTCACTGTCTTGCTCTAACAGAGCCTGAAGGCACTGCCTTCTCCTATGGCTCTCAAGAGGTGGCTGTTTTCTCTCCCACCTCCCTCTTGCCAAACAGCCTGTTGGATGAGTAGGTGTCTTCCTTGCTACTCTCTTGCTTGCAAACAATTAATTGTCTGTCCTTCCTAACACCCTGCTCTGAATCTCCTACCTGCAGACTGCTGATACCAACACCAGTTAGCCCTCCCCGTTGCAGCCACCTATTCCTCCCCAGATTACTCTGCCTCATGTCTTGAAGAGTCATTTTCCAGTGTTAGTTCTGTTACTAGGTTGGTGCAAAAGTAGTTGCGGTTTTTGCCATTGGAAGTAATGGCAAAAACCGCATCTACTTTTGCACCAACCTATATAAATCCTGGAAATTTCCATGTCTGTTAGATGGTCCCTGCAAAATTTTGGCCTGTAAATTCCGTCTTTTTCCATTCCATCTCAATTATACCTGCTCCCATGGCCATATCCTATTTTGCCATTACCAACAACTTCATGCCCTCCATAATTTCATCTTCAAGCCTCCCCTTCTCCAACAATCTTGCATTGTCATTCCAGTTCATTCTTTCCAACTATTCTTAATCCAATAATTCTTCCATTGCACTAGGCCTTATACCCCATATACTGTCCACTTTTCACCATTCTGTACTCTCAGGGTGTCCTCTCCTCTCTCTCTGTGTCTTAGATTCCCTTACCTATCATTGCAACCCTTAACTCAATCAATTATTCTCACTTGCCCCCTCACTTCATATTCACTTGGTTAAATCCCACCTGTGGATAAATTCAGCTGTTTGCTACTCTGTGCCTGCTCTCAGCTGACATATGTGGCTGGAGAAAAATATACAGTGTCTCCCCTTATCTGCCATTTCAGTTACCCACAGTCAACAAAGTTCCAAAAACATTAAATGGAAAATTCCAGAAATAAACAATTTATAAAATTTAAATTGAGTGCCATTCTAAATAGCGTGATGAAATCTCACACCATCCTGCTCTGTCCCATGCAGGACCGAATCATCTCTTTGTCCAGTGCATCCACACTGTCTCCAGTCCCTGCCTGTGAGTCACTTAGTAGCTGGCTTGGTGATCAGATGAACTGTCGCAGTATCACAGTGCTGTGTCCAAGTGACCCTCATTTTACCTAATAACGGCCCCAAATGAAAGAGTAGTGATGCTGGTAATTCGGATATGCCAAAGAGAAGCTGTAAAGTGCTTCCTTTAAGTGAAAAGGTAAAAGTTCTTGACTTAATAAGGAAAGAAAAAAAATGAATGCTGAGGTTGCTATGACCTACAATAAAACCAAATCTTTTATCTGTGAAATTGTGAAAAAGGAAAAATAAATTTGTGCTAGTTTCACTGTCATGCTTCGAACTGCAGAAGTTACAGCACAGTGTATAAGTTCTTAGTTAAGATGGAAAGGCATTAAATTTATGGGTTGAAGACATGGACAGAAACATGTTTCAGTTGATGGCAATTGCGTTCAGTACTATCCATGGTATCAGGCATCCACTGGGGGTGGTGGAATGTGCCTCGGTGGATAAGGGGGAATGACTGTATGATCACACTAACTGGTCTCATTTAAATTCATGACCACTAACCTCAAGAGCGCCCTCGGCACTGCCTGGCCCTCTCTACATTTTCCCTGTCTGTTTACTCCCACACTCTCCTAGACAACCACAAAACTCCTTGAAAGACTTGTCCAGACTTGCTGTCTACAATTTCTCTCTCCCCTTTTTTCTCCTTTGAACACTTTCCAATCAGGCTTTTGTCTTCACCATGCTACACCATCCTAAATCTTCCTCAACTAGATCTATGAGCAACGTTCAACATAGCTGGCTTCTAAGACAACGTTCTCCTCTGGTTCTTTTCCTTCATTAAAGGCTTCTCCTTTGCTCATCCCCCATTTCTTCCACTTTTACCCACTGGAGCTGTAGTCACTAACTACATGTGGCTATTTAAACTGAATAAAATTAAAAATTCAGTTTCCCAGTTGCACTAGCCATGTTTTAAGTGCTCAACAGCCACATGTGTCTAGTGGCTGTTGTACTGGACAGTGACGATAGAGAACATTTCCATCTTGGAAGAAAGTTCTATTGTATAACACTACACAATATCCAAGGATTAGTCCTTAGAGTTCTTCTCAATCTAAACTCACTTTCTGGGTAAGGTCATCCATTTTCTTGGCTAGTCACTTGTACCTCTAGCCTAGACCTTCTTCTGAACTCCAGACTCCTTTATCCAACCACCTACTGCTCATTTCCACTTGCATATTTAACAAGTATCTTAAAGGTATCATGCCTAAAAAATAAACTACTGATCTCTCTCAACCCTGACCTCCTAACACTCTTGCACCCACAATCTTCTTTTCTTACTTTTCTTCAGATTTCAGTTACTTTACTTCCCACTCCTATAAACTAAAATTCATTTCATTTCAGACAGACTGAAAGTTAAATATTTTAAAATATTCTATACCATATTGATAAACTCATTTGAAAATACATACATATATATTTTTCTTTAAAGGATCTGTGTGTAATCATAATTTGTAGAAATTTTAATCATTTCATCTCACAGGAAGAAATTATAATTTCAAGTGTTTAGGCTTAGTGTCTGATTTATCCTTAAGTGGAATAAGTTCCTAATACTTATTTTGATTAAGGTAGGGTTGTGGGGGCTGGAGGTGGGCTGTAAAAACACCTTTATTCTAGAATTGGTTCTGCTCCTTTACCCCCCAAATCACTTTAAACTACAGAATTAACTTTAGGGTTGCTCTTTTGGGGCCATAGAAGTCTTTTTTTCAGAATGTTCATCAGGAGTTTGGTCAGAGGGGTGGGAAGAGCCAACAGCAGAGTTCTCCTGGTTGCCAGGTGTGTGAGCCTTGTAACCTTGTACAGCTTTCATTCAAGTCTATGTGATCCCCCCAAAAAACTGCCAGAAATATCTGGCCAATCCCAACCAAGATCAACTGGCTCTGGGAGACATGGCTCCCAGGATCTGGTTACCTGAGCCATCTGGCCTGTGGCTAGGAATATCATGCAGGAATGAGCTGGGGGCTAACCCTCATCCTCTGAGGGCTACGCCTCACCTAAGGGTGACAGGAAGATGGAAGCACCTGCAGAAGAATCTGTGGAAGGGCCCAGGCACCAGCTCAGCCACCTGGTGGCTTCCCTTAGGCTACTGGCCTGCAGTACAAAGAATGGAAGTCAGTCCTAGATACACTGCCTGGTCTAGAGTCAGGGCTTAATCAAGAGGACAAACTATTATTATCTCTACACTTTCCAGTCCCCATAAATTCCTTTGAAAAGTAAAGATTTCTCTGCTATGAAAACATTCCTTATGAAGCAGTTTAGGGAAGGGGAAATGTTTTTTTAACTGGAGCCACTGGTGACCAGAACATGCAAGTGACAGTCAAGCAGATAAAGAGCAGTGCCATTTACTTTTAGTAGTGATGCTGGGCTTTTTTCTTTCTGTTTTTGTTTTGTTTTGTTTTTTGCCTCAGAAGATTTACATATATGGGTTGGGGAAGGTAGGTGGTTTTAAAATACGTCCCTAAATTCTTTGATATTCTTCCCTTGAAAAGGAGAGCTTAATTCCCTTCCCCTTAAGTGTGGGCTGGATATAGTGACTTTATTCTACAGAAACAAAAAGCAGAAGTGACATACCTGCTACCACAGAGGCTAGGTCAAAAGAGGCACAGCAGCTTCATCCATCCATCTCTTTCTTCCTCTCTCTCTCTCCCCCAAGCTCCCACACTCTTTCTTTCTCTCTGATCACCAGCACTGGGGGAAGTTATCTGCCATGTCATGAAAACACACAAACAGCCCACGGAGAGGGCCACGTGGTGAGGAATTGAGGGCTCCAGCCTCCAGTCATGTGAATGAGGAGGACCCTCCAGCAGTTCCAGTCAAGCTTTCAGATGACTGCAGCCCCAATGCACATTCTGCCTAAAGTGTCATGAGAAATTCTGTGCCACAAACACCAGCTAAGCAGCTCTGGGATTCCTGATGATCAGAAATTGTGAGATAGTAAATGTCTGTTTTTTTAAACTGTAGTAAACTATTATTTATACAGCAATACACAACTAAGACAGAGGGTAAGGACCACACAGTTAATTTTTTTTCAATTAAAATTAAGAACTTGGAATATATAATTTTGTTAATCTACAAAAGCCAAATGCTGTCAAAAAGGAAAAGGACCTGTGATATGACCATGGACTAGAGCAGGGCCTCCATGCTGGACACAGCTGACCTTTGCTCTGTGACCTTGGACAGGCTGCTCCAGCAAGTGCTGCTTGCAGTATGAAGGCTGCATAAGATCAGGATTGCAAAGCCCCTGGCACAGCTCCTGGTGCTGATGACAGACAGCATGCTGGTAGCAGGGGCAGTGGTTCCCTGCCCCAGGCTTCCCTACGGTCACACAAAGGCTCTGCTGCGGGCAGGTGGCCCCACTGGCCCTGCAGATTCCCAGGCAGTGCTCTACCACGGCTCCACACTGCCCCTTCCTGGGGAGGATGACACAAAGCTGAGGTGATTAGTAAATCCTCAGAGGGGAGATAGAGGAGAGAAGCTGGTGACAAAATGTCAGGAGGTTTCCAAGTGATCAATGCTGCACTTTGCCTGCTCTTTTCTACTTTGAATCTCAGAGTGTTATTGTCCCCACTTTAAAGTCTACCCAACTATTTGTTTACAGCTTTTCAACCACTTTCTCTCCCCAGAACTTTAGCATTAGGCACAGCACTCTGGGGCCATACGATAAGAGCATAGAAGGTGCTACTTTGATGTAAAATGCCTTCTTCATCTACATCATTTGAGGATGCATGAAATTTCCACACCACAGCAGCTTACTCCTCGATCCACACTCCTGTCCTGCTTGGGTGTAAGATATGCTGGCTTTGTGAACACTCCTTGGCTGATTATTGTGGAGAGGGCTGTTGTCTGACTTGAGGGTCTACCTCTAGGCTTCAGTCTACTGCAGCTGCTGATGGCCTGTCTCACCATTGGATAAATAAAAGGGGACTGCATGTTTATTTTTAAGTTTGGGTTTTGGGCTGTAGCACACTGTAGGTGGATATGTGTAAAAAGGAAAATCAAAACAATGAGGGCCCTAGGGAGGGTCTGGGAAACCTACTTTATTCCCAAGGCCGTTCAAACCAAGGCTTAGACTTAGAGCCTGTGACTGGCGGGTCTTGCACACAGTAAGAATACAGCGACAAAAGCACAATGAGGAATTTCACCAGAAGGTAACAGGTTACACTCCATTCCTTCTCTGTTGTCAGAAACAAAACAAAACAAAAACTCTAGCTGAAAAGAAGTATTAATCTACTCAGTACTTTGCCAAAGGGTCCCATGGGTTAACTTTAATCTAATCTAATTAGTAGAAGAAAGTATTCTTTTTTTTTAGTAATCCATGAAGAAAAACAAGCCAAAGTTCAGGCATTTTAAAAAGTCAGCTACAGAAGTACAGATACGGGCAAACACCCAGAGTGGCCACACAAAAGTGAGGAAACTGCTTTAAACCCAGCTAAGCACTCTAAGTGGTTCTCTTTCATTGGAAACCAGATGCAATTCAGTGTCCAGGTTGCTTTGTACCACAGTGAAGTCATTAGAATCTGCTCAGTGCTGCTGTCATTGACAATGCACCTCTCCTCGACCCCGCCACCCGCAGCCCGCCACCCCACCCCATTGCTTGCTTTTCTCCTTCAGACTTCACCAGCCATGCAAAGCAATCATTCTTAGTCTGCAAAAGAAAATTCTTTACCTAAGTATTGGTTATATTTCTGATGTTGATGGGTCACTATTAGCTTAGTTTTATTCATCATAGGTATTTAATTCCTTCATTTAATCCACGCATATTTATTAAGCGCTTGAGATAAATGCAGGCATGGTAACAGGCTCAAGGAATACAGAGATAAGACACAGTCCCAGCCTTAAGGCAAAGATAGACACATAAACAAAGAATTATACTATATATCATATTTATATTATTTATTTATAGCACAATATATATAATTGGTTAGGGCTCTAATCAAGCCGGGGGGTCAGGAAAGATTTTCTGGAGTGGGTGATGTCTGAGCTCTGCGTTTCAGTGATGAGTAGGAATTAACTGAGCAAGAAAGAGATAGAGTGGACAAAACATTTCAGGCAAAGGGTACCACAAAAACAAAGGCATGGAAGCTAGAGACAGCACGAGTTAGGCAGGTCAGCAGACTGGTTTTGTTAGAGTACAAGGGAGTGGTAAGAAATGAGACCAGAGGTCAGCAGGGCTGATATAGGAGTTATGTAGTGCTGAATTTATGTTAGGCTTTACCCTGAGGAAGTCATTACAGTGTTTGAGAATGAGACACACTTGAATAGGCAGTCAGGTAGGTAGATTAGGGGAGGAGCTTAAAGAGTACAGGATCAGAGGCAGAGGCCGGGCTGGCTCCCCTCTGTAATCCCAGCACTTTGGGAGGCTGAGGCAGGAGGATCACTTGAAGCCAAGAGTTTGAGACCAGCCTGGGCAACAAAGCAAGACCCCCATCTCTATGAAAATTAATTTTTAAAAAGCCAGGTGCTGTGGTGTTTGCCTGTAGTCTTAGCTACTTTGGAAGCCAAAGCAAGAGGATCCCTTGAGTCCAGGAGTTTGAGGCTGCAGTAAGCCATGACTGCACCACTGCACTTCAGCTTGGGTGTCAGGGCAAGATCCATCTCAAAAATGGATAAATAAAATACATTTTAAAAAAGGACCAGAGGCAGGCCGCACAGTGGCTCACACCTGTAATCCCAGCACTTTGAGAAGCTGAGGCAGGTGGATCACTTGAAGTCAGGAGTTCAAGACCAGCCTGGCCGACATGATGAAATCCTGTCTCTACTAAAAGTACAAAAATTAGCCTGGTGTGGTGGCATGCACCTGTAATCTCAACTACTTGGGAGGCTGAAGCAGGAGACTCGCTTGAACCTGGGAGGCAGAGATTGCAGTGAGCTGAGATTGCACCACTGCACTCCTGCCTGGGCGACAGAGAGAGATGCTGTCTCAAATAAATAAATAAATAAATAAATAAATAGGACCAGAGGCAGAGAGACTATGTTGAGGTTGAGGTGACAGTTAATAGCATTTGCAGAACGGGGGTGGCATCTGGGATGGGAAGGGGAGTGATTTGAGACACATTTGGAAGGTAAATTGGCAAGACTTGGTGACTGATGGGTTATGGGAAACGAAGACCAGGTAGGAATCATGGGTGTGTTCCTGGAGACCACCACCATCATGTGACATGGAGAGAACTGGCATAGAAGGGGAGAAGATGATGATGAGTTACTTTTGAACACACTGCACTTGAGAGGGTTTAAATAATTTATTCTCCTACTGTCTTCAAAAGGTAAAGGAGTATATATGGTAAACTTAACTGTGGTCTAAAATGAAGGTGGAGAATGCTGTTGTTAATGGGCGACATCACTAATGCATCATAGCACTCTTATTCCCACAGCCCAGACACACCTTCGGCGTCCTTTTCAACATATCATTTCATCCCCCCAAGGTGTCAACTATAAGTTCCAACACATGATGGCTACTACTGTTCCAAGGGAGAGTGTATGCCTTGGAAAGCCACGTTTCTCCCCAGTCTAAAAGCTTGAGAGAGTAACATTCTTTAAAACATACATGTCTTGAACACAGATTTGGAGGTATCCTTGAGGTAAATTACAGCTTACCAAATGTAAATAACCAAAAACACATCGATCATGAGTGCCAGCATCACTGGGAACTCTTCCGATATTTCTGAGACTCCTAACTTGGTTTAAGGTTAGGGCAGTGCAGACCACGGTAATCAAGAGAGTCTAATTTTAAATTTGTTAACTGTCCATTATGGGATGGGACAGGTCTTCTCAACATGACTCCAGCAAGATCCAGGCTTATTAATGCTCCATGGAGGGTGTCCGCAGCAAGAAGTCTTCCTGATGGGTTCAGATGATTTGGATTACACCCCCTCCTTAAGGAACTCAGAAGGAAAAGCAACATATAAAAGACTGAGAAATCCTCAGAAATCAATTAAACTTAGTTTGGCCTAGTGTCACCCAGACTTACTTGACCATGAAATCCTCCTGTCGCATGACACTCATGAAGAGCCCCTGAAATTAGGATCATTTCAATCCTCAAAGCATACCCATTTTTCAAACGAGAAATACAACTTCTAGAATCACAAAGCCACAAAATTGGCAAGGGAGATCTAAAATCAGATCTTCCGGTTCCAGCTTCAGGGCCCAATTCATAGGACTGCAGCTGAAGAGGACAGTTGGCAGTGAAGATGAGAGCTGATACCTGGGCTACACACCCACTTTACAAACAGAACATCGGGGGCTCGGCAGTATCCCTACTCGGCAAAATGTGCGGCACATGGGCCAGCTACAGCTTTCTGGGGGCTCCCCATCAGGGCTGACAGCTCATCCTGTCTTTTAAAGTCCACCACCATTGCCCTTTTCTTTTGTAGCCACTACAAAACACTACTCTGTTTACTCTCTGCTATACCCGCGAGAGGAATTCTGGCCTTTAGGGCATTTCCTGTTGCCTAGAAACCTTATAGAGCACTGGGTGCAGGAAGCTGACTCTCTGGTAGAGATTCACAGGCAGGAAGTTTATTCAGAGTGCTCTGGGGCAACACCTGTGAGGGAATACAGGCAGTAAAACAGGGCAGAGGGAGAGGCTGAATTCTGATGCAGCTGCAAACAAAAGCCTGACTGATCCAGGAGGATGCTCTGCAACGGGGCTGGGCGTTCAAAGTGGATCCAAGCCGGGTGAAAGGTCCAGGCCTTCATGTCCCAGCATCAACCTGTCTTTGGATATGGGTTGCTACTGCTCCTACCTTGGGCATCCTAGTTCTCCTCAGCCACAGGCAATCCCGAAGAGGGTCTCAGCTGAGCACTGTCAGCTGCCAACATTACCAGCAGCTGAAGAAGGAAGTCCTTCCCTCCTGGAAGCGGGTGGAGGGAGTGTTGTAGATCTGGGCTGCCTGACAACATCTTCTGCATTGCTCAGGGCGTGTTTCCCACTCAACTCTCAGGTCTGGATAGTTGTCTGTTTTCTATAGATGCTGCTAGAATCTAGAGTCTGGGCTGTGGCCTCCATTATATTAACCCTAGCTTTACTATGCTTCATATTAGTTTTATCTTGGTACCTATAAAGCTTTCCAAAAGTTTTATATTTCTCTTGTATCCTAGCAGGGTTTAAGGAAGTGATCAATAATCAATACAGATATAGAGGAAAGAGTAAGAGATTTGGAGCCTGAACTCCTAATTTTACTTCTTCTTCTTCTTTTTTTTTTGAGATAGCGTCTCACTCTGTTGCCCAGGCTGGAGTGCAGTGGTGTGATCGCTCCTCAGTGCAGCCTCGAACTCCTGGCCTCAAGTGATCCTCCCACCTCAGCCTCCTGAGTAGCTGGGACCACAGGAGCACATCACACATGGCAAATTTTTAAAACTTTTGTAGAGACGGGGTCTCCCCAGGTTGCCCAGGCTGGTCTCAGACTCCTGGGCTTAGGAGATCCTCCTGCCTCCTGGGCTCAAGAGATCCTTCCTAAGTGCTGGGGTTACAGGTGTGAGCTACTGCACTCAGCAATCACAGAACTGCCACTTATGGACGTATACAATTACAAACATCACTTAATTTCTGTGAATCTTAGTTTCATGATTTACAATACGGGAATTTTAAAAAGCCCTATTTTACCCAAGCTCCAGTGTTACTGTGAGAATAATAAGATGGTGAATTGAAAATGCTTTGTAAAGTAAAAAAAAACTAGAGCCAGTGTTTCACAATAGTGAGTACAAAATAGATAGCTGCTATGGTTTGAATATGGTCAGCTCCCTCCAAAACTCATGTTGAAGCTTGGTCCCCAACGTAATGGTGTTGAGAGGTGGTGGAACCTTTAAGAGGCATTTGGTTGAGGAATCCACCCTCAGAAAGGGATTAATACCATCTCTTAGTCACTGAGAGAGCAGGCTGTTATAAAGCAAGGCTGCCTCTCATGTTTTGTCCCTTTCTGCACACTCCTGCTTTCCCTTCTGGTTCTCGGCCTTTCTCTGCCATGTTGTGATACAGCATAAAGCCCTCACCTGAAGCTGAGAAGATGCCAGCACCATGCTTCTTGGACTTCCCAGCCTCTGGAATTGTGAACCAGACAAACCTCTTTTCCTTATAAATTACCCAGTCTCTCAGGTATTCGGTTATGGCAACAGAAAATGAACTAAGACAACACCTATTAAAGGAAAAAAATATTGAGCCAATACATGTAAAACTAGGTGTAAATTCCTTTTGCTAATAACACTTATACAAATCCAAGTGAATTTACAAAATATAAACAAAAATAGAATACAATTAATTTCAATTAACAATACTGATTATTGTGCCATGTGACGTTGTTTTATTGGCTTATATACATACGGTACTGACTGTAAGGACAAGGTTCATTTGGACTGGATATGCACGCCATGTAATAATTCGGTTTTCTCCATTGTTTCCACTGTGAAACTGTTCGTTTACACAATGCACCATTTGGCCTTAACATAGAAATATCATTTATGTATATTAAGTACACCTCCACTTGTTTAAATTTTCCATTTTATTTGGTGATAAGAATATGTATCATGAGTTCAATTTGGCCTTATGTATCAGAAAGTCCATATAACAGTGACTTGAAAAATTAGGAACAAAAGAAGTGCAAGACTTATACACTGAAAACTACAGGCCGGGCGCGATGGCTCACACCTGTAATCCCAGCACTTTCGGAGGCCAAGGTGGGTGGATCACTTGAGGCCAGTAGTTCGAGACCAGCCTGGCCAACATGGTGAAACCCCGTCTCTACTAAAAATACAAAAATTAGCCAGGCATGGTAGCACGTGTCTGTAATCCCAGCTACTCAGGAGGCTGAGGCACGAGAATCGCTTGAGCCTAGGAGGCAGGGTTACAGTGAGCCGAGATCACACCACTGCACTTCAGCCTGGGCAACAGAGCAAGACTCTGCCAAAAAAAAAAACAAAAACAAAAACAAAAAAAACTACAAAACATTGCTAAGAGAAATTATAAGAAGAAAGATCTAAATAAAGGAATTGGAAGACTCAGTATTATTAAAATAGCAATGCCCCTCAACGTGATCTATAGATTCAACATAATTCCTATAAAAATTCCAGCAGGCTTTTGGGCAGGAATTGACAAGCTGATCCTAAAATGTATATGGAAATGCAAAGGACCTAGAAAAGCAAAAACAATCTTAAAAAAGAACAAAGTTGGAAAACTTAAGACTTCCCAATTTTAAAACTTACTATAAAGCTACATTAATTAAGACTGTGTGGTACTGGCATAAGGGTAGACATGTAGATCAATGGAACAGAATTGAGAGTCTAGAAATAAAACTTTACATTTATAGTCCATTGATTTTTTGACAAAGGTGCCAAGGTAATTCAATGGGGAAAGGACAGTCTTTTCAACAGATGGTGCTGGGACAACTGGATATCTGCATGCAGAAAGATGAATTTAGATACCTCACACTATACACAAAAATGAACTCAAAATGAATCATATGCCAAATGTAAAAGCTAAAACTATAAAACTTGTAGAAGAAAGCAGAAGATCTTTGCAACCTTAAGTTAGACAAAGAGTTCTTAAACACAACAGCAACAGCATAATCCATGAAAGGAAAAACTGAAAAAATTGACTTCATCAAAATTAAAAACTTTTGTGCTTCAAGAAACATCAGTAAGAAAATGAAAAGCAAGCCACAGTCTGGGAGAAAATATACACAAATACTATTTCTGGTAAAGGATTTGTATCCAGAATATATAAAAATCACTTGTAAGTTAATAATAAGACAAGCCAATTAAAAATGGGCAACAGTTGAATAGGTATTTCACCAAAGAAATATGAATGGCTAATAAGCATTTGAAAAGGTGCTCAACATCATTAGTCGTGAGGTAAATGAAAATTAAAACTACAAGGAGATGCTATTATACTTCGTGCCCAGTAGAAGGAATATAATAAAAAGACAAAATAATTTTTGATAAGAATATGAAAAAACCGTAAGCCTCATACATTGCCGATGGGAATATAAGATAGTGTGCTTACTTTGGAAAACAGTTTGGCAGTTTCTTATAAAATGAAACATAAATTTACCATATGATCTTGCAATTCCTCTCCTGAGAATCTACCCAAGAGAAATGGAAACATACATCTACACAAAGATGTATATGTATTCATGCAACATTATTCATAAGGTCTAAAAAGTGAAGACAATCCACATGTCCATCAACTGGTAAATGGACGACCAAAATATAATACGGCCATACAATAGAATATTATTCAGCAACAAGAAGGAACTACTGTTATGTGCTACAGCATGGAAGACTATCAAAAACAATATGTTAAGTGAAAGAAGCCAGATGTAAAAGATTGGATATTCTATGATCCCATTTATATGAAATGTTCAGAAAAGGCAGATTTATAAAGACAGTGGATCGGTGGTTGCCTTGGCCTGGTAGTAGGAATGAGGATAGACTGCCAATGAGCAAGAGGAATGTTTTGGGAATAACAGAAAGGTTCTACATTTGGTTGTGGGGATGTTTGAACAAAACTATGCTTACTAAAAATCACTGTGCATTTAAAACAGGTGAATTTGAGGCCGGGCGTGGTGGCTCATGCCTATAATCCCAGCACTTTGAGGGGCCGAGGTGGGCAGATCACGAGGTCAGGAGTTCAAGACTAGCCTGGCCAACATAGTGAAACCCACTCTCTATTAAAAATACAAAAAATTAGCTGGGCGTGGTGGCACCTGCCTGTAATCCCAGCTACTCGGGAGGCCGAGGCAGGAGAATCACTTGAACCCGGGAGGCGGAGGTTGCAGTGAGCTGAGATCACGCCACTGCACTCCAGCCTGGGCGACAGTGCGAGACTCCGTCTCAAAACAACAACAACAACAAAAAAGGTGAATTTTACGGTATGTAAATTATATCCCTTTGGTTTATTTTTTTGAGACAGGGTTTCATTCTGCCACCCAGGCTGGAACTCAGTGGTGCAATCTCGGCTGACTGCAACCTATGCCTCCTGGGCTCAAGCGATACTCCTGCTTCAGCCTCCCAAATAGCTGGGACTACATTTGCATGCCCCAGCTAATTTTTGTATTTTTTGTAGAGACAGGGTTTCACCATGTTGCCCAGGCTGGTCTCGAACTCCTGGGCTCAAATGATCCACCTGCCTCGGCTTCCCAAAGTGCTAGGATTACAGGCATGAGCCACTGCACCTGGCTATAAATCATATGTTAATAAAGCTATTTTAAAAATTAGCTTCTTTTTTTTTTTTTTTTTGAGATGGAGTTTTGCTCTCATTGCCCAGGCTGGAGTACAATGGCGCCATCTCGGCTTACCTGATGGTGGGAACATAAATTAGTTCAACCATTGTGGAAGACAGTGTGGCAATTCCTCAAGGATCTAGAACTAGAAATACCATTTGATCCAGCCATCCCATTACTGGGTATATACCCAAAGGATTACAAATCATACTACTATAAATGCACATGTATGTTTATTGTGGCACTATTCACAATAGCAAAGACTTGGAACCAACCCAAATGTCCATCAATGATAGACTGGATTAAGAAAATGTGGCACATACACACCATGGAATACTATGCAGCCATAAAAAAGGATGAGTTCATGTCCTTTGCAGGGACATGGACGAAACTTGGAACCATCATTCTAAGCAAACTATCACAAGGACAGAAAACTAAACACTGCTTGTTCTCACTCATCAGTGGTAGTTGAACAATGAGAACACATGGACACAGGGCAGGGAACATCACACACTGGGGCCTGTTGCGGGGGGTTGGGGGCTGGGGGAGGGATAGCATTAGGAGAATACCTAATGTAAATGATGAGTTGATGGATGCAGAAAAGCAACATGGCACATGTATACCTATGTAACAAACCTGCATGTTGTGCACATGCACCCTAGAACTTAAAGTATAATAAAAAAAAAAAAAAGAAAGAAAAAAAAAGTTTCTTTTTTTTTGAGACGGAGTTTCACTCTCATTGCCCAGGCTAGAATGCAATGGCGCCATCTCAGCTCACTGCAACCTCTGTCTCCCAGGTTCATGCCATTCACCTGCCTCAGCTTCCCGAGTAACTGGAATTACAGGCATGTGCCAATACGCCCAGCTAATTTTGTATTTTTAGTAGAGGGGGGTAATTAGCTTATTTTTTGTATATAATGAAGTGTCTGCAGACAGCCACACCCTGGGCTGGTATAATGAGGGGTTTTTTGTAGTCATTAGAGACCCAGACTCCTTATATCTTTGCCTCCACCACGCTAGTATGTGTTCTTGCCCTCATGGTCATATCTCACCTTCCTTCCTGGCTAGATGAGGAGAAAGACTGGAGAGTGAGAAAGACATTGACCATTGCTTCTTGACCTTTTGTCTGAGATCAAATGTAGCACCTGCTCTTACCAGCTTAATACCTGATATGTCCTCTATCTATCTTAAAAGTCAGCCACTTTAAGGATCTTTCTGGGAAGCCCCATCTAATAGCTCAGATATCATGAGCTAAAACCTTGCCACATGAACATTTGTAACTGCAAGGGAGTCTGAGAAGCATAGGACTATTGCTGATTCCAGGCAAATTAGGGTTCTGTTAGTAAGGTAGAGGGGAAGAATGGATATTGGGTAAATTAGCTTGAAATCTCTGGGGGTTGAGAAACAGTTTTTGGTGTCAATGTAAACACAGATAGAACCAGCATTACTTATATCACAGAGCAGTCCTTGCTTATAAGGTGATGAACCAGAATATGCTTAATATTAATGGGTTCTTATCAAAATAAAAACAAAACAATTGAATTTTTAGTGAAAGCATAAGGGCTCCAGAGAAGCTATCTCTTACTCTGTTGAGAAACACTAAGCTGAACAAATGTTCCTTGTTGTTTGTATTTTTATTTCTAAGACAACAACTTGAGGGCTGAGCCATTTGGTATAGTAAGAAGAACAGGGCTCTTGAGTTAGAAACATCTGGATTTAAAAATTGGCCACACTGTTTAGCTATGCTTTGGGCACACTGCATAACTTAGCTAGGCCTCAATTTCCTCCTCTGTACAAGAGAAGTAGTACCTGCCTTACAGGGTTATTGGGAGGACTTAAGAAGGCAGCAGGTGTAAACACTTGCCTGTGTGTTTGCTTCTCTCCTTCACAACTCACACTGCAGTGACACAGCCCTGTCTCATGCACCAGCAAAGAACAAGTCCTCATTTTTTTCTTGGCAAAATTAAACAGCTGTCCAGCTGTATTTTCCCCACATTTCTCATGCTGAGAATTTTTCCCAAGAGAATTTTCCTACTTAGAGATCATCTATTCAGCACACACACACAAACACACACATAAATTATGATGTGGGGCAGAGGTAGCAAAACAAACAAAACCCACTGAAGATAAAATTAACACATGGAGAACAAAATTCTAAAAATACTCTTATTTTTGTACCCAAAGTTTTGTAATCTTCCTAACAGCTAATCTTTTTACAGAATCAGAGAGATTATGTACTTGGCACATTAAGAAAGGTAGGTGCCTTGTCAAGTGCTTGTGAAAGCAGGTGTGCAGGTGAGTTGGCTGGCATGAACCCCAGGTCATCCATTACTTGCCCGTTTATTCATACATCAGTGTGACTAAGCCAGCGTGGAGCCTCTTCCATCCACTTTCTCCCCGAAGCACAAATACAGGTTAAAACAGGGGACTGTTCAAATGGGTGGACTATGATAGACTTACAACTCTTAAGTGGTTTGCAACTTTAGTAGCTTTTAAAAGTCTCTGTTAAACACTGACTGAACAAAATCCTTATTTCTGCAAGAAGGCGATGTATCCCAAAGAAGGACTCTGAAGCAAAATTGTGAAATCTGTCAACTGAAATGTAGAACTAATATTTATTATCTATGTTTATTCTCTACAAAGTAACAAAATTGTAATAATGACAATCTTGATAACACATAGCATTTAGTTTACATAATTAAGAGACAAGTGCAGGCTGGCAAAACTGATACAATACTTTAGGGCACAATGTTACAGTGTGGTTTTCCAGTCACTCCTTTTCAATGATTGATTTTTTTCCCTATCCCATGACCTACCTGACCGCTATGATACTTATCTGCCCATTTTTCTCCTCCTCTGTGAAAAGGGGAAAAGAAAGATGGTGCATGCCTCCACTCCAGAGCAGGTCTTACAGGCACCACGCGAGTGGAGGGCCCTGCTCAGGAAGCCCCGCAGCTTCTCCAGTGTGAGCAGCAGCCCTGCCTGCCAAGACTGAACAGCTGTCAGGATTTCTACAGCTGTGGCTGCTGCTGTTCCCCAGAACTCGCCTTCAGCTCCCAGATTGAGAAATCCTCTCTGTCCTTTGGTGCCCTCCACAGCTAATGGCAGTTAACTTCTAATATTGGGTTTGTGCAAAGTTTCTCCAATCCTGAAAGCTGCCACATTTCACGCTTGAATTACAAGTCAATTAAGAGCAAAACAAAACAAAAACCTATTCTTTCTTGTCTTGAGTCATTCTATATTATAATTACCATGTTGTTGCCTTTCCTCTCTCTTCCTAACCCAAATCATGAAGCACAGGAGAAGTCCTGTTACCTGCCACATACAGACCAAAGAAGAACCCATTCTAACACAGCTTTGCCTACTGCTCAAAGAATTCACAGTAGCAATGTTGATCTGCTTATAATAAAAAATTCTGCTTTCTCTACTGACCAGATAGTGGGTATTCCACAACACAAAAGCAGCTGCTTAGATGTGTATTTGGGGTTGTTGGAATATTTTCCCATTCGTATAACATGCAGCTTCAAAACACAATTGATTGCTTAGTTGTCCTATTAGGAATACAATTGGCCAGGCGCGGTGGCTCACGCCTGTAATCCAGTACTTTGGGAGGCCGAGGCGGGTGGATCACCTGAGGTCAGGAGTTTGACACTAGCCTGGCCAACTTGGTGAAACTCCATCTGTACTAAAAATACAAAAATTAGCTGGGTGTGGGTGGCAGGCACCTCTAGTCCCAGCTACTCGGGACGCTGAGGCAGGAGAATTGCTCGAACCTGGGAGGCGGAGGTTGCAGTGAGCCGAGATCGCTCCACTGCATTCCAGCCTGGGTGACAGAGCGAGACTCCCTCTCAAAAAAAAAAAAAAAAAAGGAGTACAATTAAGCTGGTAGAGCTGATATTTATAAGAGAAAGCCATGGCTATGGAAGGGGAGAGGAAAGGAGAGCTGAACAACAGTTGGGTCTTTCGTTTACTCATACAAGTGTTTACTAAGCATGCAGGAGTTCAAGGTGAGGAGCTGGGTGTTTTGCACTTAGGCCCCACCCTCAAAAAGCACACCCTCTGTCTAGAGAGAAAGACACACTGTGGATGACAATTTACAGGTGTGAAAAGGACTACAGAGAGTGTTCTGAGGTTGCTGATCAGCAAGGTGAGGGAGGCCTAAGTCTTACAGTGTCTTTGGAAGACTTTCAATTAAACTCACTTACTCATTAAAGTACTTCTAAAGGTTTTAATTTGCTTACAACCTCCTTGTGTGTGTGAGTGTGTCACAGCCGCTGTGATTCTCATGAGAGGTAAACCCATGCCTCTGGATTCTAGAGCCGATGCTTTCCTCAGACACTAGGGGTCAGCAGCTTCCAAGAGTTGTGAGTCAGGCTAGGAGCCCCAGTTCCTTGGGTGCTGCTAGGAGTGGGTTGGAGCTGATTCTCAGAACAGCAGGAGTCTAATAGGCACTGTAGTTGCTCTTCCAACACCACTCTCCTTCTTTTAGTAACTACCTTAACTTTTATTTGAGCACCTTCAATTCCTCCTGCAAAGCCCAGGTGCTTGGGGGAAGTTGATCAGGTGGTAGGGCTTGTGGCTCATTATCCCATCCCCTGGCTCCACTTACGGGTTCAAGGATAAACACCACACCCTATTTGGGCCAATGAGATTGAGGAGAAATCTGCTGAGGATGACTGGGAAAATAGTTCCTGGCTCTTTTGAGAGAGTTCTTGGAAGTGACCATTTCTTTTTCTCCCTCTCCCTAGACAGTGATGAATAAACTCAAAGGAAAGGAAAATCATTTGGCAACCGGAAGGTGTGGGAGGATAGCTGTAAATGAAACTGACGGCAAAAAACAGAGCAGAGAAGTTTAAAGAAAAAAAATAACAGCATTCCTGGTGATGCCCCATTGGGCCAATGAAACAAACACATTCTGAAGCCTTTCCTAACCAGGAGCCAACCAATCTCATCACTGTGAAGCCAGGTTAGTTTGGTTTTCCATGATTTTCATCTGACTGAAGGCATCTCAAGTATACACCGAGGGGACAAAGGCAAGCTTTGGAAAATGTGGTAGCAAGTGATCTGCAAGCTACTATTTAATAAACTTTATGCCAGCTCACCCTACCCTGCAGACATCACAGCAGCAAATAAATGAGAGGGAGGGGACCCAGAATGCTTAACTGGGGAAGAAAAACTGAGGAAGACATTGTATACTCATGGCCTGCCTCTTTTCCAGTTGGCTGAGAAGCCCTTTTTATTAATTTGTTCCATTTCCTTACCATGTCCTTAGCAGTGGAGATATATTTTTTGGAAATGTATTGATCACAATTATATTTCCTTACACTGGGAGGACAAGGAGGCTCCCTGCAACAGACCTTTGAAAGTAATGAACTGACAGAGAGAACAGGCCTCCAGTTCCAGCTCTCTGCTACCAATCTCCCTCACCTGCTCAGCCCAAATCAGTCTCTAAATACTCAGAGCTCTAAAAGAGTGGGATTTCCTATAGTTCATTGTGGGGTTTTACCTCTAACTCAGTAAAGAATCACTGAGAGGGTGAAGGGAGCCCTATTACAACTGCAGGGACCAGGGAAAGTTGACTTGACCTCTCTGCTTTCCTTAGGTCATTATACAAAAAAGAAACATCAAAAGGGTCATTGTACTATTTTTCAAAGGTGTGAGGCCATCGTGATGCAGGGTATGGATTTGGGAGTCCAACAGATCTAAGTTTAAATCTTGGCACATCTCCTTACTAGTTGTGTGACTTTGTTTCTGAGCTTCTAAATCTGTAAAATGGGAATGGATAAAGCCTACCATTCAGGCTGCTCTGAAGCTTAAGTGAAATATACATGTAATTGGTTTGGCATTTAAAAAATTGTTGCTAGAATTATTATTTCAGTATTCCCCTGGACGAAGGAACGCTGTGACAGAAGAAAACAGAGAAGTAGCCAGGTCCCTAAACATTCCCAATGTATACATACACTTCCCTGGGTGCATGCCAATGAAAGCAGCACAAGAACTTTGAAATTCAACCCCCACATGCAGGGTCTGTATCTACGTTAGAGAGTTCAGACTTTCTAATGGAAGTCACAAGCTTCTGAAGTAACTGCAGGTTTGGACTTAGTGCATGATCTAATTCCTTAGGTAGGTCTTATTTGTAGTGAAGCAGTGTGCAAAGGAGCTGCTCAAAAAAATAAAGGATATGGTTATCTTTGCCTTTCTTTTTAAAGATGTGGGCTCCTAACAATTTTTATCATTCACTGAAAAACAGGTGCTCAGAGTTAAAGTTTAGGACTTACACCCACACGTCTGTTCTAGAATTCCTATCCTAGGCAAAGGACTTGGTAGGTATTCTGGAATAGAGGCTGGAATGGAAGTAATCTTTCTATGTTGCATGGTTAACTCGTTTTCATTGATTCTTTCTATGGGATACTTTATTAGTCTTTCCCCAATATATTTTCTCCTTTTTCCTTATTGATAGAACTCCCCCTGCCCTTTGCAACACACACACACACACACATACACACCTTTTAGCTGGGCATATGGATGCTTAGGATAAGAATACATTCTCCAGCCTCTCTTGCAGCATGTGTGTGAGGTCACAACCATGTGACTAAATTCCGGCTAACTGAATTTAAGCAGAGGTGTCACGTGTGACTTCTGGGAAGTGTCCTTAAAGGAAAGGAGATGTGTTCTTCTTCTTCCCTTTCTCCTTCCTACAGTCAATTACAACACAATAGCAGGTCTTTAAGGAGCCAACTTGGACCATGAGGCAGAAAGCCATGTATTGAGGATGAGCAGGATTGAAAAAAGAAAAAACCTTCAGTCATCTTGAACCTGCCTTAAGACTCCTGACCTCCACACTTCTTTTACATGCATGAGAAATAAGCTACTATCCTTTCTGAAGTCCTAGCATTTTAGATTTTCTGTCACTTACACCTAAACCTAATCCAAACTGATACTTTGCTATATCCACTGTTTATGTTTTCTCTATTCATCATCACGACAAGCCACTTACAAATGGAGTATGGATTCATCAGTCATTCCCATCATACTCCCAAAATCCCACTCACAACCTCCAGAATGAATTCCACCCACAGTATAACATCAGAAAGGTCACCTCTCAGACATGGAAAGAAATAGAATTCTTTTTTTTAAAATCAGGCACAAAACCCTTTTGTTTATTTTACAGAAAACCCTATCTATTGAAGATGACTGCTTTCTTCTACTGTAGCTGGCAATTTTATGAAATGAAGAAAATTTGCTCTAGTTGCAAGTGACACACACCTCTTAAATGTCTGCTATCAATTAAAAGTAAAATACTGGTTACTTGCAACTATCAATTAGATACAATGCACTCCAGGAGATCAGGAGCCTTGGCATTCAGACATAGGAGCATTTTTTTGGCTTTGCCATTTACTTGCAATGTGACCTTGGTAAGTGACTTAACCTCTTTTTCAGTTTCTTTATCTATAAAATGAAACCTCATACAGTACCTGCCAAAAAATAAAAATAAATAAATAAGCTAATATGGACAATGCACCCAGCACATAAAGGTGTTACAATAACAAAAGGCCCTCTTTGTTCTTTTGTTTTTTATTGGTATAAATGAAAGGTTATGGATTTTAAGTCCATAGACCTGTGATTTAATAAGGTTTAGTCTCTAAAATTGACTAATTTTATAACCATGGTGGCCTTAACTTCCTTAAGACTTAGTTTCTTCAACTGTCAATCACACTTATAATGACAATAGTGATATTATTAATTGTAGCAATAACAACTGTAAACACATTGTATGGTTAGCAGGTGCTGTGGGCTGCATCAAGTTCTTTTGTTTTTATGATTTCATTAAAATCTGAGTTTTTTTCCTACCTCGTGCAGATGTTTTTAAGGATATAAATAGAAAGAAAAAGTGATTATAAGGATACTGTGTGTACCAGAATTTTAAAAAATTGTAAGGTATATAGAAATATAGAATTTTTATTGAATAAATAACTCCCTTTAAAAGAAGATACTCTGATTTTTAGAAAGTGAAAGATTTTGATTATAACAGGAGGTTAATTTTTTTTCCTTTTCAAAACTTGTACTTAATTTAAGAAGTAATGTAAAATTTTATTATGCCAAAACAGAGGCACACACTTATGGAACTGCTTACCATAAAAGTGATAACAAAATGTCCATGCAGAATAGACTGGTTTTCTCTCTTTTCTACTTTAAATAGTCTTCATCATTTGATTCAGGAAAAAGTATCTGATAATTCCCAAGAAAAGTATATTATGTACTCATATATACTGGGTGTAAGTATGGATTTAATGCATCTGCATGTACTTTCTTTCTTTTACTTACAAACAAATGTTTATGTTCTAGAACACAGGTTTGTAAATTGACTAGACATCAGAAATTTCTCCCCTTAGAGAAACAACATTTATAACCATATCTTACTTACAGTAACTGTTACCATCCCCAACTGAAAATTCTTCCTGATATAAAATACTTGTATACAGAAACTTACTTTTGTATATAGCTTTTCCATAAATTCAAGAAAATTTTGGCTAAATTTGAGTCACTCGTATTTGATATAATGAGAGACTAAAGGACCCAGGACTGGGGAGTGAAAAGGAAGAAAAGCAGATGCCAGCAGTGGACGTTTTTACAAGGCAGCCTTGGAAAAGATAAAGGAAGAATCCAGCCCACAGATGATTAAAAACTGCATATTAAAAAAAAAAAAAAACAGACTTAGTTGCCAACATTTAAATATAGAAATTTTCACATAAAAATCCTATGACCTGCATTTTTGGTACAGCCACAAACAGCTGGCCATGCACAGTGCTATGGAGGTCCTTTTAGGCTGGCCCACTTTCACTCTCCATTTGTGGGGAAGCATCCCTCATTTAGAAATCTGCCTGGATTGTATTAAAGGCATATGAATTTAAGGTATCTGAGCTCGCACACATACCTCTGCCCTGTATAAAAATGAATGTTAGGGAAACTGCAGGTCATGGGCCCTTAACAACAAAAGAAAGATCTGGCATGGTTAGCTTTTCCTTATGTCACTAGGACCTTCACGGGCCACCAGTCAGTAAAGGCCCCATGTGGAGAATCACTGTCATGCAGCCACAGAGCAGCAATTACTATTGAGGTCACTGTTCCTCAGACCCAATGGTCTTGATGCAAAGTTCACGTTCTTGCTCCAGATACCATCTGTGTACCATAAAGCTCATAACAATATTCTGCCCCTTTAAGTGTCTGAGTTTCCGACCCTGGCTTTGAATTGGTTCCCTTCTAGTACTTGTTAGTGAGGGAGGGGGCAGCCCCAAAAAGGGCTGCTGGAGCAGGTGTGACATTATCCTGGTAAGAGATATCCCCAGAGATCTCTGCGCATTGGAGAGGTGGGCCTGAGTAATAACTGCTCAATTACACTCGACTTCTCCTTCTAAAGGTGGGTTCAGGGAGGTGGGTATCAACTTGGTCATAAAATCAGAGTGTTATCTGTGTTTTGTTTACATTCATTTACTCATAGACTCATCTGTGTTTTATGTTGAATGTAGCTCCACTGAGGTAGGGGCTTTGTTTTGTTCACTACCATACCCTTTGAAGTTAGTGCATGGCACATAATAGATACTCAATTAATATGTGGGGAATAAGTGAATGAATGAAAGCACTACTTTCTTCTTCCTGGAAGCCTTCCAAGATCAGTCCTCCATCATCTCTCATCTGGAGGACTTCAACTGGGGGTCCCAACTGAACTAGACCCCAGGCAATGGTGTAGCTACCCCTCAAATCTAATATCTACCTTAAGTTATCTTTCTAGAATCCAAATCTGTTGCATCACTTCTCCACTTAAAATGCTGCAATAAGTTTCTCACTATTCTTAGGATAAAGTCCAAATTTTAAAATGAGGCTGAGAAGGCCCTTTTAATCTGGCCCCAACCCATCCCTCCTGTCCTAGGCAGCCTTACGAAACTTCTGTGTGCCAGGCTCTCTCTTGCACTCCCACCAGACTGTATGGCAAGCTCCTAACTCACTCATCAGGTCTCAGCTTAAGTCTTCCATACGTTCTCACCACTACCACATATTCCCTTATTATCACACTTACACATATTCCCTTATTATCACACTTAAACCTGTTGGATTGTCTGTCAGTTGGCCAGCAGGCTTGTCCGTCTTGTGACAAGACACCTGTATCCCCGGTCACCCGTATCCCTGGCACTCCTCAAGAAGGCAGCAAGGAGACTTTTATTGGATAAACATATATTTTGTGTGCCAGGTTCAGTGCCATCCTCTTTGTAATCCTCTACTTCATTATTTCACAGATGAGAGAGAAGTTGATGCTCAGCGAGGTGAAGTAATTTGCCCAGGGTTAAGATTCAAATGCAAGTCTGGGGACCCTGAAGTCTGCTTCTTTTCACTGTGCTGCGTAGTGGCCTTAGCCTTTCCTTTCTAACAGAGAAGCCAAGACAGCATACCTGTGTCTGAGTGCCCCAGTGGTGTGCACATCTATTACCTCAGGAAGAAAGAATGTCTGAGGAGACGAAATTTGCAAACAGTTACAAAGGACTGCACACACAAATATGAATAAAGCCTCTTGAACACCAGAGTAAAGGAATGTAGGTCAAATAATTGCCCTGTTCAGTGTCTCCCTCTCCCTCTTCATTACCCAACTCCTCTCATTTGCATACATGAGGCCCCAAGTGGAAGATAACTTGGTGGAAAATTCCAGGAGCTTTGCAACTATCATTAAAAGCAAAAGTTCAAGAAATAAGGAAAGAATTTTAAATTCACTTTGTTTTAACTCATGATTATTCTAATTTAAAAGCTCAGATTTAGTAATGTGTTCAGAGCCAACTAGGCATAGAAAACTGTAGCAAGCCTCTGGAAAAATAAGCCTTGTTTGGCTGTTTTTTTTGGTTGTTGTTGTTGTTGTTTTGTTTTTGTTTTTTGAGACAGAGTCTCACTCTGTTGCCTAGTCTGGAGTGCAATGGCATGATATCGGCTCACTGCAACCTCCGCCTCCTGGGTTGAAGCGATTCTCGTGCCTCAGGCTCCCGAGTAGCTGGGATTACAGGTGTGCACCACCACGCCCAACTAATTTTTGCATTTTTAGTAGAGACAGGGTTTCACCATGTTGGCCAGGCTGGTCTCGAACTCCTGACCTCAAGTGATCCCCCCGCTTCTGCCTTCCAAAATGCTGGGATTACGGGCGTGAACCACTGCGCCTGGCCTTGTTTGGCTGTTATGAAAACAAAGTAAATCATGATAATGAAGAAGAAAAAGATAAGGAAAAATAACTAACAGTAATTTTGAGCCAGGTACACACATTGCCATTTAAACCTCCTAAAAAGCCTGTGAAATTAAGTAGTATTAATACTCCCATTTTACAGATGTCAAAATTAAGGCACAGAGATGTCAAGTAATTTGCTCAAGGTCACATGGCTAGCAGAAACAGAAAAGATTAAGATCCAGTCCAGCTATTTCCAAAACCTGCTCTTATTCCGCAAAGCCAGCTTTCCAGTTTGTGTAATACTAATTGTTATATAAAATTTATAGGAGGCCATTGGTTTGAACTGAGCTCCTGTATTAGACCCAACAGACCAAAACCAAAATAGAGTTATTCATGCTGAAGTTCCATGCCACCAAGTTGAAACTAAGTTGTTCATCTGACCTTTCAAGAAACCAGCAGAGAAACATAACAGCCAAATTACCAAACAGGCCAGTTTTAGCTGGCATAAGGAAGCCCCCTCTGCTTTAACCTTTGCAAAGAAAGTAACTGAAACAAACAATCAATTTTCTGCTGCCTCTTCCTGCTTTCCTCCACCCTTTCCTCTCTATAAAGTCAACTTCCTCTGCTCAGCTTATTGGAATACTCATTCTGTTCCATAGAATGAGGTGTTGCCTAATTCTAGAATTGCAAATAAAAACTAAAGATCTTACCCCATCTCTACTAAAAATACAAAAAAATTAGCTGAGTGTAGTGGCAGGCACCTGTAGTCCCAGCTACTTGGGAGGCTGAGGCAGGGGAATGGTGTGAACCTGGGAGGCAGAGCTTGCAGTGAGCCAAGATCGTGCCACTGCACTCCAGCCTGGGCAACAGAGCAAGACACTGTCTCAAAAAAAAAAAAAAGATCTTTAAATTTGCTTGCTTGTAAGTTTGTTTTTTGAGAAATGTAAGTGACATTTTCTAATCATTAGATTTACATTTGTTCCAGAAGATTTTATTTCAAAATATAGCACAGAATTAGACTAATAACATTTCAATCTTACCAATGTGTTCTTCACAATAAGAAACTGCATGAAGTTGGTATCATGCTTAATTCATTTTAAAGTAAAAATGGAAAGGAAGAAAGAAAAATCCTTTAGAGGAAGAATCTGAAGGTAAGACTGAGGAAATTACAAGTGACTGTATAAGCTCCACATTTTAACCTAAGAGAAACTAAAGGGCATTCAATAAAATCAAGTTTTACAGTGATGTGCTAGATACTGTTTCCAAGAGGGACAAAATAAATATTCAAGTTCAAAAGCATGCAACAACCTTACCAACTTATAAATAGTATGCTTTAGAAATGAGTGGTACTGTTGCCTCCTATTAATCTAGAGGATTTTACAAAACAAAACAAACAAAAAACACAGTCCTTTATGTAAAAAATAATTGTGAAGGGTTTGAGGTTGAACATGTAGATGTGGATCTCCTGGGCAACAGAAAGCTTAAGACCAAACATAACAGAAAAAGTCAGTTAGTCATGGAAAACTGTAATAATTCAGTAGCTGGTTAAGTCCTTGTTCTAACCAAATGACATCATCGGGAAGAAAGACACTGTGGTGCTTGTCCAGAAAATTTCAGTCATTTCCCTTCCTGTCATACAGAGTATATGGTTTTAGTTTTACCTCCCTTTCATGACTTTTGCCTTGATACTCTCCAAGGG
Organism: Homo sapiens; assembly: GCF_000001405.40. Classification (NCBI taxonomy): domain Eukaryota; kingdom Metazoa; phylum Chordata; class Mammalia; order Primates; family Hominidae; genus Homo; species Homo sapiens. The sequence continues at coordinate 159,796,777 of NC_000003.12, read as the reverse complement.
TGATTATTACTTCACTTCCCCATGGTCAATGTCAGGTCTTTCTGTCACCCCCAAATATTTAATAGGTCAGTACTTTGCTGTAAGACAATGGTTCTCAATTCTTTGCATTGCATCTTATGCCCCAAATCAAAACTCCAAATTTTTTTACCATCATGATCATGAACTAAAAAGTGTCAGGAGAGGGGGGCTGTAGCTAAGCAGATGGCTTTCTCCCTGTCACCTGCAGATGTCATTGCTCCAGTCACGCTATGTTCACATTTTACATCGCTGCTTTCCTCTGGGAAATCTGGGAAGGCTGGGTGCATGATCACTCCTCCCTGGCAGGTCTCCCTTGCAAGCAGCACATCAAAGACTCACTGAGTTCCAAGCAGTCACTTTGTGCCAGCCCAACAACCAACACTCCTCCGATTCCTCAATGCTTCCCCCTTCCCTCTCCCCCTAGCTTCTGATGATTCAACGTGCTTTATATGGCTTGTATTTCTGCTGTTCTCTCTTCTACTGCCCCCAACTTGTCTTAGTTCGGGAGTACCTTTTCTTAAAACTAGTATCTCCCCACTAGAATGCATTCTCACCACCATCAGACACCACTCCCCAACAAACCTCTTTCATTCCATCTTCTACACTGTGTCCAGTGATCTATCTGACCTGCAGTGGCTCTGCCCAAATCCAAGCACCTTAGCATACATAAGGCCTGCTATGATCTACTTTTTGCCTCCATCCTTGTCTGTGGTTCACCTAATCTTAGTTCTTACACATTCATATGGCTTGCTTCCTTTAAAATGCAGTTTGCCAAACTCTAACCTCAGTGATTTTGATTCATTATGCCTGGGGAGAGGCCCAGAATCTGCACATCAAATGCTACTAATATATATCTGATGCAGCAAAACCCTGGAGAAACATTGCTCCACAGCCTCCCTCTTACTATTGGCTTCCGTCAACACATCCTACTCCATGGCCATATGGTCCCCAGAGCAAACTGCTCTTCCTTGTCTCCATAATTTTACACACGTTGTTCCCTCTGCCTGGAATATCTCCTTCCACATCCTCCTGGCAAATTTCTAATTATTTTTCAGGACCCAGCTCAAGATTCTCCTCCTCTAACCTACCCAAATGAAGTGAACACTTTCTTTGGACCACCACTGTGTCTATAGCATAGTTTTACCACATTTATTACTCAGTCCAGGGACTCTTTGCATGTCAGGAACCCCTGTCTGGGTATCAGAGGTATAGTTTCCAGTCCCAGCTCTGACCCCTTACTGGCCGTGATGTCTTGGGCAAGTTACTTAGCATCTGTAAGTCTCATCTGGAAATTGAGCCAACAGAAGTACCTATCCCATTCACCTGTTGGTACTATCCTGGGAAGTACTATTACTAGTGAGGAAACTGAGGCAGAGAGATTAAGTAAATTTCCAAAGATCACATAGCTAGTGAGTGGAAGAGCTGGGATTAGCCTTGAAGCAGTCTGGCTCATGCCCACATTCTTAACCACTGGAGACCTATCTTCCCTACTAGGAAATAGGCTGGCTAGGGAAGGTTAGTTGCGCTGCCAAATGTCTAAGTTTGGTTCTATCCTGCTCTAAGGTCACGGAGAGTCTTTAGCAGACCGTGTTTAGCAGAAGAATTGGAGCAGAAACAGGGAGGGCTAAGGGACTTATTAACCACATCTATATCGCAGCTCTATAGTACAGTTCACCGCTCCTTTACTGAGTCCCTGATTTCTGTCCTGCTTTCTTAGGTCTTCCCATTCTACCTCACATCTACCAAACGCGACACTTCTTCTGTGATAGAGGTCAGAGTCCCCAGGCCAATCAAATCAGAATCTCTAGGAGTGGGTCCCAGATGCTCATGCTTTTTAAGAGGACATCACCCCGCCTCCACCCATCATCCCAACAAGTAGCTAGAGTTGGAAACCACTGCCAGGAGCCTTTCCCCTCCCTTGGGCAGCTTCTTGCATCTGAAGGTCATCTTTGTGGTGAGACCTACCATTTTATTACAATACTATTTTTTGGCCTCTCCTAGGAGCTCCTAATCATTTTTGTGCCATGGAGGGCCCCTTTGGCACTCTGGGGAAGCCTGTGGACCCCTTCTCAGAATGATATCTTACATGCATATAGTAAAAAACAGGATTACAAAGAAAACCAATTATGTTGAAATACAAGTATACTGACCACTAGAGGTGAGTTCTTTGGCCTTGACCTTGAGGTCCGGAATCTAGTCTTTTTGTATGTAGGGGGGTCTAACACACAAAATTCTTGCTGGAAGAAAAAATTCAAGAATAAGCCACACCTACTCCCTGTTGAGAATCACTGCATTAGTAGCAGAAAAGTTCTCTACCTGAGGGAGACTTCAGCAATGCACCATTTCAGCACAATGAGACCCAACTGTTATGCAATCCACTTCTGAAACAAGCTATTAAAGCACCTGAAAATCTAAAAATTGGCAGCCTTTTAAAGAAATCATAAAATTAAAATTCTGAACATGGTATTATCACTTAAGAGACTTTACAAAATCTTCCTCTCTTACCCATCAGAAACTGTAGAGGAGGGAAGCTGTGGCTGACTCAGAGGTTTCTGTACTCAAATGAGAAAAAGTATGGATTTGAATTTTATTCTTGCTCTGGTAGGCAGAATAATGACCCCCCATCCTCCCATATGTTTATGTTCTGATCCCCAGAACCTGTGAATATGCTACTTCACATGGCAAAAGGGACTCCATAGATGTGATGACGTTAAAGACCTTGCTATGGGGAGACTATCCTGAATTACCCGGGTGGGCCGAATGTAGTTACATGGGTCCTCATAAGAGAGAGGAAGGAGAGTCATAGAGGAAACAGGATGACAGAAGCAGAAGTCAGAGTGAAGTGGGGCCATGACCCAAGCAATGCAAGCAGCCTCCAGAAATTGGAAAAGGCAAGAAAACAGGTCGGGCACAGTGGCTCACGCTTGTAATCCCAGAACTTTGAGATACTGAGGCAAGTGGATGACTTGAGGCCAGGAGTTTGAGACCAGCCTGGGCAACATGGTGAAACCCCATCTCTAGTAAAAATACAAAAATTAGCCAGGCTTGGTGGCACACGCCTGTAATCCCAGCTACTTGGGAGGCTGAGGCACGAGAATCACTTGAACCCGGGAGGCAGAAGTTGCAGTGAGACGAGATGACACCACTGCACTCAAGCCTGGGCGACAGAGTGAGACTCAGACTCTCCCCTAGAGCCTCCAGAAGGAATCAGCCTTGCCAACAACCTGATTTTAGCCCTGTAAGACCATTTCAGACTTCTGGCCTTCAGAAGTATAAAATAATAAATATGTATTGTTTTAACCCGCCAAGTTTGTGGTAATTTGTTAATGGGACAATATATAGCTAATACATCTGCCTATATCCAATAGGCAAGAAAATGGCCAACAGACACAATATAAGAGAAAGAACCAAGCACAAAGATTGGCTTTATCCTTTACGCCAGTGGTTTTCAATCCTGATTGCATGTTAAAACTACCTAGGAAGCTGAGAGAGACAGAGAGACAGAGAGAGACAGAGACAGTGCACACACAAGAGTACACACACTAATGCTAGGGTCCTAAATAAATCAGAATCTTATGGTGGGGGATGCGATTTCTTGGGTCTGAACATGTTAAACGCACTCAAGGATTATGATACATGGCGAGGGCTAAGAATCCTGTCGCATATTAACAAAAGTAGGGTAAGTTACAGTTTGTACACAGCTCTTGTCATCCAAGATAAAAATACACTGGTTGCAAACATTTTCATTAACTCTTATAAGACCATTGTGAGTCAAGGAGATGGCAAACACACAATGAAAACAAGCAGAGAGAATAAAACAGGTTGCTTAAGGCTATGAACAAATTCCTGATTCAGTTAAAAATTACATCCAAATTCTTTCTAAAATTTTAATTCAGTACTCTAGCCACTAGAACAGAACACATCTCTACACCCAACCCCAAATAAAATCTCCATTCCAATAAACAAACTATCAACTTGTAAGTAAATATGAAAACCAAAGGCCTGAAAAATGGTTAAAGCATTTGAATTTTTAAAAATTCTCTTGTTAAAACCTTATAAATGACAATCCAGCCACTTCAAATCCTTACTAGAGATGAGCAAGGGAACTGTAGCCATTTCCTTCTAGGCCAATGACTAAAAACTAATAAACAACTAAAATGCCAACTAATTGTGTGAATGAAATACAGATATCTAAGCAAACAAAAACTCTACTATTAAATTTTACAATGACTAAAAAGTCTGTACCCAAACCATAGATGATTATCAAAATAATAACAACATGTTACCATTTATGAAGCCTTTATTATGTTCCAGACAATTGTCAAGTGCTTTACCACATACAATTCTTTAACAGCCTTGCAGTACCAGTGTTCATCCTCACATCCAGGATGAAGCAACTGAGCTCCACAGGGTGAGACTCTTAGGCGGTAGAACTGGAATTCAAAGCCAAGTCTGTCCTATGCCCCAAGCCATGCTCTTCCACACCGCCTGAGTCTCCTCTGCCTCCATACCTTTGAGGCACAGCCTGGCACTTGACAGGCCCCCTAATAAAGACTCATTGAACTGAGCTGAATACAATACAAGGAGGGCACTATCAGTACCAACTCCATTATCTCCAGGAATGAACAAACAAAGGAATTGTACCAAAAAGAGATGCCCATGGAATTCTAATCTTTAGAAGAAAATGAGTCATTTTTTTTCTAGGCCCAAGATAGACACACACAGATGAAAATAATTATTATGGGCACACACGTTCATACCCCAAATAGAACATGACTTTTTAAAAAATGTCAAAAGTTAAATAAGAATATTACCCGGCATTCCATTTTCCAGGATTTTAAAAATAAATTGAGATTTTTCCTCATTAAGATAAAAGTATTTTCTAATAATCACTGGGGAATAATCTGTATGATAATCAAAAGGGATTAATGGATTCCTTTCCTTGTTCTTTATCAGTAACAGATTCCTCTCTCACTAATATTACCCTGTTTTATAGTCAGATAAGTGAATACAACTGATAATAAAGGCCAACAAGGAAGAGGGAAAGCAAAGGAAGCCACGGGCTTCTGCTCTGATGCTAAGACTGTGTGAAGGATGTTTCCCAGGCTCCTTTCTCACCTGGCTCCCTGCTAGATCTTGCCAATGGGAGGCATGGGGGAATGGCCAGCAAGAGGAGGGCCCAACTCCTGTAGGACACCCCTCCAGCAGCTGCAGAAAGCTGGCCCTTGGGCACCCCTGCTGTGACTTGACTGAGGTTGCCAGATGCCCCAAGCAGGACTCTGTCTCCCCTCCCTGAGGGCTATGCCTGAGCCACAGCAGGCACCTGCCGGGAAGGTTCTGGTAACATCGCCTCTTCCCTTTTGTTGTCTTGGTCCCAGGAGTGGTGGCTGCTTCTTGCCGTTACTAGTCTCTGTGTTACCTTGGTTTCCACATTTTGCTCTTTCTGTGTTTTTTTTCACTTGTTTAACTGATTCCTTGCATTAAATCTGCTCCCTGAAATTCTTAGAATGGTTTCTATTTGCTGATGGGCCCCTGGGCTGATATGACAATGAAACTGAGAGGTTAAACGTGAGACTGCACCTCCCTGCACTGAGTGGTTGAATCTACTTATCTGCGCTGAGGTCCCTATTCCTTTGAGGAAGTTCCAGGGCCACCTTATCCCCTTGCCTTAGGTTATCTATTCAATTGTGTTTCATAAGAAGTCCAAGGCAGGCAAGGTGTGAGGGGTCCGCCCAGACTCAGGCCACATTCTGATTTCTCAGAAGCGGTTTTAGGGCCAAACTTTCCATGCTGAGGATAATTGCAGGATTCTAAAAAAAGAATATTAAAATAAATAACATAAACACAACTTTTTCACAACACAATTTGGTTTAAAGGATTAAGAAACAAATCCCATTTTTCATGTAAAAATCTTAAAATAGCAATGATAAAGGCAGAAAGCCAAAGCTTAGGGGAAAAAAATGCTTCTAAGTGGACATGAAAAATTTTGAAAATATGAAATGTATAAGTATTTTTTCAAAGTCAGGTCCTCTCAATGTGCAGAGAAAGATGGAAATAGCCTTTTTGTTTTCTTTTTGAGACAATCTCGCTCTGTCACCCAGGCTGGAGTGCAGGGGCTCAATCTCGGCTCACTGCAACCTCCACCTCCTGGGTTCAAGTGTTTCTCCTGCCCCAGCCTCCCAAGTCGCTGGGACTACAGGTACATACCACCATGGCCAGCTAAATTTTTGTATTTTTAGTAGAGATGGGGTTTCACCATATTGGCCAGGCTGTTCTGGAACTCCTGACCTCAAGTGATCCGCCCGCCTTTCAAAGCGCTGGGATTACAGGCGTGAGCCACTGCACCCAGCTGGAAATAGTCTTTTACAGAAAGATTGTAACTTCACTCAAATTATTACCAAGAAAGGAAACCGAGCATATGAAGGACATACATTAACACATTCTAATGCTGCTCAAGTTCCTCTTTCATAAAAACAGTATAAGTTATATCCAATAAAAAGTTTCTGTAAAAGGTAACATTTTAATGATTCACTAAAAGCATTTCCAATTTCTATGAACTTTGAGCCCAGCTGCTGAGTAGAGTCTGAGGAGCAGAGAGGAGCACTCTTTCAGCCCAGTAAATACCAAAGCTTTCAACTGAAAACATCCATTCCTCCAAAGTTGCCCCTGTCTTAATCCAAGTATAAAGTCCAGGTAGAGGGGGGCCTTGGGCAGGAACTGAGAATATGACCCTTCTGGCGGTGGGAGCGGTTGCAGCAATTAAATCACCTGTTTTGGATCATTGGCTGGGATCCCCAGTTCCTTCCAATTACTGACTGCTCACCTTTCAGTGGAGCTGCCCACAGGATGGACTGCCCCTCCCAGGCTGACAGGATTGTTCTGCTCACCACCGTAGTTTTAGTGCTTATCATAAATCAATAAATTGGCATTGCTATTTTACACATCAGGTTTGGAATCATGGTTTACTGGGTACATCCCTGATAAATAAAATTATCTTTCTTATGATAACAAAATCAGTTTCTGGGCCACGAGGCTAAGGGTCAGACCCTGAATTATGTAATCTTATCATTCTCAAAGTATGATCCCTGGACCAGCAGAATCAGCGTTACCCGGGACTTGTTTGAAATACAAATTTTGGGGCCCAACCCTAGACCTCCTGAATCAGGAGTGTGGAGCCCAGCAATTGTGTTTCAAACAAGTGTTCCAGGGGATTCTGATTCCTGCTCAAGTTTGAGAGCCACTAAATTGAAATGACAGTTATTTGGAGGTGGGGGATTATGGTTAATTTTGTGTCAACTTGGCTAGGCCATGGTGCACAGTTGTTTGTCAATGCCAGGTGAGATGTTGCTGTGAAGGTGTGCTTTCGATGTGATTAACATTTAAATCAGTCAATTCTAAGTAAAACAGATTACTCTCCATAAAGTGGGCCGGTCTCATCCAATCAGTTGATGACATTAAGAGAAAAGAGAGGTCCCCTGAAAAGGACGAAATTCTGCCTCCAGACAGCCTTTAGACTCAAGATTGCAACATTAACTTTTGAAGGAATTTCCAGCCTGCTGGCCTGGACTTGCCAGCCCTCGAAACTGCATGAACCAGTTCTTTAAAATCAATCTCTCTCTCTCTCTCTGTATATATAGATACACACACACAACCTGTATACATACACATATACAGGTTGAGTATCTCTTATCTGAAATGCTTGGGACTAGAAGTGTCTCAAATGTTGGATTTTGTTGGATTTTGGAATATTTGCATTATGCTTACTGGTGAGGCATCCCTAATCTGAAAATCTGAAATATTCCACAGCATTTCCTATAAGCATCATGTCAGCCCTCAAAAAGTTTAGAATTTTGGAGCATTTTAGATTTCAGATTTTTTAATTACAGATGCTCAATTTTATATATATGTAAGGTGAATTATATATATATTATACCCTATTGGTTATGTTTCTCTGAAGAACCCTGACAAATACAGGGTTCATATGTTCATATGTTTAATGCATGTATCCTACATTAGGACTAGGATTTTATCTTTTTTTATTTTTAGCACTGTATGCTCAGTGCCTAGTATGTAGTAGTTAGGCTCTCCATGCATATTTTTGGTGAATGAATGAAGTGTGGTGAACTCACCAAGAAAGGGAATTGGATAATTTGGCCCTGAGAGGGGGCTCTTGGAAATCAGCCAAACCTGAAAATACCTCCACTGAATTCCTTTGGGCAATAAACCTCTCCTCAGGAATCTTCTAGAGTGTGTAGATGAACCAACAGGAAATCACATCCAGGAATTGTGTTGAGTGTCTCTGTATTTAATTTCTTACAAGTGAAAGAACGCTCTACACTCGGCAGGCCACTCTTCAGCTTTGTTTCTATCCACAGGCCATGATTTTAAGTGCAGTGACTGCATTTGGCACTTCTGTAACGCCTTGTATTTAAAACCAGCTTTTAGAGTAGATCCCTATCAGTACTTTGTTTTTCTGGAAAGAGTGAAATTGAAAACTTAGCCTCAAATATCATCTATTTTAGTGTCAGCCCCAATACCTTAATCTAAAGAAGGTGCTTTCCTGAGAGATGGGAGCAGACTTTGAGGCCGACACTCATCTCTACTCCCACGTCACACCCTCTGTGGGGCCAGCTCACTCAAAACAGCAGCAGAGCTTAGTCTCCAGGCTGCGGGGATTGTTGTAATGCTATTGAAGACGGGTCAAAAGTCATCTCGATAAGATTATTTTGAAACCTCTAGGATAGCAATTCCATCTGCTATATGAAATCAGAAAAAGTAAACATTCCTTGGTTAACCTTCATCATTCCCCTACATAAACCTCAATCACATTTCTTTGAAACCATGCCAGATTTTCAGTGCTGGCTAATAGGATTCAGGCTCAGATGAGGGAAGTTGGTCCAAATGTGTGAAGTGGACAACAGTGGCCAGAGGGGAGGACTTAAGGGCCAACTAATGCTTCTTCAACTCAGTAGCCAGTCCTGTTTGAAACTTTGAAAATGCTGTTAAGCTGCAAAGTGTTCCTTCCCTTAGAGAAGGAAAAAACTAAGAATTAGTTTGGTGAATTTGCCCTCCATTTACCTGGCAATTTGCTCTCCACAAATCTGGCATGATTTCAAAGAAATGTGATTGAGGTTTAAGTAGGCGAATGACAAAGGTTAACCAAAGAATATTTACTTTTTCTTATTTCATATAGCAGATGGAATTGCTATCCTGGAGGTTTCAAACACAGAATACAAGGAAAGACATTCATTATTTCACTAGGAATCCATTCCGCTCACTAAGCTCCTACCAGATGCTGGGGCAGCCTCTGGGGCAGGGCCCAGGTAAGGCTGACAGTCATCTAGTGTCCAGAGAAAGAACCGAAAAGCTTGAGCCAAGTGTGTATGAATGTATGTGGGGTAAAGTGTGATGGAAAAAGCCGAGGGAGATGACTCAGCAGCTTCCAGTGTTTACAAAGACAACCAACACCTAAACCAAACAAAAAGGACTGAAGGCTAGGCAGAGGCTCGTATCCTATATTCAGTCCATATGGGAGCTACTTTGAAGTCAATTTTAAATTAAGTCACCTGGGAGTTGGAATTCTAACTCAACCACTTACCAGCTATGTGGAAGTTACTAAATCTTCCTAGGTTTTAATGTTCTCATCTTTTTACTAAAAAGGGGTACAAAGTTTGTTGAGAGGACAAAAATAAGATTACATAGGTCAAATCCCTGGTATCTAATCAGACCCAAAGTCAACCCTCAACAAGTCTTCTCCTTGCCAGTCAATACCAAAGCTGGCCAGTCACGCACCTACTCAGACTCGCTTACTGTGAGTTCTTCTTTGTCTTCAAAACTGTCTTCAGTGCTCACTTTAATTTTTACAAAAATATTCGGCTTTTTAAAGGGGGAAGGGGTTACTCTAAATTATTTGTCTTGTAAACTGAGGCCCCAGGGAAGGATTCTACGTGCTGTGGCTGGTCCAGCTGTGATGCTTCATTTCTATTAACCATCCCTCCACTACACACAGACCACAATCACACCACAAAACACACACACACACACACACAGTGCACACGCGCAGACACACACACACACACACACACACACACACGCTTTGACTCAGAGTCACTTCACTGCTTATCTGACTAAAGGTGCGAAACTAAACTATGATTTATGACCATTCCTTCTCATTTCAGTTTCAGCAGCACGAAATCCATTTCTCAGTACATTTCAAGGAAGAATAGTCATTGATATTTAAGAAGCATTAATGTTTTTGAACAGACATATGCCAATACCTCTAATAGGAATTAATAACAACTCAAATCCATATGAATCCATTTTGGCTCAATTTGAATAATTTGAGAACTATAATAATCTTTAAAAGTATCTTTTAATTTCATTATACTTTGAAGATAGCAATGTTGATGTCCAGATGACCATCACAATAAGGGTATCATAGATGATTTAGAGGTTAGGAAATGTCTATTAAAACTTGCTGGAAAAAAAAGCAGACTTTTTAGATTGCTATATTTGCTGAAAAGGAGACCTATGTTTAAATCATTCTAACCAATAAAGAATTAACAGATTTTGCTTCATGGCACTACAAACAGCTGTTGAGTAAGTCTTCCAGGTATTTCCTGCAGGGTTTAAAAATCTTGGGATAAAAATAATAAGATCTTATAATGAACCTTATTAACAGAAAGAAATGTAATAAAAATTATTATCTTTGATTTTCCCCATAGAGGGAGGGAAAATATCAACTGCATATTTTAAATAGATGTTTAAAACAACAAAAAAGAAAATACACATACAACAAAAATAAGATGTTTTAAAATTTCCCAAACATATATTCATGTCCCCAAAATAAATCTGATGTTTCGACCAGTTTGTTTCATATAAACCAAACAATCGTTGTCTATGAAAGTATAAGCTGCCCCAGTGATGGATAGCTCTTTTGTTTCTACAAACAGCAGCATTCAGTGGGTACCCTGGATGTTTTGCTAAAACTTCTAACTAGCATTCTGTTTATTATTCAGATTGATTAGAAAAATATATTTTTCTTTTGACAGTTGGGTGGCTTTTTAAAGAATTACTTGTTTCAAATTACACACTTCTATTGCAACACTTGAATCTGACACCTCAAGCATAAGCTACAACTTGCTGGCTCCCCATCTCCCAACAGAAAAAAAAAAAAAAAACCAACAAAACTATGGCCCTGAGAGGATGGCTCTGTATTTACATTCAGCATCATATATCAGCATTTACCAGGGTGAGGCCAATGGCTGTCAACTCCTGGCTCTTAGTCAATATTTAATCACTGTTCAGTTATGTAGGAAGAAGGAAACATTCCATCTCCCGATAACATGTCTTTAATATGAAAAAAGCTTTCACTACATTTATGGAAGCTTGGTTATGCTTCTTAGAAAAACTATCAAATTGAGATGTTGCACAACTGTTCTGATATGGCATTTTAAGTGCATTGCCATTGGTAGGTGTATAAAATGAATAATACTTAATCATGATTTTTTAACAGTATTACAGAATTTTGGGTTCACCCTGCAACCTTTTTATTTTATTCATTTGTTTATTTACTAACGGAGAAAAGTGGCTGGAGAAAAAAATGTATGAAATCCTCGTCTAGTTCATAACCTCTAGCTCTGGTTCAGTCTCTGAGCTATGAAGCAAAGCAGCCATACCAAGGAAAAAAATTCACATTGGCTTTTTGACTGTTACTTAATTTAAAAGATTCCACAGTTTTGTTTTTTGATAGAGCTTTGTAAATAATTTCCTCAGACCTAGCACCGTGATTTAAAACCATTTACTTGGGCCAGGCGCAGTGGCTCACGCCTATAATCCTAGCACTTTGGGGGCAGAGGCAGGTGGATCACTTGAGGTCAGGAGCTCGAGACCAGCCTGGCCAATATGGTGAAACCCTGTCTCTACTAAAAATACAAAAATCAGCTGGGCATGGTGGCACGCGTCTGTAGTCTCAGCTACTCAGGAGGCTGGGGCAGGAGAATTGCTTGAACCTGGGAGGCAGAGGTTGCAGTGAGCTGAGATGGCACCACTGCACTCCAGCCTGGGCGTCACAAGACTCCGTCTCCAAAATAAAATAAAACCATTTACTTTTCCATTTATTCTACAGGATAACTAAAGCAGCACAAGGCTTAAGTTAAGGGAAAAGAGCAAACGACTGACGGGAAAGCCCACGTCACCAGGATTCCTTAGATTCCTACCTGACAAAATATTTCATGTTTCTTGTGTAGCACATAGCTATTCTAATGAACTGGTCAGCTGAGCTGGAGATGTTTTTACCATTTAAACAAGATCTACAATGTTCCATAGGGAAGGCTCATGCATTCCTTATAGTGTCAAGATGAAAGAAAAACTGCAGAGAAGGTGAAAGCTGGAAAGTGAAACAGAGTAATAAGTACTGAAAAATGTCTTCGCTCAAAGGCACAGAGTTTCTCTCTTTCATTCTTTCTGCTAACCCATGACCAGATGAACAGGTGTAGACTTGCTCAACGGGATGACATGTGGCAGAAAACATTTTCACTTCAAAGGTGCAAACCATATTTGACATTCAACAGCTTTTCATTGCGGTAGGTGGAAGAGGAAATTAAACTTTACCTCAGCTTGTTACAATTCATTGGTCGTGCTCTGACACGGTAATTATCCTTTGCTCCTAACCAAGACTCCCCAATCCAATCATCACATATGGGATGGAAGGGGGACTGCAGGGGTTTCTCTAACCTCCTTGGACCTGCCTGCAAAGCACAGAAGGGTTTTAGAAAGAAGCCCCGGGGTGGAGTGCTCATGTGGCTGGCATGAGAATACCTGACTTTCTGTTGGCACCTGGCATTACAACGCCTTTACTTCATCTTGGGTTAGTGCGCCTAAAGCTTCAGGTAAATCACAAATAACTCATCAGGAAAAAGGCTGGGACCTCTGTTTTACTATATTCCCAGCTCACAGCTTCCAGTAGACCTGGGAGAAAAACCCTCAAATATGCCAACTACTTTAAACCAAAATACTCAAGAAGTTCCTGGAGCCTTAGAAGTTTAACACTAATTCATTACTGGATTTAAACAGCTTCTTCCCACGTACTTCCCTAAAAGGCTCCATTCTCCACTCCACTCCAGTTCTCCAAGTATAAGAAGTGACATTTCAAGCATTGTGCCTGTTATTAAACTCCTTGCAGCATAAAAATATTTCAAATCAACTACAGGAAAATTGCAAGATTATTTTATTGTGCGCAAGATGGCTTTTAGGACTGGTGGAAAGTTCCACAAATGAAGTGCAGACTCAGATGCCTGGGATGTGTTTGTGAGGTAAGGGAGTGATTTTGGTGAGGATGCTCCTGGTGCAGTTTCCATGAAACTTTCCAAACTCCCTCTTGCCTGGGGCTGGGCAGCTCTTGCCATCCCTTTCACCTGGCTCCCAGAAGCTCTTCAGGTCTCCATTCAGCTGTCAATCCCTCAGCACTGTCTCTGCCTCGGCAGCTGGCCAAGTCAGTCTCCAAAGTCAACTGAATCACTTATCTTGGATGTTAAATAACCAACCTTGGTGTTTGTTTGATGTGCCTCTCCCTCAACAAAATAAATAGACCACTTGGGAAAAAATCCTAGCTAGGTTGACTCCCAAGTATCTAGCAGAGTGCAGCTACTGAGCAAATAAATGACTATTAAGTGAATAAGTAAATGAATGGGTAAAAACATTGCAGAAGGTAGTGGATTTCCCTGTAGCTTGTGTACCCTCAACTTCCCCCTTCCCAACCTTGTCTCCCTTCCTGGTCCTTCGGTGACAGTCTCTTTGCTGGACATGCTGCCGCAGATGAAGCTATCGCTAGATGTGATTTCAGGACTTCTGGGAGGAGAGCTCTCTGGGTGTGTTGAGGTGGCAAGGGCTCCCAAGTCATGCCCATCACAGCAAGGCTGCCTGTAACCTTAGGGATCTATAGTCATATTCTACATATAAATCAATTTACAAGGAGCAGCTAGCTTGATATCAGATGTCAAGAGAGCAGCGCACATTGAATCATCCTTTAACCTCTCAGAGCCTCTGCTAAACCTGAGGATCATTACAATCACTTCCAGCCAATATATAGAATGAGTTTCTAACTGAGACTTAAGATTGCATGGATTTGATAATTACAAGTAAGCACAGAGTGGTGGTGGGAACATTCAAGGCAGAAAGAAAGGCATAAAGCCATGCATTTATGTTTGAATGATTTTTTTTGCAAATTAAAAAAAAGTTTCCATTTATGAAAAAATCTTATATAGAAGTACATAGACATAAGAGGGTATTACATACCAAGAGATAACAGATATTCAGATGTGGCTCTAGCTATTAGCAAAGAGAAACAGCTATTGTGTTATTGTGTAATGAAGGTTACAGAGGCTAACTTCCAGCTATTTGGTATAGTAGTTTATAACTGAAAGTGGAAAGCACACGCACTCTCTCTGTGATTCCACCATAAGCTTCAGTTTCCCTGTCTATAAAATGGGATGAATAGTATTCACCTGCCCCAGTATGGGCATCTAATGAAAAGTAGGTGGCCCAGCACTCTGCCATAGCTTGAGCACCCTCAGCTTCCTCCTACCCAACCTTGTCTCCCTTTTTGGTCTTTCAGTGAGAGTCTCTTTGCTGGACATGCTGCCGCAGATGAAGCTATTGCTGGATGTGATTTCAGGACTTCAGGGAGGAGAGCTCTCCAGGTGTGTTGCCACCTGGTGGCAAGGGCTCCCAAGTCATGCCCATCACAGCAAGACTGCCCGTAACCTCAGAGAACCACAGTCCTATTCTACATATAAATTCAATACATAATAGCTATTATTATTAATTACCACACAATGTGAACATGCTTGCTTTTTAAAATAATTTCTGGCTGTTTTCTAGATTTTTAGTGGCAAGGGTATGAAGGCTACTGGTCCTGTGCCACAGAGAAGCCCTGTCCTGGGAAGGGATGACAAGTGACTCCTTAGGTCAGGTTTAGTGTGTGTCTGTCCACTTCTTGCACCATTGTCACCCTCCTGGGATGCACCCATGTGTGTTGATGTGATTTCTGTCACTCTTCCCTGTGTGACCACAAGCTCCATGACATGACAGCTCCCTGTCAACTTCCACTCCTCTCTGTACTCCATACCTAACACATAGTGGGCATTCAATCAATATTCACTCATTGAGTAAAGTTATGAAGAAAAAATAATGGCATATATTAAGAAAATTCTTGGCAGACATCATTTTGTGTGCTATGCTTTGCTGAAAAGCTTCACATAAGCAATTTAAAAATATAACTTATTGGCTGGGCATGGTGGCTCACACCTATAATCCCAGCACTTTAGGAGGCCAAGGTGTATGGATCACCTGAGATCAGGAGTTCGAGACCAGCCTGGCCAACATAGTGAAACCCCATCTCTACTAAAAATACAAAAACTAGCTGGGCGTGGTGGTGTGCACCTGTAATCCCAGCTACTTGAGAGGCCGAGGCAGGTGAATCGCTTGAACCTAAGAGGTGGAGGTTGCAGTGAGCCGAGATCATGCCATTGCACTCCAGCCTGGGCAACAAGAGCAAAACTCTGTCTCAATAAATAAATAAATAACTCTTGCTCCAAAATGGATTCAGAACATTTACCCCCACAGAACTCAGAGACATGCTACACTTAGAACTCACAAAAACAGTTTCTATAAGATAAGGAATGGTTAGAAAGCAATCTTTAATTCACATTAAAAATATAAAATTTATGCTGTAAAACTAGTTGTTTTTATCCCAATAATCATAAGGAGATGATGATCTGATTCCTGGAGCTGCTGATAACCACCTCCTCATGCACAGTCTCAGCCTCATCAAGTGGACGCATCTGAGCTGGCATCAGAGCACACAGGCACACCTGTGGATGCAGCTAGACGCTGACATTTCAGCTCAGTGTCTGAATCTTGGTATTAACACCACCAGAGTCACAGGTCGAATCCCTATGGGGGCTAGTTAGCTGTGACCCTTTCCAAGGTCACTGGTGCCACCCTAGGTTCTGCCCTGTCATCCCATCCCATTAAGTGGACACTATGGGTCACAGAGGTAAAGGAGTACGGTGAGGGTGTGTGGACAAGATGCCGAGACGAATGAACCCTGATGTCTCTATGTAGGATGCCAACTTGGCATGTTACATTTATGACACTTTGAACATCTCTTTCACTTGGTGTGTTTATTTCCTCACCACTGGAGGAAAGTATAGGGGTTTGGGCCAGATGAGCTTTAAGGTCCATTACACCTTCGATATTTAATGATTGGGCAAGAGAAATGTATTTATTAATACTGGGTCTTCAACTGTCATGGTTTGAACTTGAGTCCTAAGTCAAGAGACTGCCCACTGTTATTAATTAGGGTTCCCGACTTGCAAGCAATTAAAACCAATGCTGGCTAACAAACCCACAGAATCAACAGGAGGCAGACACTGGAGCAGCACTTTGGAAACAAGTAGAAACAAGGTCAGGAAGCAGAAGTCACAGCCATGGTCCCTTCATAGCATGGGTTTGGCAGCAGTCAACACTGCGAGGGCCTCCGACTGTCCCTGAGGACCTTGCTGCAAATGCTCTAGACATAAATTTCCCGGGAGCTCTTCTACCTGCAGCAGAGCCAGGGGAGGAGAAGGAACTGGAGCTGAAGTTCCCAGAACATGAGTCAGCTACTTGTAATTACTCTTCCACCAAAATCACACATGACGCGGAAGAGGTAGTCCCCCAAACGGAAGCTGGGAGCTCTTAGGAAGGGTAACTCATGCTGGGTACCAAAACCCATGAACATCCATCATAGGAGGAAGAACCTAAGAATATAGAGGAGGGTATTTCCAATATGTCCCATCCTCCAGCACAGCATGTAATGAACTTCAAGAGAATATCTAAGTTGAAGGAGCTATTCAAATTACTGTGGTCCAGAAAACACAATTTTCCTGAAAGAAATGTTGAGTTAGTGCTATCACAATCCACAATATATTGAACACATAATTAGTTAAAAAAAAATTAAACAAAAGGAAATTACCGATCCTGTTGGCAAAACCAGATGCTCTATGAGAATTCACTGAGTCATGGGGACATCCTTCTTTTTTTTTTGAGATGGAGTCCATGGAGTCTCATGGACTGCAGTGCCATGGTGCGATCTTGGCTCACTGCAACCTCTGCCTCCTGAGTTCAAGTGATTCTCCTGCCTTAGCCTCTCAAATAGCTGGGATTACAGGTGTGTGCCACCATGACCAGCTAACTTTTTTTTTTTTTTTTGGTAGAGACAGGGTTTCACCATGTTGGCCAGGCTGGTCTCCAACTCCTGACCTCAAGGTGATCTGCCCACTCAGGCCTCCCAAAGTGCTGGGATTACAGGCGTGAGCCACTGCACCTGGCCGGGGACATCCTTCTATTGGCAACAAAACTATGCCTGGTGCCCATTAGTGGTTTAGTTTTTGAAATTCTGACCATTCAATCAGTCAACAAATATTGAACATCCTGATGTGCCAATCTCCCTTCCCTTTTCCACTCCTGCAAGAGTCCCAAACCCTTTTCTATGCCATTTCTAATCTGTTCCTCATGACTTAACCCCAGTCCTTTCACATCCTGAGTGGCATTTGTTCCACAGGTTGCTTACACCTCTGTGAGTTGCCTATAATGTACCCTCTCCCAGGACTTCCACTGGACATTCATAGAGCCTTCACAATTCCACCAGAAACTTAACTTTAAAGAAGTAAACTACCAAGCTGAAAAGTTGTTTCCTACTTTAAAACAATAAAAAATCTGGATATCAGAGAGCAAATAACAAGTGAGAACTTGTGGCTGTCCACAGCCCAGATGGAAAGCAGACTGTGGGCAAGTTTATTTCTACACTTAAGAACTCACAAAACAGCCCCCTCACTGGAGATTCACCCTCCACAGGCCGTGTGTGCACATATTTCTCTCTTTATCTGCCCCTTCACTCCATCTGTCTTCTCCAGAGACAGCACCAGAGTTCCACCGAGGAGGGATAGAGGCAAGGCAACCTGATTGGAAGAGGAGGCTAGAGACTTGTCTTCAAAAGCATTTACATAGCAAATATATTAGCACCATGTTTACTTAAATTTCATGCCTGTTTGGGATGGCTTTATGGAGGGGCAGTGTAGAATGTGGAGGAACCTAACTCTCCCCTCCCTCCTCAAGTCACAGCCTGTGAGGATATATTACTTATTACAGTTGTCGAATAGTTTTAGTATACCCTTTTTAATTTCAAAGGCCAATATAAATCTCAATAAAGTTTGTAGGTTAGGTGATAGTATTGGGTAAATGTTCATTTCTTGAAAAATGAATAGCTTGAAAAATGTATCCTAGACATATAAGATATTAACATAAGGGGAAGCTGCTGAAGGATATTTGAGAACTCTGTGTACTATCTTTGTAATTTATTTGCAAATCTAAAATTATTCCAAAATAAGTTTTTTAAAAAAAAACTAATATAAAAAATGTTTCCTAGCCGGGCGCGGTGGCTCACGCCTGTAATCCCAGCACTTTGGGAGGCCGAGGCAGGTGGATCATGAGGTCAGGAGATAGAGACCATCCTGGCTAACATGGTGAAACCCCGTCTCTACTAAAAATACAAAAAATTAGCTGGGCGTGCTGGCAGGCGCGCTGGCGGGCGCCTGTAGTCCCAGCTACTCAGGAGGCTGAGTTAGGAGAGTGGCCTGAACCCGGGAGGCGGGTGCAGTGAGCCAAGATCACGCCACTGCACTCCAGCCTGGGTGACAGAGCGAGACTCTATCTCAAAAAAAAAAAAATGTTTCCTGTTTTTCTAAATAAAAGTGAATAAACCTCCTAAAATTGTTTAGTTTATTTGGAATCTATGTTAACTTTGTACTTAGAGCCAATAGTTCCAAAGAGGAAAAAAGAGTCCCAACCTTTATATTTTCAACAGGTCCTCCACTGTATTATGTACGACAGCTAAAATTAAATAAAGTCTCAATATGACTGAGCAATATTGAAGTTTCATTAGATTCTGTATAACAAGAAGTTTTATAAAGACTCACCACCACACCTTGGAATTAAGTGGTCTCAGATGAATTTCTAGCAGATGAAACAGCTGAGGCCACATATGTGTGTGTGTTTATATTTCAGATACTCTGTTCTTAAGGAGTTCTTCCCTTTTTATTATTAATAAATAATAAAAAATAAATCATGACACAGTTCCCTGACTACAAATAACAAATCAATTTTTGAACTGCTTTGAAGATGAAAGAGAAAAGTAAATGCTAAGTAATGGGATGTGTATAAAAATTAAGTGAAATAGAGGTGTGTAGTGGGTCTTGTTTTTTTCCTTTGGATGTTATTATTTCTCATTATTTTAAGCATTGAAAGGAGAAAAAAAAAGCTACTCTGGTGTCAATAAATAAGAGCAACACTCCTTCATGGGTTTTCCTCCTTAAGATTTCTTACTTCTACAATCTCACCAGACCTCTTGGCAAATGGTCCCACCTTGCCCCAACTTATCCTCATTTCAGGTAAGACATTTAGCCTCTTTGGATCTCAGTTTTCTCATATGAAAAGTGAGGAGGTTGGATTAGGAGCAAGATGGGTAACTGGTAGCCTAGGGGCAGTATTCTGGACAGCAGATATTTGTTAGTCTCACAAATGTATATGTATGTTTAAAGTTGTTTGCCAATATGTAATAGTCAAGATAG
Organism: Homo sapiens; assembly: GCF_000001405.40. Taxonomy (NCBI): domain Eukaryota; kingdom Metazoa; phylum Chordata; class Mammalia; order Primates; family Hominidae; genus Homo; species Homo sapiens. The sequence goes on along the minus strand of NC_000003.12, from coordinate 159,777,089 downwards.
TTCTCATAACATCTCAGGCTTGGATCTTGGGCTTCTCCTGACACATCAGAACACTGACATCATGTTCTGGCATGGCACGAAGTCAGGCGGCAAGTGACAGCAGCTGCCCCTTTACCCCTGGGACATACCTTCCAGGACACCATGGTCCTCTCCCACTGGGCCCACTGCTCCAGTGGGTTATCTATGTGACCTCTGGAAGCATCCGCGTTTACCACCCTTGCTCTGGCCTCCCTCTTAGCTCTAATATTCTCATTCCCAGTGTGATTGTTTACTAAAAAAAGAGAACTTTAATTTGGCTTTCAGCACACTGGAACTCTATAGAGGTTTTAGTCACGTGTTAGTACAGACACAACTGTTCATCTGCTTTGTTTAGAGTTTCTATATGAGACACAAGAAAAATAAATCTAATATTTAGATCACTATACCACAGTAGAGCAGGTATTCAAAATGTTTTAAAGTTACTGCTGCCTAAAGTTGTTCTTCTAGAACGAGCTCTTATTTTAAACGCTATTTGGGTCAGATGATGGGGTCACTGTAAGATGGATAACAACTCTAACAGATTACTGGTTATACAATTCGAGTGTTCAAAAATAAAATGCCAGTGGTCTACTCTCTTACTCCTTGCCGAACCAATTTTAGAGTGGAAACAAAAAGGACAGAGCACTGGGCAACCCATTCAGGTCCCCTTCCACACTGTTGAAGCTTTGTTCTTTCGCTCTTCACAATAAATCTTCCAAAAAAAAAAAAAAAAAAAAAAGACAGAACACTTAAGATGTAGTTGTTCAAAATAAAATGTCAGACTAGGTCAAAATGGACCAAAAATTATGTAAGACTGCATAAAGAAAAAAAATTGTCTGCAATTTTCATTAAGTAGGGTAATTTTTAGCTACTGGTATCATGAAGAGAAAAACAGGAGACTGAATTGGTTCTGAAACTATTTGAAAACATGTTATTTTTATGAGTGTAGATTAGCATTTAGGTTCTTTTCTAAGATGATACTGTACCAGTTTCCTAGAGGTTCAGACTCCTTTTATTTTGGAAATAAGTTTAACACTACTCTTTCTTTAGGTGGGGAAAAGAGGTAAAAGCTATTATGCTGCTGGACTTGACATTAAAAACACCCTGGCATTTCAGAGCACAGCAGCTTTTCTGCTTTTGTTTTTATTTTTTAGTACTCTAACCTCAAATCTAAATTTACAACACTGCCGGAGATCTTAGGAATTATGAGGAAATTACCTCATTCCCTTTAAAATTTTTCAGAAAGCAAAGTTCTCTCCATATATGGCAAACCAAGAAGGAAGCAGAATCCAGTTACATTCATTTAGGAGCTGCCAGGACTTACCAATTGTTTTGTTCCAGGCACGCCTACAACCCACGTGTGAGCAGGCCAACACTGGCACAGCTGGGTGGCTAGGGAGTGCCTGCCCTCATCTCTCCAACAACAAACAGTACAAGAGTGGGCCTGGCAGGGGGTCCTGGCCACCAGAGGCACCCTGTGCTAGATGAGCCACTTTCTTAGGGACTTTGAATTGGTAACCTGCACAGGAGAGAAAGGCGAAACAGGCAGGCTGAGGACCACAGTGGGGAGATCTCAGAGGAGGAAGCAAGGGGTGTGTGCTGCTGAGGGGCAACAGCATGACCCAATCAGCTGGGGTATGCCCAGGGAGGCACAGACAGACCATCCGCTGTCTGCAGGCCTGGCTGGGAGGCTGCAGAGGGTTTCTGCCCTTTCCCAAGCATCCTGAAAAGCAGCTCCAGCAACCTGTGGCAAATGGAGAATCACCTGCCTCTGCACCTGGAAAAGCCCAACCCCACACACTTTCCTGATAGAAGCTTTTTGTAATACTTTGTAAAACAAAAACAAAAAACTAACTCTGTGAATAACTAAGACATTTATTTCTATACGGCAGAGTTTTGAAGGGATCAATCATCTCAGACATGGGCAATAAAACCCTCTTGAATTGATGAATTTGCAGAAATCAGCTGCAGACTAATGCACTGCTTCTTGGAATCCATAAAAATTGAAGCTTTTTGTTTGGGTCTACTATGCTAATATCCCAAGGAAGAAAGATGCACAGTCACTTTCATGAACCATAAATACTAAGAAGAGACTCTGAGAAATGGAAGAAAAAAAAGAAAAAAAATGATTAATGTGATATTGCTGATGATGGATAAGCCAAAGAGGTTATTTGATTACACATACATATGAAATGTTTGGGTGGAGATACAGAGGCATCAGTAAAATGTACAGATACAAGTGGCAATAATTGGAAAATCTGATACACAAAGTCAGACTAAGAAAGTTGGTAACTTTAGCTTTCAGTAAGTTTGGCTTTAATACAACCTCATATTGGTTAGAGGAAGCAAAAAAATGGGTTTACAAGTACCTTTTAAAAAACTATCAACCTGGGGCTGAACAAAACACTGGTTGGGATCATTCCTACCACCTGGGCTTTTCCTAGCCTAAACATCATCTTTTGAACTACCTACACTTTACGGGAAATATACCCCAAGAGTAGGAAAAAAATGAAAATAACATAAAATGATGCAAATATTGAAAAATCGGTCAGTGGAGAGAAAAAATTAGATTAAGTATATGCATAAATGAGAACAGATAAAGACAAGTGATAAGGATCAGTGGAGAACATGCTTGACATAATTATTTAACAGATATATATAAAGGGCAACAATTACTTTTTATTTTATTATTTTTTTATCTTCCATTTTCAGAAGACAGGAAGATAATTATTCACAAAAGGGAAGTAGTAGCCAAAACTAAGACAAAACAAACACACAGACAACAAAAAGAAGCAAGACCATCTGAGAAACAAGGAGAGCTCTTGCAGATTTTAAGAGAGACTTGGTAAGTGAAGGAGAATGATTATTATTACAACTATCCTGGATATGAAACAAATAATTAAGGACAGTTCAGCCCTACAAATTTAACTGGGGAAATACACAAATAAAAATCCAAATGTATTTCCCTGTCCTTATATTCATTTTTCTATTTCTTGCTCTCACCAGGGAACACTCAAAAACACTACAAATCAGCAAGCCTTTTAAATTCTAAGTACAAGTAAGTGGCATACAAGTCGGAATAAGAAGTTCTCACACATATTCTAACTACGCCAGGCATCTTAATCTAGACTATTTTATGGGCTGCTTCTGAACCCCACAAATACTTTCCTACTAGCCTTTTCTTGGTTTTGTTATTTCTCCTTTTGGAGGGTACTCTTTAGATAGAACAAAATCTGTCTTCACTTGTGGGGTGAGCCACACAGAGATCTTCTCTCCGCTAGCTTTCTATCATCCAGGGAGAGCACTGTTCTGTTGCTAGAAATATACACAGTGATGAGCTGAAGTTTAAAAGGAAGAAAGCAATTTTATAATTGTTCTGACAACATAGGTTTAAAAAAAGAAAAAAATCAACAAAATGAAATCTTTTCTATCAAATGATAAAAATTAGAATCTACTTCCAGTTTTGGAAGCTCTTAAATTATGAAACTGGATCTGTACTCCAAATTAAATTTGGGGAACACCCATTCATTTTTAAAAGAAAAAAAAAACAATTTAAAAAGGTGGCATCTGTTGAAGCACTGAAGTGGGGGCACAGGTCATTAAAAGTGGGAATTAGGAGTCGGGTGACTTGAGGCTGGGTCAGGCTTGGGCTGAGGAAGTTAGGTGAAGATGTGTAATCTTCACAGACCTTAGTTTCCTCCTTTGAAAATAGCATTTGATGAGATGATCTCCCAGAATCCCTGTCTATCTCTAAAATCCTATTACCCTTCTATTGAAAATGCTCAATTTCACAATTGACACTTGAATTTCTACAAAGGTTTAGTGCAAAATAGTCTCCCTGTGACAGTAGAAAGTGCATTTGTGCTGAGAGCACAGGGAGCATCAAGCAACTAAGGAAAAGCACCCGCAAACGCCCTTTTCATTAAAACACTAAGGACCGATTTTCAAAAGTAAGAAAACAAGACCATTCATCTCTTCAGCGACAGAGGTCCAGAAATAAAAACAAATTTCTATTTTAAAGTGCAAATGTAGGCCGGGCGCAGTGGCTCATGCCTGTAATCCCAGCACTTTGGGAGGCTGAGGCAGGCGGATCACTTGAGGTCAGGAGTTCGAGACTAGCCTGGCCAACATAGTGAAATCCCGTCTCTAGTAAAAATACAAAAATTAGCCGGGCATGGTGGCTGGCACCTGTAGTCCCAGCTACTCAGGAGGCTGAGGCAGGAGAATCACTTGAACCCGGGAGGCGGAGTTTGCAGTGAGCTGAGATTGCGCCACTGTACTCCAGCCTAGGCGACAGAGCAAGATTCCGTCTCAAAAAATAAATAAATAAATAAAATGCAAATGCAACATCACAGCATTTGGATAAGCTTTTAAGAAAGGACCTGGAATTACTACTTTAGCACTAATAAGAAAGTTTATAGTGTAGCAACTTTGAGTAAATTAAAGAACTAAAGAGAAAGGCTGGCACAAAATACATTAACCAACCAGATAACAACTGTATATAAAATGTCTACACTTCAGGGAATGTGTAATATGTGTTTAAGGGGGAGGGAGGACTTAAGATAGTTGGACTGTTAAGAGACATACCCATAAGAAGACAAGAGAGAATTCAAGATAAAAGTAGTTATGGGCCGGGCGTGGTGGCTCACGCCTATAATCCCAGCACTTGGGAGGCCAAGGCGGGTGGATCACTTGAGGTCAGGAGTTCGAGACCAGTCTGGCCAACATGGAGAAACCCCATCCCTAAAAAGTTAGTTGGGCATGGTGGTGGGCACCTGTAGTACTACCAGCTACTCCGGAGGCTGAGGCATGAGAATTGCTTGAAACTGGGAGATGGGGGTTGCAGCGAGTCGAGATTGTGCCACTGTACTGCAGCCTGGGCGACAGAGCGAGACTGTCTGAAAAAAAAGTAGTTATGATGTCACCAAAAGAGCCGGGAACCAAAATCAGAAATTGATGAGTCTGGCCTGATTTTTGTCAGGTGTAAGATTTCTGTCAGGAATGCCAGCAAGGAGTCTGGAACTGGAAATGCAGGCAGAGCAGGAAGGGATGGAGGGAGGTGAGGTGATGCCAGTGGTGAGTTGTTCAAGAAGCTCTTCAAGTGTGATGAGGATATCTGCCTCTGTTTTTTAGATGTGCATCCTGAAAATTTTCCTGAGGATGTCTTGAAGGTCCACTATGTACAAACTAATTGGTAGGCAAAGATTTATTTTAATCAAACTACATTTTCAAAGACTGTTCTAAAATACAATGCTCCATCCAATAATAACTTAATTGTATATACACATAGATAGCCCCAGAACTAATGGTATATTTTCAAAATTTTAAGAATTGTTTACATGTGGTTTGCCTGCAACCTAATTTAAAAAAAAAAAAAAACAACAAAGACAAAAACCTAACCATATTTCTTTGAAGTCTAGAGTACATGCCAGTAGACAGAGCAGCCTTTGCAGCTCTTAAGCAAAAATCATCATAAATAGGAAAGTAGGCAAAGAACTTTTCATTATAGTACTAGATATTTCAAGGTAAAAGGTTGAAACACAGAATACATTTCACCCTGGTAATTTCCAGTTACAGTAAAAAGAAAAAAAAATTTTAACACTGTCATGTCATGCTCTCTAACTAACAGGAATAAGTGATAGCTGCATTCCACACAGAATGTTTTCAATGCTGTGCCCCAGGCTGCAGAATCACACAACTTATTAAACTTATAAACTTTACTGTATTTTGTAGGAATACTAAAGACATCTTAATTCAGTCTACAAAAACAGACACTTGTGTAATTTAAACATAGCCCAAGTAACTAAGGAAATAAACTACTCAGCCATTCAAGCTACTTTAGTAGTGTGTCATTGATGGGGAAGAAGTAACTGGGCTGTAATTCTTACAGAATAATACATTGAAAATAACCTATAATTAGTACCATTCTAGGAAGAAATGTAGGTAATTTAAAAAGTGTGCTACTAGCTAATAGTATAAACAAATAAAAAGACACATTATTTTCAAGTACTTTGGAAATAACTTCGTCAGAAGAATTTGCTTTCAATTAACGTGTCAATTAAAATTGTTCTTATCTTCTCATTAAATGAGGAAAATGCACCTGTCAGAGGCACTAAAAAATAATAAAACTGCACTTAAAATGTGTTGAGTCTACAGCTAGAGCTCTTCTCTAATTTAAAAATGATTCCTTTCCTTTTTTAAACAACAGGAGTAAAGACTGGTTGGATGTGACAAGTGATCTCCTTGCTCTCTTGTTGTTTTCTCTTAAGAGGGAGGGAGCAGCCACCCAGCCACCTGAAGGGAGGTGTCCTGGAAAGCAGGATGCAGATGGAATAGAGCAATGGGAAAAGGGGAAACCTCTTTCAGTGATTTAAGCATCATGTGATGGCAAAGTAAAATAGTACTTCCTTGGAAGACAGGCAGCTTCTTACACAGGTAAACATACACCTACCACGTGATCAAGCCGTTCTTATTTCTAGTTATTTACCCAAGAGAAATGAAAGTGTATATTCAGGCCCGGCACAGTGGCTCACACCTGTAATCCCAGCACTTTGGGAGGCGAAGGTGGGCGGATTACCTGAGGTCAGGAGTTCAAGATCAGCTTGACCAACATGGTGACACCCCGTCTCTACAAAAATACAAAAATTAGCCAGGCATGATGGTGGCTGCCTGTAATCCCAGCTACTCAGGAGGCTGAGGCAGGAGAATCACTTGAACTGAGCAGGCGGAGGTGGCAGTGAGCCAAGATAGCATCATTGCACTCCAGCCTGGGTGACAAGAGCAAAACTTCACCCCAAAAATAAATAGATAAAGTGTATACATGTGTCCATAACAATGTTATTTGTAATAGCCAAAACCTAGAAACAATGCACATGTATAACAACAGATGAAAATGGTATATCCACAAAATGGAACACTACTCAGCAAGAGTTCAAACGAACCACTGATATATACAATAACATGGATGAATCTCAAAATAATCACTTTCTGAGTTAAAGAAGCCACACAAAAATCCACACATACTGTGATTCCACTTATGTTAATTTTAGAAGGCATAAACTAATCTATAACATAGAAATCAGATCAGTTGGTTGCCTAGGGACAAGATGGTGGTATTACAAAGGAGTGCAAGGATACTTTTGGGGATGCTAAATATGTTCATTATCTTGATGTTCATGATGGTTTCACAGGTGTGTCAAAACACATACATATGCCATACATATGTCAAAACTCATCAAATTGTACATTTTAACTATGTACAGTTGATGTATGTCACTTATACCTTAATAAAGCTATTTTTATTTTATTTTATTTAATTTTTGAGACGAAGCTTCACTCTTGTCACCCAGGCTGGAGTGCAATGGTGTGATCTTGGCTCACTGCAACCTCCGCCTCCTGGGTTTAAGCGATTCTCCTGCCTCAGCCTCCCGAGTAGCTGGGATTACAGGCGCCCGCCACCATGCCCGGCTAATTTTTGTATTTTTAGTAGAGATGGGGTTTCACCACGTTGGCCAGGCTGGTCTCGAACTCCTGACCTCAGGTGATCCGCCTGCCTTGGCCTCCCAAAGTGCTGGGATTACAGGCCTGAGCCACCATGCCTGGCCAATAAAGCTATTTTTAAAGAAAAGCGTCAAAATAGGCTGAGTCTCCAGAGACAGGGAACAGGCTAGACATGGAGGAACACGTCCCATGAAGGACAGGAAGCCTCAGGGACAAACACAGAGAAAAAGATGTGTAATTATATTCCATTTAGGAGGAAGAGTACACTGAGGCAGTGCCCCCCCTCCCACCCCACTTGGCAACAGGTCCACAGAGCCTTTTGAACAGGAGCAAGAGGGCTACAGTGATGCACTAAGGTCCTGGAGAAGCAGAAGAGAGAAAGCCGACTGTTTGTGGCCCGCTCTCATAAGAGGGAAAACTGTCCAGTCCTGTGCACCAGAGTTAGAGTAGGCAAGAAGATAAGAATTTAAGAGAAACATGAACTTCTGCAAGCAGGACTCCTAATCTGACATCAAAGGCACCAACCCCAGAACCTTTCTTTACTCCATCTATGGCCCTTGAATTTATTAAGAGTGTTCACGCACAAGACGGAATACAAGCCCAGGGCAGGACTGTGAGAAGCACACTGACACCAGATGAGCAGGGGCTGCCCATGGAAGGGGCACTTCTGGGAGTAGTTCTGGTTTTTGGGTAGAGCCCCTCACCCTCTCTGCATGTTTCAAGCATTTATTTGTGCCAGGCACAATGCGAACTACTGGGGATATGGCTGTCCCAGGTGATGACATCACAGTGGAGGGCTGGACCAGGTGCTGGAGGTCTGTCTTGAGCCCCCAGCTCTGAGATGGAGCAAGGATCCAGTCACTAGAGTGTTTCCATCAGGACTCCCCAGGCCCTTCCATGCTGTGACACCAAAGATAGTTCCTGACAGCATCCAAGCTCATCATCCTCCACAGATACCAAGAGAGAGATTAGTTTTCTAAACCCATCGCAAAGTGAAGGTCAGTGCTAGGTTTTAAATCCCACCTAAACATTGTGCATTTTTAAATTTGCCTCTCAATCTTATCTGAATTAGGGATAGCTGATTGTCATCCCATTTTTGAGACCTCAGTCATCCTTCTGCGTGCATCACCACAACTAAGAGGAAGGAAAGAGCACTGGATGTGGAGTGAGGAGACATGGATTCTGTCACTACCCTGCTCTGCAGAACCCAATAGTATGTCATTGAAACAAAACAATACAAAACCCTGTCTACAAAAGAAGACTCATAAGTAAGGGGGTTTTGATGATTTCCCAGTTTACTTATGTCCTTAATTCTAAGGAAGTGCAATAAGAGACTTGTCAATAGGAAACCCTTTAAGTTTCAGGGAGGTGGGAGCTCCTTCCTTTCCTTTTATTTCAAATTATTTTAAGCATTAAAAAAGGGGGCGGGGAACTAGTCTGGTGTCACAAGAAAGAACAAAACCCTGTTCATAAGTTTCTCACTGGGTCTGAGGCAAATCACTTAACCTCTCTGGGCTTCAATTTTCTCAACTGTAAAATGGGAGTTGGATTAGGTATGGGTTGTGTTGTTGTCATAAACATTCATTCATTCATTCATTCAATATTTGAGAACCTACTCCATCCCAGGCATGTTCCAGGCAATAGGTTATAGAGTTAAAAAACAGGCAAGAACTCCCGCCTACATTTCAGAGGGACCAAAAATAGAGGACTAAATAAGATAATGTCAGATAGTGACAAGCACTAAGAAAACAATACACCAGGAGTGCTGGAGTTGGGGTGCAGTGCTGTTACTTTACTTTAGGAAGGGTGGTGGGGGACAGCTTCTCTGAGCTGGTGAGAGTTGAACTGAGTCTGGAATGATGAGAAGGAACCAGACACTTGCTTCCAAGCAGAGGTTACAGAAGGGCAAAAGCCCTGAAGTAGGAATAGGCTTACTTGGTGAAGAGAAGCTATCCCCTTTTCATTGTATACCCCATTCCTAGTGGTGTGTATTAATGCCACTTAAATATATTCATACAAGACATTTTAAAGAGGAGTAAAATATCATTGGATTTGAACAGTTCCTTCAAGGCAGGCCTTCTCTTCCACACGGCTCCTTTGTTCTTCTCCGGTTTCTGTCCTCATGGTCATAAATTCCCTTACGTACTCCAGGCAGCACTAAACAGGATTTAAATCAGTGCTTTTCAATCTTTTATAACAGCGACCCATAGTGAGAAGTAAACTTTATGTTGCAACCCACCATACATATAAAACTAAAGTTTTAAAAATTACCAACTTTACTATGACTCCCTGCAATACACTATCATACATTCTATTTTATTTCATTTTTTTAAATGCTAAGGTGATTTCATGGGAAACTTACTGTTTGAAAAACAGTATTCTAAACCAACACTGACTAGTAATTTTGTTCAAACACAAACCAAAACATGAAAAAATCCACCATTAACCTCAAATGCTACCTCCTTCTCCCTTTTTTCTGTATACATCCTTGCTTTGACACAATGAAATCTAAATTTCTCTGTGTAACTTGTAGAGGAAATGACCAGAAGGGGCATTTCCAGGAAAGCTGGAAGTGAAGGAAAGAAACCCAAATATGCAAATATGCAAACTGTTCACTAGGTGAGGATACACCATTGGTTTCAAAGACTGCCCAAGAAGGAAAGATTCATAGTCTTCACAATAACCAGAAGATGCGTTGGGGGTGGGGGTATGAGGTGGTGCTAGGTAAGCCATCAAATTTTAAGTTCCTGGAGGGAAGGCAGTCTGTATCCCTACCCTTCCCTCACCAGAATTTCAGCCCCATGTGGACTGATGTGTAACTACAGCACTCAGAACCATCCCTGGCACACAGCACATACATGGGTGCTCAAAAACAATTTGTTCCACAACTTTTGAATAATGGAGCTCATTGTCACCATCAAACCCTAACTTTGCATGTATACCCAAGTACTAAATTTTCCTGGAATGTATAAATGTCACGCAATAGCAAACTAACCTCCTGCTTATTTCCCACTCATTGTTCAAGCCCAGGTATTAATGAGGTATTTTTCTCAAGCACAAAGTGGGAAAAGGATATTTTCTATTGCAAGGTATAAGAGATAGTATTGACTGTAATGGAAAGATTCCACGTCTGTTAATGGCCATGGTAAACTCCTAAACAGCTGGAATTAAAATGAGTATGCTAATTTATTAAGTAGTTTCCCAAGGGAAACTAACCAGCAGGCTCTGTCAGCCAAGGGCGCTCTCTGATAGAACCATGGCAATTTCTCTGTGAAACACAGTTACCATCCTCACCCCTGAAGTCAGAAGTGCATGCACCCAATTTTCAGGAGCCCCGGGGTCCTGGTGTCGCAAAAATTACACCCGCAAGGCAAGCATTTTCCCACCTGCC